>NC_000013.11:16882173-17182173 GCF_000001405.40 Homo sapiens | reverse complement strand
TGGTAGGGGAAGATATTCCCTTTATCACCATGGGCCTCAAACCGTCCGAAACGTCCACTTCCATATACTACAAAAAGAGGGTTTCAAACCTGCTCTATGAAAGGCAATGTTCAACTCTGTGACTTGAATGCAGACATCACAGAGCAGTTTCTGAGAATACTTCTGTCTAGATTTTATAGGAAGATATTCCCGTTTCCAATGAAATCTTCACAGCTATCCAAATATCCACTTGCAGATTCTACAAAAAGAGTGTATCAAAAATGCTCTGTCAAAAGGAAGGTTCTTCTCTGTTAGTTGAGTACATACGTCATAAAGGAGTTTCTGAGAATGTTTCTGTCTAGTGGTTATGGGAAGATATTTGCTTTTTCCCCGTAGGCCTCAGGGCGCTCCAAATGTCCACTTGCACATGCTACAAAAAGAGTGCTTCAAAGCTGATCTCTGAAAGGGAATGTTCAACTCTATGAGTTGAATGCAAACATCACAAAGACGTTTCTGAGAATGCTTCTCTCTAGATTTGATATGAAGATATTCCCGTTTCCAACGAAATCTTCAAATCTATCCAAATGTCCACTTGCAGATTCAACAAAAAGTGTTTTTCAGAACTGCTCAATCAAAAGAAAGATCCACCTGTGTTAGCCGAGTTCACACATCACAAACAAGTTTATGAGAATGCTTCTGTCTAGTTTTTATTTGAAGATATTTCCTTTCTCACCATAGACCTGAAAGCTGTCCTAATGTTCACTTCCAGTTACTACAGAAAGAGTGTTTCAAAACTGCTGTATGAAAGGGAATGTTCAACTGCTGTGACTTGAATGCACACATCACAAAGAAGTTTCTGAGGATGCTGCTGTCTACTTTTTATACGTAATCCCGTTTCCAACGAAATCCTCCAAGCTATCCAAATATCCACTTGCAGATTCCACAGAAAGACTGTTTCAAAACTGCTCTGTCAATAGAAAGGTTCAACTCTGATAACTGCGTGCATATATCCCAAAGAAGATTCTGAGATTGCTTCTGTCTAGTTTTTATGGGAAGATATTTCCCTTTTCACCGTAGGTGTCAAGGCGCGCCAAATGTCCACTTCCAGATACTACAAAAAGAGTGTTTCAAACCTACTCTGTGAAAGGGAATATTCAACTCTGTGACTTGAATGCACATATCACAAAGAAGTTTCTGAGAATGCTTCTGTCGAGATTTTATATGAAGATATTCCCGTTTCCAACGAAATCCTGAAATCTATCCAAATATCCCCTCGCAGATTCTACAAAAAGAGTGTTTCAAAACTGCTCTGTAAAAAGAAAGGTTCAACTCTGTTAGTTGACTACACACATCACAAACAAGTTTCACAGAATGCTTCTTTCTAGCTTGTAGGGGAAGATATTTCCTTTATCACCATGGTTCTCAAACCGTCCGAAACGTCCACTTCCACATACTAAAAAAACAGTGTTTGAAACCTGCTCTATGAAAGGCAATGTTCAACTCTGTGACTTGAATGCAGACATCACAGAGCAGTTTCTGAGAATGCTTCTGTCTAGATTTTATAGGAAGATATTCCCGTTTCCAACGAAATCTTCACAGCTATCCAAATATCCACTTGCAGATTCTACAAAAAGAGTGTATCAAAACTGCTCTGTCAAAAGGAAGGTTCTTCTCTGTTAGGTAAGTGCATACGTCATAAAGGAGTTTCTGAGAATGTTTCTGTCTAGTGGTTATGGGAAGATATTTGCTTTTTCACCGTAGGCCTCAGAGCGCTCCAAATATCCACTTGCACAGACTACAAAAAGAGTGCTTCAAAGCTGCTCTCTGAAAGGGAATGTTCAACTCTATGAGTTGAATGCAAACATCACAAAGACGTTTCTGAGAATGCTTCTGTCTAGATTTGATATGAAGATATTCCCGTTTCCAACGAAATCTTCAAATCTATCCAAATGTCCACTTGCAGATTCAACAAAAAGTGTTTTTCAGAACTGCTCTATCAAAAGAAAGATCCACGTCTGTTAGCTGAGTTCACACATCACAAACAAGTTTATGAGAATGCTTCTGTCTAGTTTTTATTTGAAGATATTTCCTTTCTCACCATAAACCTGAAAGCTGTCCTAATGTTCACTTCCAGATACTACAGAAAGAGTGTTTCAAAACTGCTGTACGAAAGGGAATGTTCAACTCTGTGACTTGAATGCACACATCACAAAGAAGTTTCTGAGGATGCTGCTGTCTACTTATTATACGTAATCCCGTTTCCAACGAAATCCTCCAAGCTATCCAAATATCCACTTGCAGATTCCACAGAAAGACTCTTTCAAAACTGCTCTGTCAATAGAAAGGTTCAACTCTGTTAGCTGCGTGCATACATCCCAAAGAAGATTCTGAGATTGCTTCTGTCGAGATTTTATATGAAGATATTCCCGTTTCCAACAAAATCCTGAAATCTATCCAAATATCCCCTCACAGATTCTACAAAAAGAGTGTTTCAAAACTGCTCTGTAAAAAGAAAGGTTCAACTCTGTTAATTGAGTACACACATCACAAACAAGTTTCACAGAATGCTTCTTTCTAGCTTGTAGGGGAAGATATT
Source organism: Homo sapiens (assembly GCF_000001405.40). NCBI lineage: Eukaryota > Metazoa > Chordata > Mammalia > Primates > Hominidae > Homo > Homo sapiens. The sequence continues at coordinate 17,179,598 of NC_000013.11, read as the reverse complement.
CCCTTTATCACCATGGGCCTCCAACCGTCCGAAACATCCACTTCCATATACTACAAAAAGAGCGTTTCAAACCTGCTCTATGAAAGGCAATGTTCAACTGTGTGACTTGAATGCAGACATCACAGAGCAGTTTCTGAGAATGCTTCTGTCTAGATTTTATAGGAAGATATTCCCGTTTCCAACGAAATCTTCACAGCTATCCAAATATCCACTTGCAGATTCTACAAAAAGAGTGTATCAAAACTGCTGTGTCAAAAGGAAGGTTCTTCTCTGTTAGGTGAGTGCATACGTCATAAAGGAGTTTCTGAGAATGTTTCTGTCTAGTGGTTATGGGAAGATATTTGCTTTTTCACCGTAGGCCTCAGAGCGCTCCAAATATCCACTTGCACATACTACAAAAAGAGTGCCTCAAAGCTGCTCTCTGAAACGGAATGTTCAACTCTATTAGTTGAATGCAAACATCACAAAGACGTTTCTGAGAATGCTTCTGTCTAGATTTGATATAAAGATATTCCCGTTTCCAACGAAATCTTCAAATCTATCCAAATGTCCACTTGCAGATTCAACAAAAAGTGTTTTTCAGAACTGCTCTATCAAAAGAAAGATCCACCTCTGTTAGCTGAGTTCACACATCACAAACAAGTTTATGAGAATGCTTTTGTCTAGTTTTTATTTGAAGATATTTCCTTTCTCACCATAGACCTGAAAGCTGTCCTAATGTTCACTTCCAGTTACTACAGAAAGAGTGTTTCAAAACTGCTGTACGAAAGGGAATGTTCAACTACTGTGACTTGAATGCACACATCACAAAGAAGTTTCTGAGGATGCTGCTGTCTACTTTTTATACGTAATCCCGTTTCCAACGAAATCCTCCAAGCTATCCAAATATCCACTTGCAGATTCCACAGAAAGACTGTTTCAAAACTGCTCTGTCAATAGAAAGGTTCAACTCTGTTAGCTGCGTGCATATATCCCAAAGGAGATTCTGAGATTGCTTCTGTCTAGTTTTTATGGGAAGATATTTCCCTTTTCACCATAGGTGTCAAGGCGTTCCAAATGTCCACTTCCAGATACTACAAAAAGAGTGTTTCAAACCTACTCTGTGAAAGGGAATATTCAACTCTGTGACTTGAATGCACATATCACAAATAAGTTTCTGAGAATGCTTCTGTCGAGATTTTATATGAAGATATTCCCGTTTCCAATGAAATGCTGAAATGTATCAAAATATCCCCTCGCAGATTCTACAAAAAGAGTGTTTCAAAACTGCTCTGTAAAAAGAAAGGTTCAACTCTGTTAGTTGAGTACACACATCACAAACAAGTTTCACAGAATGCTTCTTTCTAGCTTGTAGGGGAAGATATTCCCTTTATCACCATGGGCCTCAAACCGTCCGAAACGTCCACTTCCATATACTACAAAAAGAGCGTTTCAAACCTGCTCTATGAAAGGCAATGTTCAACTCTGTGACTTGAATACAGACATCGGCAGAGCAGTTCCTGAGAATGCTTCTGTCTAGATTTTATAGGAAGATATTCCCGTTTCCAAAGAAATCTTCACAGCTATCCAAATATCCACTTGCAGATTCTACAAAAAGAGTGTATCAAAACTGCTCTGTCAAAAGGAAGGTTCTTCTCTGTTAGGTGAGTGCATACGTCATAAAGGAGTTTCTGAGAATGTTTCTGTATAGTGGTTATGGGAAGATATTTGCTTTTTCACCGTAGGCCTCAGAGCGCTCCAAATATCCACTTGCACATACTACAAAAAGAGTGCTTCAAAGCTGCTCTCTGAAACGGAATGTTCAACTCTATGAGTTGAATGCAAACATCACAAAGACGTTTCTGAGAATGCTTCTGTCTAGATTTGATATGAAGATATTCCCGTTTCCAACGAAATCTTCAAATCTATCCAAATGTCCACTTGCAGATTCAACAAAAAGTGTTTTTCAGAACTGCTCTATGAAAAGAAAGATCCACCTCTGTTAGCTGAGTTCACACATCACAAACAAGTTTATGAGAATGCTTCTGTCTAGTTTTTATTTGAAGATATTTCCTTTCTCACCATAGAGCTGAAAGCTGTCATAATGTTCACTTCCAGATACTACAGAAAGAGTGTTTCAAAACTGCTGTACGAAAGGGAATGTTCAACTCTGTGACTTGAATGCACACATCACAAAGAAGTTTCTGAGGATGCTGCTGTCTACTTTTTATACGTAATCCCGTTTCCAACGAAATCCTCCAATCTATCCAAATATCCACTTGCAGATTCCACAGAAAGACTGTTTCAAAACTGCTCTGTCAATAGAAAGGTTCAACTCTGTTAACTGCGTGCATATATCCCAAAGAAGATTCTGAGATTGCTTCTGTCTAGTTTTTATGGGAAGATATTTCCCTTTTCACCGTAGGTGTCAAGGGGCTCCAAATGTCCACTTCCAGATACTACAAAAAGAGTGTTTCAAACCTACTCTGTGAAAGGGAATATTCAACTCTGTGACTTAAAGGCAGATATCACAAAGAAGTTTCTGAGAATGCTTCTGTCGAGATTTTATATGAAGATATTCCCGTTTCCAACGAAATCCTGAAATCTATCCAAATATCCCCTCGCAGATTCTACAAAAAGATTGTTTCAAAACTGCTCTGTAAAAAGAAAGGTTCAACCCTGTTAGTTGAGTACACACATCACAAACAAGTTTCACAGAATGCTTCTTTCTAGCTTGTAGGGGAAGATATTCCCTTTATCACCATGGGCCTCCAACCGTCCGAAACGTCCACTTCCATATACTACAAAAAGAGCGTTTCAAACCTGCTCTAGGAAAGGCAATGTTCAACTCTGTGACTTGAATGCAGACATCACAGAGCAGTTTACTGAGAATGCTTCTGTCTAGATTTTATAGGAAGATACTCCCGTTTCCAACGAAATCTTCACAGTTATCCAAATATACACTTGCAGATTCTACAAAAAGAGTGTATCAAAACTGCTCTGTCAAAAGGAAGGTTCTTCTCTGTTAGTTGAGTACATACGTCATAAAGTAGTTTCTGAGAATGTTTCTGTCTAGTGGTTATGGGAAGATATTTGCTTTTTCACCGAAGGCCTCAGAGCGCTCCAAATATCCACTTGCACATACTACAAAAAGAGTGCCTCAAAGCTGCTCTCTGAAACGGAATGTTCAACTCTATGAGTTGAATGCAAACATCACAAAAGACGTTTCTGAGAATGCTTCTGTCTAGATTTGATATGAAGATATTCCCGTTTCCAACGAAATCTTCAAATCTATCCAAATGTCCACTTGCAGATTCAACAAAAAGTGTTTTTCAGAACTGCTCTATCAAAAGAAAGTTCCACCTCTGTTAGCTGAGTTCACACATCACAAACAAGTTTATGAGAATGCTTCCGTCTAGTTTTTATTTGAAGATATTTCCTTTCTCACCATAGACCTGAAAGCTGTCCTAATGTTCACTTCCAGTTACTACAGAAAGAGTGTTTCAAAACTGCTGTACGAAAGGGAATGTTCAACTCTGTGACTTGAATGCACACATCACAAGGATGTTTCTGAGGATGCTGCTGTCTACTTTTTATACGTAATCCCGTTTCCAACGAAATCCTCCAAACTATCCAAATATTCACTTGCAGATTCCACAGAAAGACTGTTTCAAAACTGCTCTGTCAATAGAAAGGTTCAACTCTGTTAGCTGCGTGCATATATCCCAAAGAAGTTTCTGAGATTACTTCTGTCTAGTTTTTATGGGAAGATATTTCCCTTTTCACCGTAGGCGTCAAGGCGCTCCAAATGTCCACTTCCAGATACTACAAAAAGAGTGTTTCAAACCTACTCTGTGAAAGGGAGTATTCAACTCTGTGACTTGAATGCAGATATCACAAAGAAGTTTCTGAGAATGCTTCTGTCGAGATTTTATATGAAGATATTCCCGTTTCCAACGAAATCCTGAAATCTATCCAAATATCCCCTCGCAGATTCTACAAAAAGAGTGTTTCAAAACTGCTCTGTAAAAAGAAAGATTCAACTCTGTTAGTTGAGTACACACATCACAAACAAGTTTCACAGAATGCTTCTTTCTAGCTTGTAGGGGAAGATATTCCCTTTATCACCATGGGCCTCAAACCGTCCGAAACGTCCACTTTTATATACTACAAAAAGAGCGTTTCAAACCTGCTCTACGAAAGTCAATGTTCAACTCTGTGACTTGAATGCAGACATCACAGAGCAGTTTCTGAGAATGCTTCTGTCTAGATTTTATAGGAAGATATTCCCGTTTCCAACGAAATCTTCACAGCTATCCAAATATCCACTTGCAGATTCTACAAAAAGAGTGTATCAAAACTGCTCTGTCAAAAGGAAGGTTCTTCTCTGTTAGGTGAGTGCATACGTCATAAAGGAGTATCTGAGAATGTTTCTGTCTAGTGGTTATGGGAAGATATTTGCTTTTTCACCGTAGGCCTCAGAGCGCTCCAAATATCCACTTGCACATACTACAAAAAGAGTGCCTCACAGCTGCTCTCTGAAACGGAATGTTCAACTCTATGAGTTGAATGCAAACATCGCAAAGACGTTTCTGAGAATGCTTCTGTCTAGATTTGATATGAAGATATTCCCGTTTCCAACGAAATCTTCAAATCTATCCAAATGTCTACTTGCAGATTCAACAAAAAGTGTTTTACAAAACTGCTGTATCAAAAGAAAGATCCACGTCTGTTAGCTGAGTTCACACATCACAAACAAGTTTATGAGAATGCTTCTGTCTAGTTTTTATTTGAAGATATATCCTTTCTCACTATAGACCTGAAAGCTGTCCTAAAGTTCACTTCCAGATACTACAGAAAGAGTGTTTCAGAAACTGCTGTATGAAAGGGAATGTTCAACTCTGTGACTTGAATGCACACATCACAAAGAAGTTTCTGAGGATGCTGCTGTCTACTTTTTATACGTAATCCCGTTTCCAACGAAATCCTCCAAGCTATCCAAATATCCACTTGCAGATTCCACAGAAAGACTGTTTAAGAACTGCTCTGTCAATAGAAAGGTTCAACTCTGTTAGCTGCGTGCATATATCCCAAAGAAGATTCTGAGATTGCTTCTGTCTAGTTTTTATGGGAAGATATTTCCCTTTTCACCGTAGGCGTCAAGGCGCTCCAAATGTCCACTTCCAGATACTACAAAAAGAGTGTTTCAAACCTACTCTGTGAAAGGGAATATTCAACTCTGTGAGTTGAATGCACATATCACAAAGAAGTTTCTGAGAATGCTTCTGTCGAGATTTTATATGAAGATATTCCAGTTTCCAACCAAATCCTGAAATCTATCCAAATATCCCCTCGCAGATTCTACAAAAAGAGTGTTTCAAAACTGCTCTGTAAAAAGAAAGGTTCAACTCTGTTAGTTGAGTACACACATCACAAACAAGTTTCACAGAATGCTTCTTTCTAGCTTGTAGGGGAAGATATTCCCTTTATCACCATGGGCCTCCAACCGTCCGAAACGTCCACTTCCATATACTACAAAAAGAGCGTTTCAAACCTGCTCTATGAAAGGCAATGTTCAACTCTGTGACTTGAATGCAGACATCACAGAGCAGTTTCTGAGAATGCTTCTTTCTAGATTTTATAGGAAGATATTCCCGTTTCCAACGAAATCTTCACAGCTATCCAAATATCCACTTGCAGATTCTACAAAAAGTGTGTATCAAAACTGCTCTGTCAAAAGGAAGGTTCTTCTCTGTTAGGTGAGTGCATACGTCATAAAGGAGTTTCTGAGAATGTTTCTGACTAGTGGTTATGGGAAGATATTTGCTTTTTCACCGTAGGCCTCAGAGCGCTCCAAATATCCACTTGCACATACTACAAAAAGAGTGCCTCAAAGCTGCTCTCTGAAACGGAATGTTCAACTCTATGAGTTGAATGCAAACATCGCAAAGACGTTTCTGAGAATGCTTCTGTCTAGATTTGATATGAAGATATTCCCGTTTCCAACGAAATCTTCAAATCTATCCAAATGTCCACTTGCAGATTCAACAAAAAGTGTTTTTCAGAACTGCTCTATCAAAAGAAATATCCACCTCTGTTAGCTGAGTTCACACATCACAAACAAGTTTATGAGAATGCTTCTGTCTAGTTTTTATTTGAAGATATTTCCTTTCTAATTATAGACCTGAAAGCTCTCCTAATGTTCACTTCCAGATACTACAGAAAGAGTGTTTCAAAACTGCTGTACGAAAGGGAATGTTCAACTCTGTGTCTTGAATGCACACATCACAAGGAAGTTTCTGAGGATGCTGCTGTCTAATTTTTATACGTAATCCCGTTACCAACGAAATCCTCCAAGCTATCCAAATATCCACTTGCAGATTCCACAGAAAGACTGTTTCAAAACTGCTCTGTCAATAGAAAGGTTCAACTCTGTTAGCTGCGTGCATATATCCCAAAGAAGATTCTGAGATTGCTTCTGTCTAGTTTTTATGGGAAGATATTTCCCTTTTCAGGGTAGGCGTCGAGGCGCTCCAAATGTCCACTTCCAGATACTACAAAAAGAGTGTTTCAAACCTACTCTGTGAAAGGGAATATTCAACTCTGTGACTTGAATGCACATATCACAAAGAAGTTTCTGAGAATGCTTCTGTCGAGATTTTATATGAAGATATTCCCGTTTCCAACGAAATCCTGAAATGTATCCAAATATCCCCTCGCAGATTCTACAAAAAGAGTGTTTCAAAACTACTCTGTAAAAAGAAAGGTTCAACTCTGTTAGTTGAGTACACACATCACAAACAAGTTTCACACAATGCTTCTTTCTAGCTTGTATGGGAAGATATTCCCTTTATCACCATGGGCCTCAAACCGTCCGAAACGTCCACTTCCATATATTACAAAAAGAGTGTTTCAAACCTGCTCTATGAACGGCAATGTTCAACTCTGTGACTTGAATGCAGACATCACAGAGCAGTTTCTGAGAATGCTTCTGTCTAGATTTTATAGGAAGATATTCCCGTTTCCAACGAAATCTTCACAGCAATCCAAATATCCACTTGCAGATTCTACAAAAAGAGTGTATCAAAACTGCTCTGTCAAAAGGAAGGTTCTTCTCTGTTAGGTGAGTGCATACGTCATAAAGGAGTTTCTGAGAATGTTTCTGTCTAGTGGTTATGGGAAGATATTTGCTTTTTCACCTTAGGCCTCAGAGCGCTCCAAATATCCCCTTGCACATACTACAAAAAGAGTGCTTCAAAGCTGCTCTCTGAAAGGGAATGTTCAACTCTATGAGTTGAATGCAAACATCACAAAGACGTTTCTGAGAATGCCTTCTGTCTAGATTTGATATAAAGATATTCCCGTTTCCAACGAAATCTTCAAATCTATCCAAATGTCCACTTGGAGATTCAACAAAAAGTGTTTTTCCGAACTGCTCTATCAAAAGAAAGATCCACCTCTGTTAGCTGAGTTCACACATCACAAACAAGTTTATGAGAATGCTTCTGTCTAGTTTTTATTTGAAGATATTTCCTTTCTCACCATAGACCTGAAAGCTGTCCTAATGTTCACTTCCAGATACTACAGAAAGAGTGTTTCAATACTGCTGTACGAAAGGGAATGTTCAACTCTGTGACTTGAATGCACACATCAAAAGGAGGTTCTGAGGATGCTGCTGTCTACTTTTTATACGTAATCCCGTTTCCAACGAAATCCTCCAAGCTATCCAAATATCCACTTGCAGATTCCACAGAAAGACTGTTTCAAAACTGCTCTGTCAATAGAAAGGTTCAACTCTGTTAGCTGCGTGCATATATCCCAAAGAAGATTCTGAGATTGCTTCTGTCTAGTTTTTATGGGAAGATATTTCCCTTTTCACCGTAGGCGTCAAGGCGCTCCAAATGTCCACTTCCAGATACTACAAAAAGAGTGTTTCAAACCTACTCTGTGAAAGGGAATATTCACCTCTGTGACTTGAATGCACATATCACAAAGAAGTTTCTGAGAATGCTTTCTGTCGAGATTTTATATGAAGATATTCCCGTTTCCAACGAAATCCTGAAATCTATCCAAATATCCCCTCGCAGATTCTACAAAAAGATTGTTTCAAAACTGCTCTGTAAAAAGAAAGGTTCAACTCTGTTAGTTGAGTACACACATCACAAACAAGTTTCACACAATGCTTCTTTCTAGCTTGTAGGGGAAGATATTCCCTTTATCACCATGGGCCTCCAACCGTCCGAAACATCCACTTCCATATACTACAAAAAGAGCGTTTCAAACCTGCTCTATGAAAGGCAATGTTCAACTCTGTGACTTGAATGCAGACATCACAGAGCAGTTTCTGAGAATGCTTTCTGTCTAGATTTTATAGGAAGATATTCCCGTTTCCAAAGAAATCTTCACAGCTATCCAAATATCCACTTGCAGATTCTACAAAAAGAGTGTATCAAAACTGCTCTTTCAAAAGGAAGGTTCTTCTCTGTTAGTTGAGTACATACGTCATAAAGGAGTTTCTGAGAATGTTTCTGTCTAGTGGTTATGGGAAGATATTTTCTTTTTCACCGTAGGCCTCAGAGCGCTCCAAATATCCACTTGCACATACTACAAAAAGAGTGCTTCAAAGCTGCTCTCTGAAACGGAATGTTCAACTCTATGAGTTGAATGCAAACATCACAAAGACGTTTCTGAGAATGCTTCTGTCTAGATTTGATATGAAGATATTCCCGTTTCCAACGAAATCTTCAAATCTATCCAAATGTCCACTTGCAGATTCAACAAAAAGTGTTTTTCGAAACTGCTGTATCAAAAGAAAGATCCACGTCTGTTAGCTGAGTTCACACATCACAAACAAGTTTATGAGAATGCTTCTGTCTAGTTTTTATTTGAAGATATTGCCTTTCTCACCATAGACCTGAAAGCTGTCCTAATGTTCACTTCCAGATACTACAGAAAGAGTGTTTCAAAACTGCTGTACGAAAGGGAATGTTCAACTCTGTGACTTGAATGCACACATCACAAAGAAGTTTCTGAGGATGCTGCTGTCTACTTTTTATACCTAATCCCGTTTCCAACGAAATCCTCCAAGCTATCCAAATATCCACTTGCAGATTCCACAGAAAGACTGTTTCAAAACTGCTCTGTCAATAGAAAGGTTCAACTCTGTTAGTTGCGTGCATATATCCCAAAGAAGATTCTGAGATTGCTTCTGTCTAGTTTTTATGGGAAGATATTTCCCTTTTCACCGTGGGCGTCAAGGCGCTCCAAATGTCCACTTCCGGATACTACAAAAAGAGTGTTTCAAACCTACTCTGTGAAAGGGAATATTCAACTCTGTGACTTGAATGCACATATCACAAGGAAGTTTCTGAGAATGCTTCTGTCGAGATTTTCTATGAAGATATTCCCGTTTCCAACGAAATCCTGAAATCTATCCAAATATCCCCTCGCAGATTCTACAAAAAGAGTGTTTCAAAACTGCTCTGTAAAAAGAAAGGTTCAACTCTATTAGTTGAGTACACACATCACAAACAAGTTTCACAGAATGCTTCTTTCTAGCTTGTAGGGGAAGATATTTCCTTTATCACCATGGGCCTCAAACCATCCGAAACGTCCACTTCCATATACTAAAAAAAGAGTGTTTGAAACCTGCTCTATGAAAGGCAATGTTCAACTCTGTGACTTGAATGCAGACATCACAGAGCAGTTTCTGAGAATGCTTCTGTCCAGACTTTATAGGAAGATATTCCCGTTTCCAAGGAAATCTTCACAGCTATCCAAATATCCACTTGCAGATACTACAAAAAGAATGTATCAAAAATGCTCTGTCAAAAGGAAAGTTCTTCTCTGCTAGTTGAGTACATACGTCATAAAGAAGTTTCTGAGAATGTTTCTGTCTAGTGGTTATGGGAAGATATTTGCTTTTTCACCGTAGGCCTCAGAGCGCTCCAAATATCCACTTGCACATACTACAAAAAGAGTGCCTCAAAGCTGCTCTCTGAAAGGGAATGTTCAACTCTATGAGTTGAATGCAAACATCGCAAAGACGTTTCTGAGAATGCTTCTGTCTAGATTTGATATGAAGATATTCCCGTTTCCAACGAAATCTTCAAATCTATCCAAATGTCCACTTGCAGATTCAACAAAAAGTGTTTTTCAGAACTGCTCTATCAAAAGAAAGATCCACCTATGTTAGCTGAGTTCACACATCACAAACAAGTTTATGAGAATGCTTCTGTCTAGTTTTTATTTGAAGATATTTCCTTTCTCACCATAGACCTGAAAGCTGTCCTAGTGTTCACTTCCAGATACTACAGAAAGAGTGTTTCAAAACTGCTGTACGAAAGGGAATGTTCAACTCTGTGACTTGAATGCACACATCACAAAGAAGTTTCTGAGGATGCTGCTGTCTACTTTTTATACGTAATCCCGTTTCCAACGAAATCCTCCAAGCTATCCAAATGTCCACTTGCAGATTCCACAGAAAGACTGTTTCAAAACTGCTCTGTCAATAGAAAGGTTCAACTCTGTTAGCTGCGTGCATATATCCCAAAGAAGATTCTGAGATTGCTTCTGTCTAGTATTTATGGGAAGATATTTCCCTTTTCACCGTAGGTGTCAAGGTGCTCCAAATGTCCACTTCCAGATACTACAAAAAGAGTGTTTCAAACCTACTCTGTGAAAGGGAATATTCAACTCTGTGACTTGAATGCAGATATCACAAAGAAGTTTCTGAGAATGCTTCTGTCGAGATTTTATATGAAGATATTCCCGTTTCCAACGAAATCCTGAAATCTATCCAAATATCCCCTCGCAGATTCTTCAAAAAGAGTGTTTCAATACTGCTCTGTAAAAAGAAAGGTTCAACTCTGTTAGTTGAGTACACACATCACAAACTAGTTTCACAGAATGCTTCTTTCTAGCTTGTAGGGGAAGATATTCCCTTTATCACCATGGGCCTCAAACCGTCCGAAATGTCCACTTCCATATACTACAAAAAGAGTGTTTCAAACCTGCTCTATGAAAGGCAATGTTCAACTCTGTGACTTGAATGCAGACATCACAGAGCAGTTTCTGAGAATGCTTCTGTCTAGATTTTATAGGAAGATATTCCCGTTTCCAACGAAATCTTCACAGCTATCCAAATATCCACTTGCAGATTCTACAAAAAGAGTGTATCTAAACTGCTCTGTCAAAAGGAAGGTTCTTTTCTGTTAGGTGAGTGCATACGTCATAAAGGAGTTTCTGAGAATGTTTCTGTCTAGTGGTTATGGGAAGATATTTGCTTTTTCACCGTAGGCCTCAGAGCGCTCCAAATATCCACTTGCACATACTACAAAAAGAGTGCCTCAAAGCTGCTCTCTGAAACGGAATGTTCAACTCGATGAGTTGAATGCAAACATCGCAAAGACGTTTCTGAGAATGCTTCTGTCTAGATTTGATATGAAGATATTCCCGTTTCCAACGAAATCTTCAAATCTATCCAAATGTCCACTTGCAGATTCAACAAAAAGTGTTTTTCCGAACTGCTCTATCAAAAGAAAGATCCGCCTCTGTTAGCTGAGTTCACACATCACAAACAAGTTTATGAGAATGCTTTCTATCTAGTTTTTATTTGAAGATATTTCCTTTCTCACCATAGACCTGAAAGCTGTCCTAATGTTCACTTCCAGATACTACAGAAAGAGTGTTTCAAAACTGCTGTACGAAAGGGAATGTTCAACTCTGTGACTTGAATGCACACATCACAAAGAATGATTTCTGAGGATGCTGCTGTCTACTTTTTATACGTAATCCCCTTTGCAACGAAATCCTCCAATCTATCCAAATATCCACTTGCAGATTCCACAGAAAGACAGTTTCAAAACTGCTCTGTCAATAGAAAGGTTCAACTCTGTTAGCTGCGTGCATATATCCCAAAGAAGATTCTGAGATTGCTTCTGTCTAGTTTTTATGGGAAGATATTTCCCTTTTCACCGTAGGCGTCAAGGCGCTCCAAATGTCCACTTCCAGATACTACAAAAAGAGTGTTTCAAACCTACTCTGTGAAAGCGAATATTCAACTCTGTGACTTGAATGCACATATCACAAAGAAGTTTCTGAGAATGCTTCTGTCGAGGTTTTATATGAAGATATTCCCGTTTCCAACGAAATCCTGAAATCTATCCAAATATCCCCTCGCAGATTCTACAGAAAGAGTGTTTCAAAACTGCTCTGTAAAAAGAAAGGTTCAACTCTGTTACTTGAGTACACACATCACAAACAAGTTTCACAGAATGCTTCTTTCTAGCTTGTAGGGGAAGATATTCCCTTTATTACCATGGGCCTCAAACCGTCCGAAAAGTCCACTTCCATATACTACAAAAAGAGCGTTTCAAACCTGCTCTATGAAAGGCAATGTTCAACTCTGTGACTTGAATGCAGACATCACAGAGCAGTTTCTGAGAATGCTTCTGTCTAGATTTTATAGGAAGATATTCCCGTTTCCAACGAAATCTTCACAGCTATCCAAATATCCACTTGCAGATTCTACAAAAAGAGTGTATCAAAACTGCTCTGTCAAAAGGAAGGTTCTTCTCTCTTAGGTGAGTACATACGTCATAAAGGAGTTTCTGAGAATGTTTCTGTCTAGTGGTTATGGGAAGATATTTGCTTTTTCACCGTAGGCCTCAGAGCGCTCCAAATATCCACTTGCACATAGTACAAAAAGAGTGCTTCAAAGCTGCTCTCTGAAAAGGAATGTTCAACTCTATGAGTTGAATGCAAACATCACAAAGACGTTTCTGAGAATGCTTCTGTCTAGATTTGATATGAAGATATTCCCGTTTCCAACGAAATCTTCAAATCTATCGAAATGTCCACTTGCAGATTCAACAAAAAGTGTTTTTCAGAACTGCTCTATCAAAAGAAAGATCCACCTCTGTTAGCTGAGTTCACACATCACAAACAAGTTTATGAGAATGCTTCTGTCTAGTTTTTAGTTGAAGATATTTCCTTTCTCACCATAGACCTGAAAGCTGTCCTAATGTTCACTTCCAGATACTACAGAAAGAGTGTTTCAAAACTGCTGTACGAAAGGGAATGTTCAACTCTGTGACTTGAATGCACACATCACAAAGAAGTTTCTGAGGATGCTGCTGTCTACTTTTTATACGTAATCCCGTTTCCAACGAAATCCTCCAAGCTATCCAAATATCCACTTGCAGATTCCACAGAAAGACTGTTTCAAATCTGCTCAGTCAATAGAAAGGTTCAACTCTGTTTGCTGCGTGCATATATCCCAAAGAAGATTCTGAGATTGCTTCTGTCTAGTTTTTATGGGAAGATATTTCCCTTTTCACCGTAGGTGTCAAGGCGCTCCAAATGTCCACATCCAAATACTACAAAAAGAGTGTTTCAAACCTACTCTGTGAAAGGGAATATTCAACTCTGTGACTTGAATGCACATATCACAAAGAAGTTTCTGAGAATGCTTCTGTCGAGATTTTATATGAAGATATTCCCGTTTCCAACGAAATCCTGAAATGTATCCAAATATCCCCTCGCAGATTCTACAAAAAGAGTGTTTTAAAACTGCTCTGTAAAAAGAAAGGTTCAACTCTGTTAGTTGAGTACACACATCACAAACAAGTTTCACACAATGCTTCTTTCTAGCTTGTAGGGGAAGATATTCCCTTTATCACCATGGGCCTCAAACCGTCCGAAACGTCCACTTCCATATACTACAAAAAGAGAGTTTCAAACCTGCTCTATGAAAGGCAATGTTCAACTCTGTGACTTGAATGCAGACATCACAGAGCAGTTTCTGAGAATGCTTCTGTCTAGATTTTATAGGAAGATATTCCCGTTTCCAACGAAATCTTCACAGCTATCCAAATATCCACTTGCAGATTCTACAAAAAGAGTGTATCAAAACTGCTCTGTCAAAAGGAAGGTTCTTTTCTGTTAGGTGAGTGCATACGTCATAAAGGAGTTTGCTGAGAATGTTTAAGTCTAGTGGTTATGGGAAGATATTTGCCTTTTCACCTTAGGCCTCAGAGCGCTCCAAATATCCACTTGCACATACTACAAAAAGAGTGTTTCAAAGCTGCTCTCTGAAAGGGAATGTTCAACTCTATGAGTTGAATGCAAACATCACAAAGACGTTTCTGAGAATGCTTCTGTCTAGATTTTATATGAAGATATTCCCGTTTCCAACGAAATCTTCAAATCTATCCAAATGTCCACTTGCAGATTCAACAAAAAGTGTTTTTCAGAACTGCTCTATCAAAAGAAAGATCCACCTCTGTTAGATGAGTTCACACATCACAAACAAGTTTATGAGAATGCTTCTTGTCTAGTTTTTATTTGAAGATATTTTCTTTCTCACCATAGACCTGAAAGCTGTCCTAATGTTCACTTCCAGATACTACAGAAAGAGTGTTTCAAAACTGCTGTACAAAAGGGAATGTTCAACTCTGTGACTTGAATGCACACATCACAAAGAAGTTTCTGAGGATGCTGCTGTCTACTTTTTATACGTAATCCCGTTTCCAACGAAATCCTCCAAGCTATCCAAATATCCACTTGCAGATTCCACAGAAAGACTGTTTCAAAACTGCTCTGTCAATAGAAAAGTTCAACTCTGTTAGCTGTGTGCATATATCCCAAAGAAAATTCTGAGATTGCTTCTGTCTAGTTTTTATGGGAAGATATTTCCCTTTTCACAATAGGTGTCAAGGCGCTCCAAATGTCCACTTCCAGATACTACAAAAAGAGTGTTTCAAACCTACTCTGTGAAAGGGAATATTCAACTCTGTGACTTGAATGCAGATATCACAAAGAAGTTTCTGAGAATGCTTCTGTCGAGATTTTATATGAAGATATTCCCGTTTCCAACAAAATCCTGAAATGTATCCAAATATCCCCTCGCAGATTGTACAAAAAGAGTGTTTCAAAACTGCTCTGTAAAAAGAAAGGTTCAACTCTGTTAGTTGAGTACACACATCACAAATAAGTTTCACACAATGCTTCTTTCTAGCTTGTAGGGGAAGATATTTCCTTTATCACCATGGGCCTCAAACCGTCCGAAACGTCCACTTCCATATACTAAAAAAAGAGTGCTTGAAACCTGCTCTATGAAAGGCAATGTTCAACTCTGTGACATGAAAGCAAACATCACAGAGCAGTTTCTGAGAATGCTTCTGTCTAGATTTTATAGGAAGATATTCCCGTTTCCAACGAAATCTTCACAGCTATCCAAATATCCACTTGCATATTCTACAAAAAGAGTGTATCAAAACTGCTCTGTCAAAAGGAAGGTTCTTCTCTGTTAGGTGAGTGCATACGTCATAAAGGAGTTTCTGAGAATGTTTCTGTCTAGTGGTTATGGGAAGATATTTGCTTTTTCCCCGTAGGCCTCAGGGCGCTCCAAATGTCCACTTGCACATGCTACAAAAAGAGTGCCTCAAAGCTGCTCTCTGGAAGGGAATGTTCAACTCTATGAGTTGAATGCAAACATCACAAAGAGGTTTCTGAGAATGCTTCTGTCTAGATTTGATATGAAGATATTCCCGTTTCCAACGAAATCTTCAAATCTATCCAAATGTCCACTTGCAGATTCAACAAAAAGTGTTTTTCAGAACTTCTCTATCAAAAGAAAGATCCACCTCTCTTAGCTGAGTTCACACATCAGAAACAAGTTTATGAGAATGCTTCTGTCTAGTTTTTATTTGAAGATATTTCCTTTCTCACCATAGTACCTGAAAGCTGTCCTAATGTTCACTTCCAGTTACTACAGAAAGAGTGTTTCAAAACTGCTGTACGAAAGGGAATGTTCAACTCTGTGACTTGAATGCACACATCACAAAGAAGTTTCTGAGGATGCTGCTGTCTACTGTTTATACTTAATCCCGTTTCCAACGAAATCCTCCAAGCTATCCAAATATCCACTTGCAGATTCCACAGAAAGACTGTTTCAAAACTGCTCTGTCAATAGAAAGGTTCAACTCTGTTAGCTGCGTGCATATATCCCAAAGAAGATTCTGAGATTGCTTCTGTCTACTTTTTATGAGAAGATATTTCCCTTTTCACCGTAGGCGTCAAGGTGCTCAAAATGTCCACTTCCAGATACTACAAAAAGAGTGTTTCAAACCTACTCTGTGAAAGGGAATATTCAACTCTGTGACTTGAATGCACATATCACAAAGAAGGTTCTGAGAATGCTTCTGTCGAGATTTTATATGAAGATATTCCCGTTTCCAACGAAATCCTGAAATCTATCCAAATATCCCCTCGCAGATTCTACAAAAAGAGTGTTTCAAAGCTGCTCTGTAAAAAGAAAGGTTCAACTCTGTTAGTTGAGTACACACATCACAAACAAGTTTCACAGAATGCTTCTTTCTAGCTTGTAGGGGAAGATATTCCCTTTATCACCATGGGCCTCAAACCGTCCGAAACGTCCACTTCCATATAGTACAAAAAGAGCGTTTCAAACCTGCTCTAGGAAAGGCAATGTTCAACTCTGTGACTTGAATGCAAACATCACAGAGCAGTTTCTGAGAATGCTTCTGTCTAGACTTTATAGGAAGATATTCCCGTTTCCAACGAAATCTTCACAGCTATCCAAATATCCACTTGCAGATTCTACAAAAAGAGTGTATCAAAACTGCTCTGTCAAAAGGAAGGTTCTTTTGCTGTTAGGTGAGTGCATACGTCATAAAGGAGTTTCTGAGAATGTTTTCTGTCTAGTGGTTATGGGAAGATATTTGCTTTTTCCCCGTAAGCCTCAAAGCGCTCCAAATGTCCACTTGAACATACTACAAAAAGAGTGCTTCAAAGCTGCTCTCTGAAAGGGAATGTTCAACTCTATGAGTTGAATGCAAACATCACAAAGACGTTTCTGAGAATGCTTCTGTCTAGACTTGATATGAAGATATTCCCGTTTCCAACGAAATCTTCAAATCTATCCAAATGTCCACTTGCAGATTCAACAAAAAGTGTTTTTCAGAACTGCTCTATCAAAAGAAAGATCCACCTCTGTTAGCTGAGTTCACACATCACAAACAAATTGATGAGAATGCTTCTGTCTACTTTTTATTTGAAGATATTTCCTTTCTCACCATAGACCTGAACGCTGTCCTAATGTTCACTTCCAGATACTACAGAAAGAGTGTTTCAAAACTGCTGTACGAAAGGGAATGTTCAACTCTGTGACTTGAATGCACACATCACAAGGAAGTTTCTCAGGATGCTGCTGTCTATTTTTTATACGTAATCCCGTTTCCAACGAAATCCTCCAAGCTATCCAAATATCCACTTGCAGATTCCACAGAAAGACTGTTTCAAAACTGCTCTGTCAATAGAAAGGTTCAACTCTGTTAGCTGCGTGCATATATCCCAAAGAAGATTCTGAGATTGCTTCTGTCTAGTTTTTATGGGAAGATATTTCCCTTTTCACCGTGGGCGTCAAGGCGCTCCAAATGACCACTTCCAGATACTACAAAAAGAGTGTTTCAAACCTACTCTGTGAAAGGGAATATTCAACTCTGTGACTTGAATGCACATATCACAAGGAAGTTTCTGAGAATGCTTCTGTCAAGATTTTATATGAAGATATTCCCGTTTCCAACGAAATCCTGAAATCTATCCAAATATCCCCTCGCAGATTCTACAAAAAGAGTGTTTCAAAACTGCTCTGTAAAAAGAAAGGTTCAACTCTGTTAGTTGAGTACACACATCACAAACAAGTTTCACAGAATGCTTCTTTCTAGCTTGTAGGGGAAGATATTTCCTTTATCACCATGGTCCTCAAACCGTCCGAAACGTCCACATCCATATACTAAAAAAAGAGTGTTTGAAACCTGCTCTATGAAAGGCAACGTTCAACTCTGTGACTTGAATGCAGACATCACAGAGCAGTTTCAGAGAATGCTTCTGTCTAGATTTTATAGGAAGATATTCCCGTTTCCAACAAAATCTTCACAGCTATCGAAATATCCACTTGCAGATTCTACAAAAAGAGTGTATCAAAACTGCTCTGTCAAAAGGAAGGTTCTTCTCTGTTAGGTGAGTGCATACGTCATAAAGGAGTTTCTGAGAATGTTTTCTGTCTAGTGGTTATGGGAAGATATTTGCTTTTTCACCGTAGGCCCCAGAGCACTCCAAATATCCACTTGCACATACTACAAAAAGAGTGCTTCAAAGCTGCTCTCTGAAACGGAATGTTCAACTCTATGAGTTGAATGCAATCATCACAAAGACGTTTCTGAGAATGCTTCTGTCTAGATTTCATATGAAGGTATTCCTGTTTCCAACGAAATCTTCAAATCTATTCAAATGTCCACTTGCAGATTCAACAAAAAGTGTTTTTTAAAACTGCTGTTTCAAAAGAAAGATCCACCTCTGTTAGCTGAGTTCGCACTTCACAAACAAGTTTATCAGAATGCTCTGTCTAGTTTTTATTTGAAGATATTTCCTTTCTCACCATAGACCTGAAAGCTGTCCTAATGTTCACTTCCAGATACTACAGAAAGAGTGTTTCAAAACTGCTGTACGAAAGGGAATGTTCAACTCTGTGACTTGAATGCACACATCACAAAGAAGTTTCTGAGGATGCTGGCTGTCTACTTTTTATACGTAAACCCGTTTCCAACGAAATCCTCCAATCTATCCAAATATCCACTTGCAGATTCCACAGAAAGACTGTTTCAAATCTGCTCTGTCAATAGAAAGATTCAACTCTCTTAGCTGCGTGCATATATCCCAAAGAAGATTCTGAGATTGCTTCTGTCTAGTTTTTATGGGAAGATATTTCCCTTTTCACCGTAGGCGTCAAGGCGCTCCAAATGTCCACTTCCAGATACTACAAAAAGAATGTTTGAAACCTACTCTGTGAAAGGGAATATTCAACTCTGTGACTTGAATGCAGATATCACAAAGAAGTTTCTGAGAATGCTTCTGTCGAGATTTTATATGAAGATATTCCCCTTTCCAAAGAAATCCTGAAATCTATCCAAATATCCCCTCGCAGATTCTACAAAAAGAGTGTTTCAAAACTGCTCTGTAAAAAGAAAGGTTCAACTCTGTTAGTTGAGTACACACATCACAAACAAGTTTCACAGAATGCTTCTCTTTCTAGCTTGTAGAGGAAGATATTCCCTTTATCACCATGGGCCTCCAACCGTCCGAAACATCCACTTCCATATACTACAAAAAGAGCGTTTCAAACCTGCTCTATGAAAGGCAATGTTCAACTCTGTGACTTGAATGCAGACATCACAGAGCAGTTTCTGAGAATGCTTTCTGTCTAGATTTTATAGGAAGATATTCCCGTTTCCAACGAAATCTTCACAGGTATCCAAATATTCACTTGCAGATTCTACAAAAAGAGTGTATCAAAACTGCTCTGTCAAAAGGAAGGTTCTTCTCTGTTAGGTGAGTGCATACGTCATAAAGGAGTTTCTGAGAATGTTTCTGTCTAGTGGTTATGGGAAGATATTTGCTTTTTCACCGTAGGCCTCAGAGCGCTCCAAATATCCACTTGCACATACTACAAAAAGAGTGCTTCAAAGCTGGTCTCTGAAACGGAATGTTCAACTCTATGAGTTGAATGAAAACATCACAAAGACGTTTCTGAGAATGCTTCTGTCTAGATTTGATATGAAGATATTCCCGTTTCCAACGAAATCTTCATATCTATCCAAATGTCCACTTGCAGATTCAACAAAAAGTGTTTTTCAAAACTGCTGTATCAAAAGAAAGATCCACGACTGTTAGCTGAGTTTACACATCACAAACAAATTTATGAGAATGTTTCTGTCTAGTTTTTATTTGAAGATATTTCCTTTCTCACCATAGACCTGAAAGCTGTCCTAATGTTCACTTCCAGATACTACAGAAACAGTGTTTCAAAACTGCTGTACGAAAGGGAATGTTCAACTCTGTGACTTGAATGCACACCTCACAAATAAGTTTCTGAGGATGCTGCTGTCTACTTTTTATACGTAATCCCGTTTCCAACGAAATCCTCCAATCTATCCAAACATCCACTTGCAGATTCCACAGAAAGACTGTTTCAAAACTGCTCTGTCAATAGAAAGGTTCAACTCTGTTAGCTGCGTGCATATATCCCAAAGAAGATTCTGAGATTGCTTCTGTCTAGTTTTTACGGGAAGATATTTCCCTTTTCACCGTAGGTGTCAAGGCGCTCCAAAGGTCCACTTCCAGATACTACAAAAAGAGTGTTTCAAACCTACTCTGTGAAAGGGAATATTCCACTCTGTGACTTGAATGCAGATATCACAATGAAGTTTCTGAGAATGCTTCTGTCGAGATTTTATATGAAGATATTCCCGTTTCCAACGAAATCCTGAAATCTATCCAAATATCCCCTCGCAGATTCTACAAAAAGAGTGTTTCAAAACTGCTCTGTAAAAAGAAAGGTTCCACTCTGTTAGTTGAGTACACACATCACAAACAAGTTTCACAGAATGCTTCTTTCTAGCTTGTAGGGGAAGATATTTCCTTTATCACCATGGTCCTCAAACCGTCCGAAACGTCCACTTCCATATACTAAAAAAAGAGTGTTTGAAACCTGCTCTATGAAAGGCAATGTTCAACTCTGTGACTTGAATGCAGACATCACAGAGCAGTTTCTGAAAATGCTTCTGTCCAGACTTTATAGGAAGATATTCCCGTTTCCAACGAAATCTTCACAGCTATCCAAATATCCACTTGCAGATACTACAAAAAGAGTGTATCAAAAATGCTCTGTCAAAAGGAAAGTTCTTCTCTGCTAGTTGAGTACATACGTCATAAAGAAGTTTCTGAGAATGTTTCTGTCTAGTGGTTATGGGAAGATATTTGCTTTTTCACCGTAGGCCTCAGAGCGCTCCAAATATCCACTTGCACATACTACAAAAAGAGTGCTTCAAAGCTGCTCTCTGAAACGGAATGTTCAACTCTATGAGTTGAATGCAAACATCACAAAGACGTTACCGCGAATGCTTCTGTCTAGATTTGATATGAAGATATTCCCGTTTCCAACGAAATCTTCAAATCTATCCAAATGTCCACTTGCAGATTCAACAAAAAGTGTTTTTCAGAACTGCTCTATCAAAAGAAAGATCCACCTCTGTTAGCTGAGTTCACACATCACAAACAGGTTTATGAGAATGCTTCTGTCTAGTTTTTATTTGAAGATATTTCCTTTCTCACCATAGACCTGAAAGCTGTCCTAATGTTCACTTCCAGATACTACAGAAAGAGTGTTTCAAAGCTGCTGTACGAAAGGGAATGTTCAAATCTGTGACTTGAATGCACACATCACAAAGAAGTTTCTGAGGATGCTGCTGTCTACTTTTTATACGTAATCCCGTTTCCAACGAAATCCTCTAATCTATCCAAATATCCACTTGCGGATTCCACAGAAAGACTGTTTCAAAACTGCTCTGTCAATAGAAAGGTTCAACTCTGTTAGCTGCGTGCATATATCCCAAAGAAGATTCTGAGATTGCTTCTGTCTAGTTTTTATGGGAAGATATTTCCCTTTTCACCGTAGGCGTCAAGGCGCTCCAAATGTCCACTTCCAGATGCCTCAAAAAGAGTGTTTCAAACCTAATCTGTGAAAGGGAATATTCAACTCTGTAACTTGAATGCACATATCACAAAGAAGTTTCTGAGAATGCTTCTGTCGAGATTTTATATGAAGATATTCCCGTTTCCAACGGAATCCTGAAATCTATCGAAATATCCCCTCGCAGATTCTACAAAAAGAGTGTTTCAAAACTGCTCTGTAAAAAGAAAGTTTCAACTCTGTTAGTTGAGTACACACATCACAAACAAGTTTCACAGAATGCTTCTTTCTAGCTTGTAGGGGAATATATTCCCTTTATCACCATGGGTCTCAAACCGTCCGAAACGTCCACTTCCATATACTACAAAAAGAGCATTTCAAACCTGCTCTATGAAAGGCAATGTTCAACTCTGTGACTTGAATGCAGACATCACAGAGCAGTTTCTGAGAATGCTTCTCTCTAGATTTTATAGGAAGATATTCCCGTTTCCAACGAAATCTTCACAGCTATCCAAATATCCACTTGCAGATTCTACAAAAAGAGTGTATCAAAACTGCTCTGTCAAAAGGAAGGTTCTTCTCTGTTAGGTGAGTGCATACGTTATAAAGGAGTTTCTGAGAATGTTTCTGTCTAGTGGTTATGGGAAGATATTTGCTTTTTCACCCTAGGCCTCAGAGTGCTCCAAATATCCACTTGCACATACTACAAAAAGAGTGCTTCAAAGCTGCTCTCTGAAACGGAATGTTCAACTCTATGTGTTGAATGCAAACATCACAAAGACGTTTCCGAGAATGCTTCTGTCTAGATTTGATATGAAGATATTCCCGTTTCCAACGAAATCTTCAAATCTATCCAAATGTCCACTTGCAGATTAAACAAAAAGTGTTTTTCAGAACTGCTCTATCAAAAGAAAGATCCACCTCTGTTAGCTGAGTTCACACATCACAAACAAGTTTATGAGAATGCTTCTGTCTAGTTTTTATTTGAAGATATTTCCTTTCTCACCATAGAGCTGAAAGCTGTCCTAATGTTCACTTCCAGATACTACAGAAAGAGTGTTTCAAAACTGCTGTACGAAAGGGAATGTTCAACACTGTGACTTGAATGCACACATCACAAAGAAGTTTCTGAGGATGCTGCAGTCTACTTTTTATACGTAATCCCGTTTCCAACGAAATCCTCCAATCTATCCAAATATCCACTTGCAGATTCCACAGAAAG
Source organism: Homo sapiens (assembly GCF_000001405.40). NCBI lineage: Eukaryota > Metazoa > Chordata > Mammalia > Primates > Hominidae > Homo > Homo sapiens. Next base: position 17,156,844 of record NC_000013.11, on the reverse strand, counting down.
ACTGTTTCAAAACTGCTCTGTCAATAGAAAGGTTCAACTCTGTTAGCTGCGTGCATATATCCCAAAGAAGATTCTAAGATTGCTTCTGTCTAGTTTTTATGGGAAGATATTCCCTTTTCACCGTAGGCGTCAAGGCGCTCCAAATGTCCACTTCCAGATACTACAAAAAGAGTGTTTCAAACCTACTCTGTGAAAGGGAATATTCAACTCTGTGACTTGAATGCACATATCACAAAGAAGTTTCTGAGAATGCTTCTGTCGAGATTTTATATGAAGATATTCCCGTTTCCAAAGAAATCCTGAAATCTATCCAAATATCCCCTCGCAGATTCTACAAAAAGAGTGTTTCAAAACTGCTCTGTGAAAAGAAAGGTTCAACTCTGTTAGTTGAGTACACACATCACAAACAAGTTTCACAGAATGCTTCTTTCTAGCTTGTAGGGGAAGATATTCCCTTTATCACCCTGGGCCTCCAACCGTCCGAAACGTCCACTTCCATATACTACAAAAAGAGCGTTTCAAACCTGCTCTAGGAAAGGCAATGTTCAACTCTGTGACTTCAATGCAGACATCACAGAGCAGTTTCTGAGAATGCTTCTGTCTAGATTTTATAGGAAGATATTCCCGTTTCCAACGAAATATTCACAGCTATCCAGATATCCACTTGCAGATTCTACAAAAAGAGTGCATCAAAACTGCTCTGTCAAAAGGAAGGTTCTTCTCTGTTAGGTGAGTGCATACGTCATAAAGGAGTTTCTGAGAATGTTTCTGTCTAGTGGTTATGGAAAGATATTTGCTTTTTCACCGTAGGCCTCAGAGCGCTCCAAATATCCACTTGCACATACTACAAAAAGAGTGCCTCAAAGCTGCTTTCTGAAACGGAATGTTCAACTCTATGAGTTGAATGCAAACAACGCAAAGACGTTTCTGAGAATGCTTCTGTCTAGATTTGATATGAAGATATTCCCGTTTCCAACGAAATCTTCAAATCTATCCAAATGTCCACTTGCAGATTCAACAAAAAGTGTTTTTCAGAACTGCTCTATCAAAAGAAAGATCCACCTCTGTTAGCTGAGTTCACACATCACAAAAAGGTTTATGAGAATGCTTCTGTCTAGTTTTTATTTGAAGATATTCCCTTTCTCAACATAGACCTGAAAGCTGTCCTAATGTTCACTTCCAGATACTACAGAAAGAGCGTTTCAAAACTGCTGTACGAAAGGGAATGTTCAACTCTGTGACTTGAATGCACACATCACAAAGAAGTTTCTGAGGATGCTGCTGTCTACTTTTTATACGTAATCCCGTTTCCAACGAAATACTCCAAGCTATCCAAATATCCACTTGGAGATTCCACAGAAAGACTGTTTCAAAACTACTCTGTCAATAGAAAGGTTCAACTCTGTTAGCTGCGTGCATATATCCCAAAGAAGATTCTGAGATTGCTTCTGTCTAGTTTTTATGGAAAGATATTTCCCTTTTCACCGTAGGTGTCAAGGCGCTCCAAATGTCCACTTCCAGATACTACAAAAAGAGTGTTTCAAACCTACTCTGTGAAAGGGAATATTCAACTCTGTGACTTGAATGCAGATATCACAAAGAAGTTTCTGAGAATGCTTCTGTCGAGATTTTATATGAAGATATTCCCGTTTCCAACGAAATGCTGAAATGTATCCAAATATCCCCTCGCAGATTCTACAAAAAGAGTGTTTCAAAACTGTTCTGTAAAAAGAAAGGTTCAACTCTGTTAGTTGAGTACACACATCACAAACAAGTTTCACAGAATGCTTCTTTCTAGCTTGTAGGGGAAGATATTCTCTTTATCACCATGGGCCTCCAACCGTCCGAAACATCCACTTCCATATACTACAAAAAGAGCGTTTCAAACCTGCTCTATGAAAGGCAATGTTCAACTCTGTGACTTGAAAGCAGACATCACAGAGCAGTTTCTGAGAATGCTTCTGTCTAGATTTTATAGGAAGATATTCCCGTTTCCAACGGAATCTTCACAGCTATCCAAATATCCACTTGCAGATTCTACAAAAAGTGTGTATCAAAACTGCTCTGTCAAAAGGAAGGTTCTTTTCTGTTAGGTGAGTGCATACGTCATAAAGGAGTTTCTGAGAATGTTTCTGTCTAGTGGTTATGGGAAGATATTTGCTTTTTCACCGTAGGCCTCAGAGCGCTCCAAATATCCACTTGCACATACTACAAAAAGAGTGCCTCAAAGCTGCTCTCTGAAACGGAATGTTCAACTCTATGAGTTGAATGCAAACATCACAAAGACGTTTCTGACAATGCTTCTGTCTAGATTTGATATGAAGGTATTCCCGTTTGCAACGAAATCTTCAAATCTATCCAAATGTCCACTTGCAGATTCAACAAAAAGTGTTTTTCAGAACTGCTCTATCAAAAGAAAGATCCACCTCTGTTAGCTGAGTTCACACATCACAAACAAGTTTATGAGAATGCTTCTGTCTAGTTTTTATTTGAAGATATTTCCTTTCTCACCATAGTACCTGAAAGCTGTCCTAATGTTCAATTCCAGATACTACAGAAAGAGTGTTTCAAAACTACTGTACGAAAGGGAATGTTCAACTCTGTGACTTGAATGCACACATCACAAAGAAGTTTCTGAGGATGCTGCTGTCTACTTTTTATACGTAATCCCGTTTCCAACGAAATCCTCCAAGCTATCCAAATATTCACTTGCAGATTCCACAGAAAGACTGTTTCAAAACTGCTCTGTCAATAGAAAGGTTCAACTCTGTTAGCTGCGTGCATATATCCCAAAGAAGTTTCTGAGATTACTTTCTGTCTAGTTTTTATGGGAAGATATTTCCCTTTTCACCGTAGGTGTCAAGGCGCTCCAAATGTCCACTTCCAGATACTACAAAAAGAGTGTTTCAAGCCTACTCTGTGAAAGGGAATATTCAACTCTGTGACTTGAATGCACATATCACAAAGAAGTTTCTGAGAATGCTTCTGTCGAGTATTTTATATGAAGATATTCCCGTTTCCAACGAAATCCTGAAATCTATCCAAATATCCCCTCGCAGATTCTACAAAAAGAGTGTTTCAAAACTGCTCTGTAAAAAGAAAGGTTCAACTCTGTTAGTTGAGTACACACATCACAAACAAGTTTCACAGAATGCTTCTTTCTAGCTTGTAGGGGAAGATATTCCCATTATCACCATGGGCCTCAAACCGTCCGAAACGTCTACTTCCATATACTACAAAAAGAGCGTTTCAAACCTGCTCTATGAAAGGCAATGTTCAACTCTGTGACTTGAATGCAGACGTCACAGAGCAGTTTCTGAGAATGCTTCTGTCCAGACTTTATAGGAAGATATTCCCGTATCCAACGAAATCTTCACAGCTATCCAAATATCCACTTGCAGATAGTACAAAAAGAGTGTATCAAAAATGCTCTGTCAAAAGGAAAGTTCTTCTCTGCTAGTTGAGTACATACGTCATAAAGAAGTTTCTGAGAATGTTTCTGTCTAGTGGTTATGGGAAGATATTTGCTTTTTCACCGTAGGCCTCAGAGCGCTCCAAATATCCACTTGCACATACTACAAAAAGAGTGCCTCAAAGCTGCTCTCTGAAACGGAATGTTTAACTCTATGAGTTGAATGCAAACATCGCAAAGACGTTTCTGAGAATGCTTCTGTCTAGATTTGATATGAAGATATTCCCGTTTCCAAAGAAATCTTCAAATCTATCCAAATGTCCACTTGCAGATTCAACAAAAAGTGTTTTTCAGAACTGCTCTATCAAAAGAAAGATCCACCTCTGTTAGCTGAGTTCACACATCACAAACAAGCTTATGAGAATGCTTCTGTCTAGTTTTTATTTGAAGATATTTCCTTTCTCACCATAGACATGAAAGCTGTCCTAATGTTCACTTCCAGATACTACAGAAAGAGCATTTCAAAACTGCTGTACGAAAGAGAATGTTCAACTCTGTGACTTGAATGCACACATCACAAAGAAGTTTCTGAGGATGCTGCTGTCTACTTTTTATACGTAATCCCGTTTCCAACGAAATCCTCCAATCTATCCAAATATCCACTTGCAGATTCCACAGAAAGACTGTTTCAAAACTGGTCTGTCAATAGAAAGGTTCAACTCTGTTAGCTGCGTGCATATATCCCAAAGGAGATTCTGAGATTGCTTCTGTCTAGTATTTATGGGAAGATATTTCCCTTTTCACCGTAGGTGTCAAGGCGCTCCAAATGTCCACTTCCAGATACTACAAAAAGAGTGTTTCAAACCTACTCTGTGAAAGGGAATATTCAACTCTGTGACTTGAATGCACATATCACAAAGAAGTTTCTGAGAATGCTTCTGTCGAGATTTTATATGAAGATATTCCCGTTTCCAACGAAATCCTGAAATCTATCCAAATATCCCCTCGCAGATTCTACAAAAAGAGTGTTTCAAAACTGCTCTGTAAAAAGAAAGGTTCAACTCTGTTAGTTGAGTACACACATCACAAACAAGTTTCACAGAGTGCTTCTTTCTAGCTTGTAGGGGAAGATATTCCCTTTATCACCATGGGCCTCAAACCGTCCGAAACGTCCACTTCCATATACTACAAAAAGAGCGTTTCAAACCTGCTCTATGAAAGGCAATGTTCAACTCTAGTGACTTGAATGCAGACATCACAGAGCAGTTTCTGAGAATGCTTCTGTCTAGATTTTATAGGAAGATATTCCAGTTTCCAACGAAATCTTCACAGCTATCCAAATATCCACTTGCAGATTCTACAAAAAGAGTGTATCAAAACTGCTCTATCAAAAGGAAGGTTCTTCTCTGTTAGTTGAGTACATACGTCATAAAGGAGTTTCTGAGAATGTTTCTGTCTAGTGGTTATGGGAAGATATTTGCTTTTTCACCTTAGGCCTCAGAGCGCTCCAAATATCCCCTTGCACATACTACAAAAAGAGTGCTTCAAAGCTGCTCTCTGAAAGGGAATTTTCAACTCTATGAGTTGAATGCAAACATCACAAAGACGTTTCTGAGAATGCTTCTATCTAGATTTGATATGAAGATATTCCCGTTTCCAACGAAATCTTCAAATCTATCCAAATGTCCACTTGCAGATTCAACAAAAAGTGTTTTTCAGAACTGCTCTATCAAAAGAAAGATCCACCTCTGTTAGCTGAGTTCACACATCACAAACAAGTTTATGAGAATGCTTCTGTCTAGTTTTTATTTGAAGATATTTCCTTTCTCACCATAGACCTGAATGCTGTCCTAATGTTCACTTCCAGATACTACAGAAAGAGTGTTTCAAAACTGCTGTACGAAAGGGAATGTTCAACTCTGTGACTTGAATGCACACATCACAAAGAAGTTTCTGAGGATGCTGCTGTCTACTTTTTATACGTAATCCCGTTTCCAACGAAATCCTCCAAGCTATCCAAATATCCACTTGCAGATTCCACAGAAAGACTGTTTCAAAACTGCTCTGTCAATAGAAAGGTTCAACTCTGTTAGCTGCGTACATATATCCCAAAGAAGATTCTGAGATTGCTTCTGTCTACTTTTTATGAGAAGATATTTCCCTTTTCACCGTAGGTGTCAAGGTGCTCCAAATGTCCACTTCCAGATACTAGAAAAAGAGTGTTTCAAACCTACTCTGTGAAAGGGAATATTCAACTCTGTGACTTGAATGCACATATCACAAAGAAGTTTCTGAGAATGCTTCTGTCGAGATTTTATATGAAGATATTCCCGTTTCCAACGAAATGCTGAAATGTATCCAAATATCCCCTCGCAGATTCTACAAAAAGAGTGTTTCAAAACTGCTCTGTAAAAACAAAGGTTCAACTCTGTTAGTTGAGTACACACATCACAAACAAGTTTCACAGAATGCTTCTTTCTAGCTTGTAGGGGAAGATATTCCCTTTATCACCAAGGGCCTCAAACCGTCCGAAACGTCCACTTCCATATACTACAAAAAGAGCGTTTCAAACCTGCTCTAGGAAAGGCAATGTTCAACTCTGTGACTTGAATGCAGACATCACAGAGCAGTTTCTGAGAATGCTTCTGTATAGATTTTATAGGAAGATATTCCCGTTTCCAACGAAATCTTCACAGCTATCCAAATATCCACTTGCAGATTCTACAAAAAGAGTGTATCAAAACTGCTCTGTCAAAAGGAAGGTTCTTCTCTGTTAGGTGAGTGCATACGTCATAAGGGAGTTTCTGAGAATGTTTCTGTCTAGTGGTTATGGGAAGATATTTGCTTTTTCACCGTAGGCCACAGAGCGATCAAAATATCCACTTGCACATACTACAAAAAGAGTGCTTCAAAGCTGCTCTCTGAAAGTGAATGTTCAACTCTATGAGTTGAATGCAAACATCACAAAGACGTTTCCTGAGAATGCTTCTGTCTAGATTTGATATGAAGATATTCCCGTTTCCAACGAAATCTTCAAATCTATCCAAATGTCCACTTGCAGATTCAACAAAACGTGTTTTTCAGAACTGCTCAATCAAAAGAAAGATCCACCTGTGTTAGCTGAGTTCACACATCACAAACAAGTTTATGAGAATGCTTCTGTCTAGTTTTTATGGGAAGATATTTCCCTTTTCACCGTAGGTGTCAAGGCGCTCCAAATGTCCACTTCCAGATAGTACAAAAAGAGTGTTTCAAACCAACTCTGTGAAAGGGAATATTCAACTCTGTGACTTGAATGCACACATCACAAAGAAGTTTCTGAGGATGCTGCTGTCTACTTTTTATACGTAATCCCGTTTCCAACGAAATCCTCCAAGCTATCCAAATATCCACTTGCAGATTCCACAGAAAGACTGTTTCAAAACTGCTCTGTCAATAGAAAGGTTCAACTCTGTTAGCTGCATGCATATATCCCAAAGAAGATGCTGAGATTGCTTCTGTCTAGTTTTTATGGGAAGATATTTCCCTTTTCACCGTAGGCGTCAAGGCGCTCCAAATGTCCACTTCCAGATACTACAAAAAGAGTGTTTCAAACCTACTCTATGAAAGGGAATATTCAACTCTGTGACTTGAATGCACATATCACAAAGAAGTTTCTGAGAATGCTTCTGTCGAGTATTTTATATGAAGATATTCCCGTTTCCAACGAAATCCTGAAATGTATCCAAATATCCCCTTGCAGATTCTACAAAAAGAGTGTTTCAAAACTGCTCTGTAAAAAGAAAGGTTCAACTCTGTTAGTTGAGTACACACATCACAAACAAGTTTCACACAATGCTTCTTTCTAGCTTGTAGGGGAAGATATTCCCTTTATCACCATGGGCCTCAAACCGTCCGAAACGTCCACTTCCATATACTACCAAAAGAGCGTTTCAAACCTGCTCTAGGAAAGGCAATGTTCAACTCTGTGACTTGAATGCGGACATCAGAGAGCAGTTTCTGAGAATGCTTCTGTCTAGATTTTATAGGAAGATATTCCCGTTTCCAACGAAATCTTCACAGCTATCCAAATATCCACTTGCAGATTCTACAAAAAGAGTGTATCAAAACTGCTCTGTCAAAAGGAAGGTTCTTCTCTGTTAGGTGAGTGCATACGTCATAAAGGAGTTTCTGAGAATGGTTCTGTCTAGTGGTTATGGGAAGATATTTGCTTTTTCACCGTAGGCCTCAGAGCGCTCCAAATATCCACTTGCACATACTACAAAAAGAGTGCTTCACAGCTGCTCTCTGAAAGGGAATGTTCAACTCTATGAGTTGAATGCAAACATCACAAAGACGTTTCTGAGAATGCTTCTGTCTAGATTTTATATGAAGATATTCCCGTTTCCAAAGAAATCTTCAAATCTATCCAAATATCCACTTGGAGATTCTACAAAAAGTGTTTTTCAAAATTGCTGTATCAAAAGAAAGATCCACCTTTGTTTGTTGAGTTCACACAACACAAACAAGTTTGTGAGAATGCTTCTGTCTTGTTTTTATTTGAAGATATTTCCTTTCTCACCATAGTCCTGAAAGCTCTCGAAATGTTCACTTCCAGGTACTACAAAAAGAGTGTTTCAAACTTTCTATGTGAAAGGGAATATTGAACTCTGTGACTTCAATGCAGATATCACAAAATCTTTCTGAGAATTCTGCTGTCTACTTTTTATACGTAATCCCGTTTCCAACGAAATCCTCCAAGCTATCCAAATATCCACTTGCAGATTCCACAGAAAGACTGTTTCAAAACTGCTCTGTCAATAGAAAGGTTCAACTCTGTTAGCTGCGTGCATATATCCCAAAGAGGATTCTGAGATTGCTTCTGTCTAGTTTTTATGGGAAGATATTTCCCTTTTCACCGTAGGCGTCAAGGCGCTCCAAATGTCCACTTCCAGATACTACAAAAAGAGTGTTTCAAACCTACTCTGTGAAAGGGAATATTCACCTCTGTGACTTGAATGCACATATCACAAAGAAGTTTCTGAGAATGCTTCTGTCGAGATTTTATATGAAGATATTCCCGTTTCCAACGAAATCCTGAAATCTATCCAAATATCCTCTCGCAGATTCTACAAAAAGAGTGTTTCAAAACTGCTCTGTAAAAAGAAAGGTTCAACTCTGTTAGTTGAGTACACACATCACAAACAACTTTCACAGAATGCTTCTTTCTAGCTTGTAGGGGAAGATATTCCCTTTATCACCATGGGCCTCCAACCGTCCGAAACGTCCACTTCCATATACTACAAAAAGAGAGTTTCAAACCTGCTCTATGAAAGGCAATGTTCAACTCTGTGACTTGAATGCAGACATCACAGAGCAGTTTCTGAGAATGCTTCTGTCCAGACTTTATAGGAAGATATTCCCGATTCCAACGAAATCTTCACAGCTATCCAAATATCCACTTGCAGATACTACAAAAAGAGTGTATCAAAAGTGCTCTGTCAAAAGGAAAGTTCTTCTCTGCTAGTTGAGTACATACGTCATAAAGAAGTTTCTGAGAATGTTTCTGTCTAGTGGTTATGGGAAGATATTTGCTTTTCCCCGTAGGCCTCAGAGCGCTCCAAATATCCACTTGCACATACTACAAAAAGAGTGCTTCAAAGCTGCTCTCTGAAAGGGAATGTTCAACTCTATGAGTTGAATGCAAACATCACAAAGACGTTTCTGAGAATGCTTCTGTGTAGATTTGATATGAAGATATTCCCGTTTCCAACGAAATCTTCAAATCTATCCAAATGTCCACTTGCAGATTCAACAAAAAGTGTTTTTCAGAACTGCTCTATCAAAAGAAAGATCCACCTCTGTTAGCTGAGTTCACACATCACAAACAAGTTTATGAGAATGCTTCTGTCTAGTTTTTATTTGAAGATATTTCCTTTCTCACCATAGACCTGAAAGCTGTCCTAATGTTCACTTCCAGATACTACAGGAAGAGTGTTTCAAAACTGCTGTACGAAAGGGAATGTTCAACTCTGTGACTTGAATGCACACATCACAAAGAAGTTTCTGAGGATGCTGCTGTCTACTTTTTATACGTAATCCCGTTTCCAACGAAATCCTCCAAGCTATCCAAATATCCACTTGCAGATTCCACAGAAAGACTGTTTCAAAACTACTCTGTCCATAGAAAGGTTCAACTCTGTTAGCTGCGTGCATATATCCCAAAGAAGATTCTGAGATTGCTTCTGTCTACTTTTTATGAGAAGATATTTCCCTTTTCACCGTAGGCGTCAAGGCGCTCCAAATGTCCACTTCCAGATACTACAAAAAGAGTGTTTCAAACCTACTCTGTGAAAGGGAATATTGAACTCTGTGACTTGAATGCACATATCACAAAGAAGTTTCTGAGAATGCTTCTGTCGAGATTTTATATGAAGATATTCCCGTTTCCCACGAAATCCTGAAATCTATCCAAATATCCCATCGCAGATTCTACAAAAAGAGTGTTTCAAAACTGCCCTGTGAAAAGAAAGGTTCAACTCTGTTAGTTGAGTACACACATCACAAACAAGTTTCACAGAATGCTTCTTTCTCGCTTCTAGGGGAAGATATTTCCTTTATCACCATGGGCCTCAAACCGTTCGAAACATCCACTTCCATATACTACAAAAAGAGCGTTTCAAACCTGCTCTATGAAAGGCAATGTTCAACTCTGTGACTTGAATGCAGACATCACAAAGCAGTTTCTGAGAATGCTTCTGTCTAGATTTTATAGGAAGATATTCCCGTTTCCAACGAAATCTTCACAGATATCCAAATATCCACTTGCAGATGCTACAAAAAGAGTGTATCAAAAATGCTCTGTCAAAAGGAAGGTTCTTCTCTGTTAGGTGAGTGCATACGTCATAAAGGAGTTTCTGAGAATGTTTCTGTCTAGTGGTTATGGGAAGATATTTGCTTTTTCACCTTAGGCCTCAGAGCGCTCCAAATATCCCCTTGCACATACTACAAAAAGAGTGCTTCAAAGCTGCTCTCTGAAAGGGAATGTTCAACTCTATGAGTTGAATGCAAACATCACAAAGACGTTTCCTGAGAATGCTTCTGTCTAGATTTGCTATGAAGATATTCCCGTTTCCAACGAAATCTTCAAATCTATCCAAATGTCCACTTGCAGATTCAACAAAAAGTGTTTTTCAGAACTGCTCTATCAAAAGAAAGATCCACCTCTGTTAGCTGAGTTCAGACATCACAAACAAGTTTATGAGAATGCTTCTGTCTAGTTTTTATTTGAAGATATTTCCTTTCTCAACATAGACCTGAAAGCTGTCCTAATGTTCACTTCCAGATACTACAGAAAGAGCGTTTCAAAACTGCTGTACGAAAGGGAATGTTCAACTCTGTGACTTGAATGCACACATCACAAAGAAGTTTCTGAGGATGCTGCTGTCTACTTTTTATACGTAATCCCGTTTCCAACGAAATCCTCCAAGCTATCCAAATATCCACTTGCAGATTCCACAGAAAGACTGTTTCAAAACTGCTCTGTCAATAGAAAGGTTCAACTCTGTTAGCTGCGTGCATATATCTCAAAGAAGATTCTGAGATTGCTTCTGTCTAGTTTTTATGGGAAGATATTTCCCTTTTCACCGTAGGCGTCAAGGCGCTCCAAATGTCCACTTCCAGATACCACAAAAAGAGTGTTTCAAACCTACTCTGTGGAAGGGAATATTCAACTCTGTGACTTGAATGCAGATATCACAAAGAAGTTTCTGAGAATGCTTCTGTCGAGATTTTATATGAAGATATTCCCGGTTTCCAACGAAATCCTGAAATGTATCCAAATATCCCCTCGCAGATTCTACAAAAAGAGTGTTTCAAAACTGCTCTGTAAAAAGAAAGGTTCAACTCTGTTAGTTGAGTACACACATCACAAACAAGTTTCACACAATGCTTCTTTCTAGCTTGTAGGGGAAGATATTCCCTTTATCACCATGGGCCTCCAACCGTCCGAAAAGTCCACTTCCATATACTACAAAAAGAGCGTTTCAAACCTGCTCTATGAAAGGCAATGTTCAACTCTGTGACTTGAATGCAGACATCACAGAGCAGTTTCTGAGAATGCTTCTGTCTAGATTTTATAGGAAGATATTCCCGTTTCCAACGAAATCTTCACAGCTATCCAAATATCCACTTGTAGATTCTACAAAAAGAGTGTATCAAAACTGCTCTGTCAAAAGGAAGGTTCTTTTCTGTTAGGTGAGTGCATACGTCATAAAGGAGTTTCTGAGAATGTTTCTGTTAGTGGTTATGGGAAGATATTTGCTTTTTCACCGTAGGCCTCAGAGCGCTCCAAATATCCACTTGCACATACTACAAAAAGAGTGCTTCAAAGCTGCTCTCTGAAACGGAATGTTCAACTCTATGAGTTGAATGCAAACATCGCAAAGACGTTTCTGAGAATGCTTCTGTCTAGATTTGATATGAAGATATTCCCGTTTCCAACGAAATCTTCAAATCTATCCAAATGTCCACTTGCAGATTCAACAAAAAGTGTTTTTCAGAACTGCTCTATCAAAAGAAAGATCCACCTCTGTTAGCTGAGTTCACACATCCAAACAAGTTTATGAGAATGCTTCTGTCTAGTTTTTATTTGAAGATATTTCCTTTCTCACCATAGAGCTGAAAGCTGTCCTAATGTTCACTTCCAGATACTACAGAAAGAGTGTTTCAAAACTGCTGTACGAAAGGGAAATGTTCAACTCTGTGACTTGAATGCACACATCACAAAGAAGTTTCTGAGGATGCTGCTGTCTACTTTTTATACGTAATCCCGTTTCCAAGGAAATCCTCCAAGCTATCCAAATATCCACTTGCAGATTCCACAGAAAGACTGTTTCAAAACTGCTCTGTCAATAGAAAGGTTCAACTCTGTTAGTTGCGTGCATATATCCCAAGGTAAGATTCTGAGATTGCTTCTGTCTTGTTTTTATGGGAAGATATTTCCCTTTTCACCGTAGGTGTCAAGGCGCTCCAAATGTCCACTTCCAGATACTACAGAAAGAGTGTTTCAAACCTACTCTGTGAAAGGGAATATTCAACTCTGTGACTTGAAGGCAGATATCACAAAGAAGTTTCTGAGAATGCTTCTGTCGAGATTTTATATGAAGATATTCCCCTTTCCAACGAAATCCTGAAATCTATCCAAATATCCCCTCGCAGATTCTACAAAAAGAGTGTTTCAAAACTGCTCTGTAAAAAGAAAGGTTCAACTCTGTTAGTTGAGTACACACATCACAAACAAGTTTCAGAGAATGCTTCTTTCTAGCTTGTAGGGGAAGATATTCCCTTTATCACTATGGGCCTCAAACCATCCGAAACGTCCACTTCCATATACTACAAAAAGAGCGTTTCAAACCTGCTCTAGGAAAGGCAGTGTTCAACTCTGTGACTTGAATGCAGACATCACAGAGCAGTTTCTGAGAATGCTTCTGTCTAGATTTTATAGGAAGATATTCCCGTTTCCAACGAAATCTTCACAGCTATCCAAATATCCACTTGCAGATTCTGCAAAAAGAGTGTATCAAAACTGCTCAGTCAAAAGGAAGGTTCTTCTCTGTTAGGTGAGTGCATACGTCATAAAGGAGTTTCTGAGAATGTTCCTGTCTAGTGGTTATGGGAAGATATTTGCTTTTTCCCTGTAGGCCTCAAAGCGCTCCAAATGTCCACTTGCACATACTACAAAAAGAGTGCTTCAAAGCTGCTCTCTGAAAGGGAATGTTCAACTCTATGAGTTGAATGCTAACATCACAAAGACGTTTCTGAGAATGCTTCTGTCTAGATTTAATATGAAGATATTCCCGTTTCCAACGAAATCTTCAAATCTATCCAAATGTCCACTTGCAGATTCAACAAAAAGTGTTTTTCAGAACTGCTCTATCAAAAGAAAGATCCACCTCTGTTAGCTGAGTTCACACATCACAAACAAGTTTATGAGAATGCTTCTGTCTAGTTTTTATTTGAAGATATTTCCTTTCTCACCATAGACCTGAAAGCTGTCCTAATGTTCACTTCCAGATACTACAGAAAGAGTGTTTCAAAACTACTGTACGAAAGGGAATGTTCAACTCTGTGACTTGAATGCACACATCACAAAGAAGTTTCTGAGGATGCTGCTGTCTACTTTTTATACGTAATCCCGTTTCCAACGAAATCCTCCAAGCTATCCAAATATCCACTTGCAGATTCCACAGAAAGACTGTTTCAAAACTGCTCTGTCAATAGAAAGGTTCAACTCTGTTAGCTGCGTGCATATATCCCAAAGTAGATTCTGAGATTGCTTCTGTCTAGTTTTTATGGGAAGATATTTCCCTTTTCACCGTAGGTGTCAAGGCCCTCCAAATGTCCACTTCCAGATACTACAAAAAGAGTGTTTCAAACCTACTCTGTGAAAGGGAATATTCAACTCTGTGACTTGAATGCACATATCACAAAGAAGTTTCTGAGAATGCTTCTGTCGAGATTTTATATGAAGATATTCCCGTTTCCAACGAAATCCAGGAATGTATCCAAATATCCCCTCGCAGATTCTACAAAAAGAGTGTTTCAAAACTGCTCTGTAAAAAGAAAGGTTCAACTCTGTTAGTTGAGTGCACACATCACAAACAAGTTTCACAGAATGCTTCTTTCTAGCTTGTAGGGGAAGATATTCCCTTTATCACCATGGGCCTCAAACCGTCCGAAACGTCCACTTCCATATACTACAAAAAGAGCGTTTCAAACCTGCTCTATGAAAGGCAATGTTCAACTCTGTGACTTGAATACAGACGTCGCAGAGCAGTTCCTGAGAATGCTTCTGTCTAGATTTTATAGGAAGATATTCCCGTTTCCAACGAAATCTTCACAGGTATCCAAATATCCACTTGCAGATTCTACAAAAAGAGTGTATCAAAACTGCTCTGTCAAAAGGAAGGTTCTTCTGTGTTACGTGAGTGCATACGTCATAAAGGAGTTTCTGAGAATGTTTCTGTCTAGTGGTTATGGGAAGATATTTGCTTTTTCACCGTAGGCCTCAGAGCGCTCCAAATATCCACTTGCACATACTACAAAAAGAGTGCTTCAAAGCTGTTCTCTGTAACGGAATGTTCAACTCTATGAGTTGAATGCAAACATCACAAAGACGTTTCTGAGAATGCTTCTGTCTAGACTTGATATGAAGATATTCCCGTTTCCTACGAAATCTTCAAATCTATCCAAATGTCCACTTGCAGATTCAACAAAAAGTGTTTTTCAGAACTTCTCTATCAAAAGAAAGATCCACCTCTGTTAGCTGAGTTCACACATCACAAACAAGTTTATGAGAATGCTTCTGTCTAGTTTTTATTTGAAGATATTTCCTTTCTCACCATAGACCTGAAAGCTGTCCTAATGTTCACTTCCAGATACTACAGAAAGAGTGTTTCAAAACTGCTGTACGAAAGGGAATGTTCAACACTGTGACTTGAATGCACACATCACAAAGAAGTTTACTGAGGATGCTGCTGTCTACTTATTATACGTAATCCCGTTTCCAACGAAATCCTCCAAGCTATCCAAATATCCACTTGCAGATTCCACAGAAAGGCTGTTTCAAAACTGCTCTGTCAATAGAAAGGTTCAACTCTGTTAGCTGCGTGCATATATCCCAAAGAAGATTCTGAGATTGCTTCTGTCTAGTTTTTATGGGAAGATATTTCCCTTTTCACCGTAGGTGTCAAGGTGCTCAAAATGTCCACTTCCAGATACTACAAGAAGAGTGTTTCAAACCTACTCTGTGAAAGGCAATATTCAACTCTGTGACTTGAATGCAGATATCACAAAGAAGTTTCTGAGAATGCTTCTGTCGAGTATTTTATATGAAGATATTCCCGTTTCCAACGAAATCCTGTAATCTATCCAAATATCCCCTCGCAGATTCTACAAAAAGAGTGTTTCAAAACTGCTCTGTAAAAAGAAAGGTTCAACTCTGTTAGTTGAGTACACACCTCACAAACAAGTTTCACAGAATGCTTCTTTCTAGCTTGTAGGGGAAGATATTCCCTTTATCACCATGGGCCTCAAACCGTCCGAAACGTCCACTTCCATATACTACAAAAAGAGCGTTTCAAACCTGCTCTAGGAAAGGCAATGTTCAACTCTGTGACTTGAATGCAGACATCACAGAGCAGTTTTCTGAGAATGCTTCTGTCTAGATTTTATAGGAAGATATTCCCGTTTCCAACGAAATCTTCACAGCTATCCAAATATCCACTTGCAGATTCTACAAAAAGAGTGTACCAAAACTGCTCTGTCAAAAGGAAGGTTCTTCTCTGTTAGGTGAGTGCATACGTCATAAAGGAGTTTCTGAGAATGTTTCTGTTAGTGGTTATGGGAAGATATTTGCTTTTTCACTGTAGGCCTCAGAGCGCTCCAAATATCCACTTGCACATACTACAAAAAGAGTGCCTCAAAGCTGCTCTCTGAAACGGAATGTTCAACTCTATGAGTTGAATGCAAACATCGCAAAGACGTTTCTGAGAATGCTTCTGTCTAGATTTGATATGACGATATTCCCGTTTCCAACGAAATCTTCAAATCTATCCAAATGTCCACTTGCAGATTTAACAAAACGTGTTTTTCAGAACTGCTCTATCAAAAGAAAGATCCACCTCTGTTAGCTGAGTTCACACATCACAAACAAGTTTATGAGAATGCTTCTGTCTACTTTTTATTTGAAGATATTTCCTTTCTCACCATAGACCTGAAAGCTGTCCTAATGTTCACTTCCAGATACTACAGAAAGAGTGTTTCAAAACTGCTGTACGAAAGGGAATGTTCAACTCTGTGACTTGAATGCACACATCACAAGGAAGTTTCTCAGGATGCTGCTGTCTACTTTTTATACGTAATCCCGTTTCCAACGAAATCCTCCAAGCTATCCAAATATCCACTTGCAGATTCCACAGAAAGACTGTTTCAAAACTGCTATGTCAATAGAAAAGTTCAACTCTGTTGGCTGTGTGCATATATCCCAAAGAAAATTCTGAGATTGCTTCTGTCTAGTTTTTATGGGAAGATATTTCCCTTTTCACCGTAGGCGTCAAGGCGCTCCAAATGTCCACTTCCAGATACTACAAAAAGAGTGTTTCAAACCTACTCTGTGAAAGGGAATATTCAACTCGTGTGACTAGAATGCACGTATCACAAAGAAGTTTCTGAGAATGCTTCTGTCGAGATTTTATATGAAGATATTCCCGTTTCCAACGAAATCCTGAAATCTATCCAAATATCCCCTCGCAGATTCTACAAAAAGAGTGTTTCAAAACTGCTCTGTAAAAAGAAAGGTTCAACTCTGTTATTGAGTACACACATCACAAACAAGTTTCACACAATGCTTCTTTCTAGCTTGTAGGGGAAGATATTCCCTTTATCACCATGGGCCTCAAACCGTCCGAAACGTCCACTTCCATATACTACAAAAAGAGCGTTTCAAACCTGCTCTATGAAAGGCAATGTTCAACTCTGTGACTTGAATGCAGACATCACACAGCAGTTTCTGAGAATGCTTCTGTCTAGATTTTATAGGAAGATATTCCCGTTTCCAACGAAATCTTCACAGCTATCCAAATATCCACTTGCAGATTCTACAAAAAGAGTGTATCAAAACTGCTCTGTCAAAAGGAAGGTTCTTCTCTGTTAGGTGAGTGCATACGTTTAAAGGTGTTTCTGAGAATGTTTCTGTCTAGTGGTTATGGGAAGATATTTGCTTTTTCACCGTAGGCCTCAGAGCGCTCCAAATATCCACTTGCACATACTACAAAAAGAGTGCTTCAAAGCTGGTCTCTGAAACGGAATGTTCAACTCTATGAGTTGAATGCAAACATCACAAAGACGTTTTCTGAGAATGCTTCTGTCTAGATTTGATATGAAGATATTCCCGTTTCCAAGGGAAATCTTCAAATCTATCCAAATGTCCACTTGCAGATTCAACAAAAAGTGTTTTTCAGAACTGCTCTATCAAAAGAAAGATCCACTTCTGTTAGCTGAGTTCACACATCACAAACAAGTTTATGAGAATGCTTCTGTCTAGTTTTTATTTGAAGATATTTCCTTTCTCACCATAGACCTGAAAGCTGTCCTAGTGTTCACTTCCAGATACTACAGAAAGAGTGTTTCAAAACTGATGTACGAAAGGGAATGTTCAACTCTGTGACTTGAATGCACACATCACAAAGTAGTTTCTGAGGATGCTGCTGTCTACTTATTATACGTAATCCCGTTTCCAACGAAATCCTCCAAGCTATCCAAATATCCACTTGCAGATTCCACAGAAAGACTCTTTCAAAACTGTTCTGTCAATAGAAAGGTTCAACTCTGTTAGCTGCGTGCATATATCCCAAAGAAGATTCTGAGATTGCTTCTGTCTAGTTTTTATGGGAAGATATTTCCCTTTTCACCGTAGGCGTCAAGGCGCTCCAAATGTCCACTTCCAGATACTACAAAAAGAGTGTTTCAAACCTACTCTGTGAAAGGGAATATTCAACTCTGTGACTAGAATGCACATATCACAAAGAAGTTTCTGAGAATGCATCTGTCGAGATTTTATATGAAGATATTCCCGTTTCCAACGAAATGCTGAAATCTATCCAAATATCCGCTCGCAGATTCTACAAAAAGAGTGTTTCAAAACTGCTCTGTAAAAAGAAAGGTTCAACTCTGTTAGTTGAGTACACACATCACAAACAAGTTTCACAGAATGCTCTTTCTAGCTTGTAGGGGAAGATATTCCCTTTATCACCATGGGCCTCCAACCGTCCGAAACATCCACTTACATATACTACAAAAAGAGCGTTTCAAACCTGCTCTATGAAAGGCAATGTTCAACTCTGTGACTTGAATGCAGACATCACAGAGCAGTTTCTGAGAATGCTTTCTGTCTAGATTTTATAGGAAGATATTCCCGTTTCCAACGAAATCTTCACAGCTATCCAAATATCCACTTGCAGATTCTACAAAAAGAGTGTATCAAAAGTGCTCTGTCAAAAGGAAGGTTCTTCTCTGTTAGGTGAGTGCATACGTCATAAAGGAGTTTCTGAGAATGTTTCTGTCTAGTGGTTATGGGAAGATACTTGCTTTTTCACCGTAGGCCTCAGAGCGCTCCAAATATCCCCTTGCACATACTACAAAAAGAGTGCTTCAAAGCTGCTCTCTGAAACGGAATGTTCAACTCTATGAGTTGAATGCAAACATCACAAAGACGTTTCTGGGAATGCTTCTGTCTAGATTTGATATGAAGATATTCCCGTTTCCAACGAAATCTTCAAATCTATCCAAATGTCCACTTGCAGATTCAACAAAAGTGTTTTTCAGAACTGCTCTATCAAAAGAAAGATCCACCTCTGTTAGCTGAGTTCACACATCACAAACAAGTTTATGAGAATGCTTCTGTCTAGTTTTTATTTGAAGATATTTCCTTTCTCACCATAGACCTGAAAGCTGTCCTAATGTTCACTTCCAGTTACTACAGAAAGAGTGTTTCAAAACTGCTGTACGAAAGGGAATGTTCAACTCTGTGACTTGAATGCACACATCACAAAGAAGCTTCTGAGGATGCTGCTGTCTACTTTTTATACGTAATCCCGTTTCCAACGAAATCCTCCAAGCTATCCAAATATCCACTTGCAGATTCCACAGAAAGACTGTTTCAAAACTGCTCTGTCAATAGAAAGGTTCAACTCTGTTAGCTGGGTGCATATATCCCAAAGAAGATTCTGAGATTACTTCTGTCTACGTTTTTATGAGAAGATATTTCCCTTTTCACCGTAGGCGTCAAGGCGCTCCAAATGTCCACTTCCAGATACTACAAAAAGAGTGTTTCAAACCTACTCTGTGAAAGGGAATATTGAACTCTGTGACTTGAATGCACATATCAAAAAGAAGCTTCTGAGAATGCTTCTGTCGAGATTTTATATGAAGATATTCCCGTTTCCAATGAAATCCTGAAATCTATCCAAATATCCCCTCGCAGATTCTACAAAAAGAGTGTTTCAAAACTGCTCTGTAAAAAGAAAGGTTCAACTCTGTTAGTTGAGTACACACATCACAAACAAGTTTCACAGAATGCTATCTTTCTAGCTTGTAGGGGAAGATATTCCCTTTATCACCATGGGCCTCAAACAGTCTGAAACGTCCACTTCCATATACTACAAAAAGAGCATTTCAAACCTGCTCTATGAAAGGCAATGTTCAACTCTGTGACTTGAATGCAGACATCACAGAGCAGTTTCTGAGAATGCTTCTGTCTAGGTATTATAGGAGGATATTCCCGTTTCCAACGAAATCTTCACAGCTATCCAAATATCCACTTGCAGATTCTACAAAAAGAGTGTATCAAAACTGCTCTGTCAAAAGGAAGGTTCTTCTCTGTTAGGTGAGTGCATACGTCATAAAGGAGTTTCTGAGAATGTTTCTGTCTAGTGGTTATGGGAAGATATTTGCTTTTTCACCGTAGGCCTCAGAGCGCTCCAAATATCCACTTGCACATACTACAAAAAGAGTGCTTCAAACCTGCTCTCTGAAAGGGAATGTTCAACTCTATGAGTTGAATGCAAACATGACAAAGACGTTTCTGAGAATGCTTCTGTCTAGATTTGATATGAAGATATTCCCGTTTCCAACGAAATCTTCAAATCTATCCAAATGTCCACTTGCAGATTCAACAAAAAATGTTTTTCAGAACTGCTCTATCAAAAGAAAGATCCACCTCTGTTAGCTGAGTTCACACATCACAAACAAGTTAATGAGAATGCTTTCTGTCTAGTTTTTATTTGAAGATATTTCCTTTCTCACCATAGACCTGAAGCTGTCCTAATGTTCACTTCCAGATACTACAGAAAGAGTGTTTCAAAACTGCTGTACGAAAGGGAATGTTCAACTCTGTGACTTGAATGCACACATCACAAAGAAGTTTCTGAGGATGCTGCTGTCTACTTTTGATACGTAATCCCGTTTCCAACGAAATCCTCCAAGCTACCAAATATCCACTTGCAGATTCCACAGAAAGACTGTTTCAAAACTGCTCTGTCAATAGAAAGGTTCAACTCTGTTAGCTGCGTGCATATATCCCAAAGAAGATTCTGAGATTGCTTCTGTCTAGTTTTTATGGGAAGATATTTCCCTTTTCACCGTAGGCGTCAAGGCGCTCCAAATGTCCACTTCCAGATACTACAAAAAGAGTGTTTCAAACCTACTCTGTGAAAGGGAATATTCAACCCTGTGACTTGAAGGCAGATATCACAAAGAAGTTTCTGAGAATGCTTCTGTCGAGATTTTATATGAAGATATTCCCGTTTCCAACGAAATCCTGTAATCTATCCAAATATCCCCTCGCAGATTCTACAAAAAGAGTGTTTCAAAACTGCTCTGTAAAAAGAAAGGTTCAACTCTGTTAGTTGAGTACACACCTCACAAACAAGTTTCACAGAATGCTTCTTTCTAGCTTGTAGGGGAAGATATTCCCTTTATCACCATGGGCCTCAAACCGTCCGAAACGTCCACTTCCATATACTACAAAAAGAGCATTTCAAACCTGCTCTAGGAAAGGCAATGTTCAACTCTGTGACTTGAATGCAGACATCGCAGAGCAGTTTCTGAGAATGCTTCTGTCTAGATTTTATAGGAAGATATTCCCGTTTCCAACGAAATCTTCACAGGTATCAAAATATCCACTTGCAGATTCTACAAAAAGAGTGTATCAAAACTGCTCTGTCAAAAGGAAGGTTCTTCTCTGTTAGGTGAGTGCATACGTCATAAAGGAGTTTCTGAGAATGTTTCTGTCTAGTGGTTATGGGAAGATATTTGCTTTTTCACCGTAGGCCTCAGAGCGCTCCAAATATCCGCTTGCACATACTACAAAAAGAGTGCTTCAAAGCTGCTCTCTGAAACGGAATGTTCAACTCTATGAGTTGAATGCAAACATGACAAAGACGTTTCTGAGAATGCTTCTGTCTAGATTTGATATGAAGATATTCCCGTTTCCAAGGAAATCTTCAAATCTATCCAAATGTCCACTTGCAGATTCTACAAAAATTGTTTTTCAGAACTGCTCTATCAAAAGAAAAATCCACGTGTGTTAGCTGAGTTCACACATCACAAACAAGTTTATGAGAATGCTTCTGTCTAGTTTTTATTTGAAGATATTTCCTTTCTCACCATAGACCTGAAAGCTGTCCTAATGTTCACTTCCAGTTACTACAGAAAGAGTATTTCAAAACTGCTGTACGAAAGGGAATGTTCAACTCTGTGACTTGAATGCACACATCACAAAGAAGTTTGCTGAGGATGCTGCTGTCTACTTTTTATACGTAATCCCGTTTCCAAAGAAATCCTCCAAGCTATCCAAATATCCACTTGCAGATTCCACAGAAAGACTGTTTCAAAACGGGTCTGTCAATAGAAAGGTTCAACTCTGTTAGCTGCGTACATATATCCCAAAGAAGATTCTGAGATTGCTTCTGTCTACTTTTTATGAGAAGATATTTCCCTGTTCACCGTAGGCGTCAAGGCGCTCCAAATGTTCACTTCCAGATACTACAAAAAGAGTGTTTCAAACCTACTCTGTAAAAGGGAATATTCAACTCTGTGACTTGAATGCACATATCACAAAGAAGTTTCTGAGAATGCTTCTGTCGAGATTTTATATGAAGATATTCCCGTTTCCAACGAAATCCTGAAATCTATCCAAATATCCCCTCGCAGATTGTACAAAAAGAGTGTTTCAAAACTGCTCTGTAAAAAGAAAGGTTCAACTCTGTTAGTTGAGTACACACATCACAAACAAGTTTCACAGAATGCTTCTTTCTAGCTTGTAGGGGAAGATATTCCCTTTATCACCAAGGGCCTCAAACCGTCCGAAACGTCCACTTCCATATACTACAAAAACAGCATTTCAAACCTGCTCTAGGAAAGGCAATGTTCAACTCTGTGACTTGAATGCAGACATCACAGAGCAGTTTCTGAGAATGCTTCTGTCTAGATTTTATAGGAAGATATTCCTCGTTTCCAACGAAATCTTCACAGCTATCCAAATATCCACTTGCAGATTCTACAAAAAGAGTGTATCAAAACTGCTCTGTGAAAAGGAAGGTTCTTCTCTGTTAGGTGAGTGCATACGTCATAAAGGAGTTTCTGAGAATGTTTCTGTCTAGTGGTTATGGGAAGATATTTGCTTTTTCACCTTAGGCCTCAGAGAGCTCCAAATATCCACTTGCACATACTACAAAAAGAGTGCTTCAAAGCTGCTCTCTGAAAGGGAATGTTCAACTCTGTGAGTTGAATGCAAACATCACAAAGACGTTTCTGACAATGCTTTCTGTCTAGATTTGATATGAAGATATTCCCGTTTCCAACGAAATCTTCAAATCTATCCAAATGTCCATTTGCAGATTCAACAAAAAGAGTTTTTCAAAACTGTTATATCAAAAGAAAGATCCACATCTGTTAGCTGAGTTCACACATCACAAACAAGTTTAAGAGAATGCTTCTGTCTAGTTTTTATTTGAAGATATTTCCTTTCTCACCATAGACCTGAAAGCTGTCCTAATGTTCACTTCCAGATACTACAGAAAGAGTGTTTCAAAACTGCTGTATGAAAGGGAATGTTCAACTCTGTGACTTGAATGCAGACATCACAGAGCAGTTTCTGAGAATGCTGCTGTCTACTTTTTATACGTAATCCCGTTTCCAACGAAATCCTCCAAGCTATCCAAATATCCACTTGCAGATTCCACAGAAAGACTGTTTCAAAACTGCTCTGTCAATAGAAAGGTTCAACTCTGTTAGCTGCGTACATATATCCCAAAGAAGATTCTGAGATTGCTTCTGTCTACTTTTTATGAGAAGATATTTCCCTTTTCACCGTAGGCGTCAAGGCGCTCTAAATGTCCACTTCCAGATACTAGAAAAAGAGTGTTTCAAACCTACTCTGTGAAAGGGAATATTCAACTCTGTGACTTGAATGCACATATCACAAAGAAGCTTCTGAGAATGCTTCTGTCGAGATTTTATATGAAGATATTCCGGTTTCCAACAAAATCCTGAAATCTATCCAAATATCCCCTCGCAGATTCTACAAAAAGAGTGTTTCAAAACTGCTCTGTAAAAAGAAAGGTTCAACTCTGTTAGTTGAGTACACACATCACAAACAAGTTTCACAGAATGCTTCTTTCTAGCTTGTAGGGGAAGATATTCCCTTTATCACCATGGGCCTCCAACCGTCCGAAACATCCACTTCCATATACTACAAAAAAGCGTTTCAAACCTGCTCTATGAAAGGCAATGTTCAACTCTGTGACTTGAATGCAGACATCACAGAGCAGTTTCTGAGAATGCTTCTGTCTAGATTTTATAGGAAGATATTCCCGATTCCAACGAAATCTTCACAGCTATCCAAATATCCACTTGCAGATTCTACAAAAAGAGTGTATCAAAACTGCTCTGTCAAAAGGAAGGTTCTTCTCTGTTAGTTGAGTACAAACGTCATAAAGGAGTTTCTGAGAATGTTTCTGTCTAGTGGTTATGGGAAGATATTTGCTTTTTCCCCGTAGGCCTCAGGGCGCTCCAAATGTCCACTTGCACATGCTACAAAAAGAGTGCTTCAAAGCTGCCTCTCTGAAAGGGAATGTTCAACTCTATGAGTTGAATGCAAACATCACAAAGACGTTTCTGAGAATGCTTCTGTCTAGATTTGATATGAAGATATTCCCGTTTCCAACGAAATCTTCAAATCTATCCAAATGTCCACTTGCAGATTCAACAAAAAGTGTTTTTCAGAACTGCTCTATCAAAAGAAAGATCCACCTCTGTTAGCTGAGTTCACACAACACAAACAAGTTTATGAGAATGCTTCTGTCTAGTTTTTATTTGAAGATATTTCCTTTCTCACCATAGACCTGAAAGCTGTCCTAATGTTCACTTCCAGATACTACAGAAAGAGTGTTTCAAAACTGCTGTACGAAAGGGAATGTTCAACTCTTTGACTTGAATGCACACATCACAAAGAAGTTTCTGAGGATGCTGCTGTCTACTTTTTATACGTAATCCCGTTTCCAACGAAATCCTCCAAGCTATCCAAATATCCACTTGCAGATTCCACAGAAAGACTGTTTCAAATCTGCTCTGTCAATAGAAAGGTTCAACTCTGTTAGCTGCGTGCATATATCCCAAAGATGATTCTGAGATTTCTTCTGTCTAGTTTTGATGGGAAGATATTTCCCTTTTCACCGTAGGCGTCAAGGCGCTCCAAATGTCCACTTCCAGATACTACAAAAAGAGTGTTTCAAACCTACTCTGTGAAAGGGAATATTCAACTCTGTGACTTGAATGCACATATCACAAGGAAGTTTCTGAGAATGCTTCTGTCGCGATTTTATATGAAGATATTCCCCTTTCCAACGAAATCCTGAAATCTATCCAAATATCCCCTCGCAGATTCTACAAAAAGAGTGTTTCAAAACTGCTCTGTAAAAAGAAAGGTTCAACTCTGTTAGTTGAGTACACACATCACAAACAAGTTTCACAGAATGCTTCTTTCTAGCTTGTAGGGGAAGATATTCCCTTTATCACCATGGGCCTCAAACCGTCCGAAAAGTCCACTTCCATATACTACAAAAAGAGCATTTCAAACCTGCTCTATGAAAGGCAATGTTCAACTCTGTGACTTGAATGCAGACATCACAGAGCAGTTTCTGAGAATGCTTCTGTCCAGACTTTATAGGAAGATATTCCCGTTTCCAACGAAATCTTCACAGCTATCCAAATATCCACTTGCAGATAGTACAAAAAGAGTGTATCAAAAATGCTCTATCAAAAGGAAAGTTCTTCTCTGCTAGTTGAGTACATACGTCATAAAGAAGTTTCTGAGAATGTTTCTGTCTAGTGGTTATGGGAAGATATTTGCTTTTTCACCGTAGGCCTCAGAGCGCTCCAAATATCCCCTTGCACATACTACAAAAAGAGTGCTTCAAAGCTGCTCTCTGAAAGGGAATGTTCAACTCTAAGAGTTGAATGCAAACATCACAAAGACGTTTCTGAGAATGCTTCTGTCTAGATTTGATATGAAGATATTCCCGTTTCCAAAGAAATCTTCAAATCTATCCAAATGTCCACTTGCAGATTCAACAAAAAGTGTTTTTCAGAACTGCTCTATCAAAAGAAAGATCCACGTGTGTTAGCTGAGTTCACACATCACAAACAAGTTTATGAGAATGCTTCTGTCTAGATTTGATATGAAGATATTCCCGTTTCCAACGAAATCTTCAAATCTATCCAAATGTCCACTTGCAGATTCAACAAAAAGTGTTTTTCAGAACTGCTCTATCAAAAGAAAGATCCACGTGTGTTAGTTGAGTTCACACATCACAAACAAGTTTATGAGAATGCTTGCTGTCTACTTTTATACCTAATCCCGTTTCCAACGAAATCCTCCAAGCTATCCAAATATCCACTTGCAGATTCCACAGAAAGACTGTTTCAAAACTGCTCTGTCAATAGAAAGGTTCAACTCTGTTAGCTGCGTGCATATATCCCAAAGAAGATTCTGAGATTGCTTCTGTCTAGTTTTTATGGGAAGATATTTCCCTTTTCACCGTAGGTGTCAAGGCGCTCCAAATGTCCACTTCCAGATACTACAAAAAGAGTGTTTCAAACCTACTCTGTGAAAGGGAACATTCAACTCTGTGACTTGAATGCACATATCACAAAGAAGTTTCTGAGAATGCTTCTGTCGAGATTTTATATGAAGATATTCCCCTTTCCAACGAAATCCTGAAATCTATCCAAATATCCCCTCGCAGATTCTACAAAAAGCGTGTTTCAAAACTGCTCTGTAAAAAGAAAGGTTCAACTCTGTTAGTTGAGTACACACATCACAAACAAGTTTCACAGAATGCTTCTTTCTAGCTTGTAGGGGAAGATATACCCTTTATCACCATGGGCCTCAAACCGTCCGAAAAGTCCACT
Source organism: Homo sapiens (assembly GCF_000001405.40). Taxonomy (NCBI): domain Eukaryota; kingdom Metazoa; phylum Chordata; class Mammalia; order Primates; family Hominidae; genus Homo; species Homo sapiens. Next base: position 17,130,422 of record NC_000013.11, on the reverse strand, counting down.
TCCATATACTACAAAAAGAGCGTTTCAAACCTGCTCTATGAAAGGCAATGTTCAACTCTGTGACTTGAATGCAGACATCACAGAGCAGTTTCTGAGAATGCTTCTGTCTAGATTTTATAGGAAGATATTCCCGTTTCCAACGAAATCTTCACAGCTATCCAAATATCCACTTGCAGATTCTACAAAAAGAGTGTATCAAAACTGCTCTGTCAAAAGGAAGGTTCCTTTCTGTTAGGTGAGTGCATACGTCATAAAGGAGTTTCTGAGAATGTTTCTGTCTAGTGGTTATGGGAAGATATTTGCTTTTTCACCGTAGGCCTCAGAGCGCTCCAAATATCCACTTGCACATACTACAAAAAGAGTGCCTCAAAGCTGCTCTCTGAAACGGAATGTTCAACTCTATGAGTTGAATGCAAACATCACAAAGACGTTTCTGAGAATGCCTCTGTCTAGATTTGATATGAAGATATTCCCGTTTCCAACGAAATCTTCAAATCTATCCAAATGTCCACTTGCAGATTCAACAAAAAGAGTTTTTCAGAACTGCTCTATCAAAAGAAAGATCCACCTCTGTTAGCTGAGTTCACACATCACAAACAAGTTTATGAGAATGCTTCTGTCTAGTTTTTATTTGAAGATATTTCTTTTCTCACCATAGACCTGAAAGCTGTCGTAATGTTTACTTCCAGATACTACAGAAAGAGTGTTTCAAAACTAATGTACGAAACGGAATGTTCAACTCTGTGACTTGAATGCACACATCACAAAGAAGTTTCTGAGGATGCTGCTGTCTACTTTTTATACGTAATCCCGTTTCCAACGAAATCCTCCAAGCTATCCAAATATCCACTTGCAGATTCCACAGAAAGACTGTTTCAAAACTGCTCTGTCAATAGAAAGGTTCAACTCTGTTAGCTGCGTGCATATATCCCAAGAAGATTCTGAGATGGCTTCTGTCTAGTTTTTATGGGAAGATATTTCCTTTTTCACCGTAGGCGTCAAGGCGCTCCAAATGTCCACTTCCAGATACTACAAAAAGAGTGTTTCAAACCTACTCTGTGAAAGGGAATATTCAACTCTGTGACTTGAATGCACATATCACAAGGAAGTTTCTGAGAATGCTTCTGTCGAGAATTTATATGAAGATATTCCCGTTTCCAACGAAATCCTGAAATCTCTCCAAATATCCCCTCGCAGATTCTACAAAAAGAGTGTTTCAAAACTGCTCTGTAAAAAGAAAGGTTCAACTCTGTTAGTTGAGTACACACATCACAAACAAGTTTCACAGAATGCTTCTTTCTAGCTTGTAGGGGAAGATATTCCCTTTATCACAATGGGCCTCAAACCGTCCGATAAGTCCACTTCCATATACTACAAAAAGAGCGTTTCAAACCTGCTCTATGAAAGGCAATGTTCAACTCTGTGACTTGAATGCAGACATCACAGAGCAGTTTCTGAGAATGCTTCTGTCTAGATTTTATAGGAAGATATTCCCGTTTCCAACGAAATCTTCACAGCTATCCAAATATCCACTTGCAGATTCTACAAAAAGAGTGTATCAAAACTGCTCTGTCAAAAGGAAGGTTCTTCTCTGTTAGGTGAGTACATACCGTCATAAAGGAGTTTCTGAGAATGTTTCCATCTAGTGGTTATGGGAAGATATTTGCTTTTTCACCGAAGGCCTCAGAGCGCTCCAAATATCCACTTGCACATACTACAAAAAGAGTGCCTCAAAGCTGCTCTCTGAAACGGAATGTTCAACTCTATGAGTTGAATGCAAACATCGCAAAGACGTTTCTGAGAATGCTTCTGTCTAGATTTGATATGAAGATATTCCCGTTTCCAACGAAATCTTCAAATCTATCCAAATGTCCACTTGCAGATTCAACAAAAAGTGTTTTTCAGAACTGCTCTATCAAAAGAAAGATCCACCTCTGTTAGCTGAGTTCAGACATCGCAAACATGTTTATGAGAATGCTTCTGTCTAGTTTTTATTTGAAGATATTTCCTTTCTCACCATAGACCTGAAAGCTGTCCTAATGTTCACTTCCAGATACTACAGAAAGAGTGTTTAAAAACTGCTGTACGAAAGGGAATGTTCAACTCTGTGACTTGAATGCACACATCACAAAGAAGTTTCTGAGGATGCTGCTGTCTACTTTTTATACGTAATCCCGTTTCCAACGAAATCCTCCAAGCTATCCAAATATCCACTTCCAGATTCCACAGAAAGACTGTTTCAAAACTGCTCTGTCAATAGAAAGGTTCAACTCTGTTAGCTGCGTGCATATATCCCAAAGAAGATTCTGAGATTGCTTCTGTCTAGTTTTTATGGGAAGATATTTCCCTTTTCACCGTAGGCGTCAAGGCGCTCCAAATGTCCACTTCCAGATACTACAAAACGAGTGTTTCAAACCTACTCTGTGAAAGGGAATATTCAACTCTGTGACTTGAATGCACATATCAGAAGGAAGTTTCTGAGAATGCTTCCGTCGAGATTTTATATGAAGATATTCCCGTTTCCAACGAAATCCTGAAATCTATCCAAATATCCGCTCGCAGATTCTACAAAAAGAGTGTTTCAAAACTGCTCTGTGAAAAGAAAGGTTCAACTCTGTTAGTTGAGTACACACATCACAAACAAGTTTCACAGAATGCTTCTTTCTAGCTTGTAGGGGAAGATATTCCCTTTATCACCATGGGCCTCAAACCGTCCGATAAGTCCACTTCCATATACTACAAAAAGAGCGTTTCAAACCTGCTCTATGAAAGGCAATGTTCAACTCCGTGACTTGAATGCAGACATCACAGAGCAGTTTCTGAGAATGCTTCTGTCTAGATTTTATAGGAAGATATTCCCGTTTCCAACGAAATCTTCACAGCTATCCAAATATCCACTTGCAGATTCTACAAAAAGAGTGTATCAAAAATGCTCTGTCAAAAGGAAGGTTCTTCTCTGTTAGTTGAGTACATACGTCATAAAGGAGTTTCTGAGAATGTTTCTGTCTAGTGGTTATGGGAAGATATTTGCTTTTTCACCGTAGGCCTCAGAGCGCTCCAAATATCCACTTGCACATACTACAAAAAGAGTGCCTCAAAGCTGCTCTCTGAAACGGAATGTGCAACTCTATGAGTTGAATGCAAACATCGCAAAGACGTTTCTGAGAATGCTTCTGTCTAGATTTGATATGAAGATATTCCCGTTTCCAACGAAACCTTCAAATCTATCCAACTGTCCTCTTGCAGATTCAACAAAAAGTGTTTTTCAGAACTGCTCTATCAAAAGAAAGATCCACGTGTGTTAGCTGAGTTCACACATCACGAACAAGTTTATGAGAATGCTTCTGTCTAGTTTTTATTTGAAGATATTTCCTTTCTCACCATAGACCTGAAAGCTGTCCTAATGTTCACTTCCAGATACTACAGAAAGAGTGTTTCAAAACTGCTGTATGAAAGGGAATGTTCAACTCTGTGACTTGAATGCACACATCACAAATAAGTTTCTGAGGATGCTGCTGTCTACTTTTTATACATAATCCCGTTTCCAACGAAATCCTCCAATCTATCCAAATATCCACTTGCAGATTCCACAGAAAGACTGTTTCAAAACTGCTCTGTCAATAGAAAGGTTCAACTCTGTTAGCTGCGTGCATATATCCCAAAGAAGATTCTGAGATTGCTTCTGTCTAGTTTTTATGGGAAGATATTTCCCTTTTCACCGTAGGCGTCAAGGCGCTCCAAATGTCCACTTCCAGATACTACAAAAAGAGTGTTTCAAACCTACTCTGTGAAAGGGAATATTCAACTCTGTGACTTGAATGGAGATATCACAAAGAAGTTTCTGAGAATGCTTCTGTCGAGATTTTATATGAAGATAATCCCCTTTCCAACGAAATTCTGAAATCTATCCAAATATGCCCTCGCAGATTCTACAAAAAGAGTGTTTCAAAACTGCTCTGTAAAAAGAAAGGTTCAACTCTGTTAGTTGAGTACACACATCACAAACAAGTTTCACAGAATGCTTCTTTCTAGCTTGTAGGGGAAGATATTCCCTTTATCACCATGGGCCTCAAACCGTCCGAAACGTCCACTTCCATATACTACAAAAAGAGTGTTTCAAACCTGCTCTATGAACGGCAATGTTCAACTCTGTGACTTGAATGCAGACATCACAGAGCAGTTTCTGAGAATGCTTCTGTCCAGAGTTTATAGGAAGATATTCCCGTTTCCAACGAAATCTTCACAGCTATTCAAATATCCACTTGCAGATACTAAAAAAGTGTATCAAAAATGCTCTGTCAAAAGGAAAGCTCTTCTCTGCTAGTTGAGTACATTCGTCATAAAGAAATTTCTGAGAATGTTTCTGTCTAGTGGTTATGGGAAGATATTTGCTTTTTCCCCGTAGGCCTCAGGGCGCTCCAAATGTCCACTTGCACATGCTACAAAAAGAGTGCTTCAAAGCTGCTCTCTGAAAGGGAATGTTCAACCCTATGAGTTGAATGCAAACATCACAAAGACGTTTCTGAGAATGCTTCTGTCTAGATTTGATATGAAGATATTCCCGTTTCCAACGAAATCTTCAAATCTATCCAAATGTCCACTTGCAGATTCAACAAAGTGTTTTTCAAAACTGCTGTATCAAAAGAAACATCCACCTCTGTTAGCTGAGTTCACACTTCACAAACAAGTTTATCAGAATGCTTCTGTCTAGTTTTTATTTGAAGATATTTCCTTTCTCACCATAGACCTGAAAGCTGTCCTAATGTTCAATTCCAGATACTACAGAAAGAGTGTTTCAAAACTGCTGTACGAAAGGGAATGTTCAACTCTGTGACTTGAATGCACACATCACAAAGAAGTTTCTGAGGATGCTGCTGTCTACTTTTTATACGTAATCCCGTTTCCAACGAAATCCTCCAAGCTATCCAAATATCCACTTGCAGATTCCACAGAAAGACTGTTTCAAACCTGCTCTGTCAATAGAAAGGTTCAACTCTGTTAGCTGCGTGCATATATCCCAAAGAAGATTCTGAGATTGCTTTCTGTCTAGTTTTTATGGGAAGATATTTCCCTTTTCACCGTAGGTGTCAAGGCGCTCCAAATATCCACTTCCAGATACTACAAAAAGAGTGTTTCAAACCTACTCTGTGAAAGGGAATATTCAACTCTGTGACTTGAATGCACATATCACAAAGAAGTTTCTGAGAATGCTTCTGTCGAGATTTTATATGAAGATATTCCCGTTTCCAACGAAATTCTGAAATGTATCCAAATATCCCCTCGCAGATTCTACAAAAAGAGTGTTTCAAAACTGCTCTGTAAAAAGAAAGGTTCAGCTCTGTTAATTGAGTACACACATCACAAACAAGTTTCACACAATGCTTCTTTCTAGCTTGTAGGGGAAGATATTCCGTTTATCACCATGGGCCTCAAACCGTCCGAAACGTCTACTTCCATATACTACAAAAAGAGCGTTTCAAACCTGCTCTATGAAAAGCAATGTTCAACTCTGTGACTTGAATGCAGACATCACAGAGCAGTTTGCTGAGAATGCTTCTGTATAGATTTTATAGGAAGATATTCCCGTTTCCAACGAAATCTTCACAGCTATCCAAATATCCACTTGCAGATTCTACAAAAAGAGTGTATTCAAACTGCTCTGTCAAAAGGAAGGTTCTTCTCTGTTAGTTGAGTACATACGTCATAAAGGAGTTTCTGAGAATGTTTCTGTCTAGTGGTTATGGGAAGATATTTGCTTTTTCACCTTAGGCCTCAGAGCACTCCAAATATCCCCTTGCAGATACTATAAAAAGAGTGCTTCAAAGCTGCTCTCTGAAACGGAATGTTCAACTCTATGAGTTGAATGCAAACATGACAAAGACGTTTCCGAGAATGCTTCTGTCTAGATTTGATATGACGATATTCCAGTTTCCAACGAAATCTTCAAATCTATCCAAATGTCCACTTGCAGATTCAACAAAAAGTGTTTTTCAGAACTGCTCTATCAAAAGAAAGATCCACCTGTGTTAGCTGAGTTCACACATCACAAACAAGTTTATGAGAATGTTTCTGTCTGGTTTTTATTTGAAGATATTTCTTTTCTCACCATAGACCTGAAAGCTGTCCTAATGTTCACTTCCAGATACTACAGAAAGAGTGTTTCAAAACTGCTGTACGAAAGGGAATGTTCAACTCTGTGACTTGAATGCACACATCACAAAGAAGTTTCTGAGGATGCTGCTGTTCTACTTTTTATACGTAATCCCGTTTCCAACGAAATCCTCCAAGCTATCCAATATCCACTTGCAGATTCCACAGAAAGACTGTTTCAAAACTGCTCTGTCAATAGAAAGGTTCAACTCTGTTAGCTGCGTGCATATATCCCAAAGAAGATTCTGAGATTGCTTCTGTCTAGTTTTTATGGGAAGATATTTCCCTTTTCACCGTAGGCGTCAAAGCGCTCCAAATGTCCACTTCCAGATACTACAAAAAGAGTGTTTCAAACCTACTCTGTGAAAGGGAATATTCAACTCTGTGATTTGAATGCAGATATCACAAAGAAGTTTCTGAGAATGCTTCTATCGAGATTTTCTATGAAGATATTCCCGTTTCCAACGAAATCCTGAAATCTATCCAAATATCCCCTCGCAGATTCTACAAAAAGAGTGTTTCAAAACTGCTCTGTAAAAAGAAAGGTTCAACTCTATTAGTTGAGTACACACATCACAAACAAGTTTCACAGAATGCTTCTTTCTAGCTTGTAGGGGAGATATTCCCTTTAACACCATGGGCCTCAAACCGTCCGAAACGTCCACTTCCATATACTACAAAAAGAGCGTTTCAAACCTGCTCTATGAAAGGCAATGTTCAACTCTGTGACTTGAATGCAGACATCACAGAGCAGTTTCTGAGAATGCTTCTGTCTAGATTTTATAGGAAGATATTCCCGTTTGCAACGAAATCTTCACAGCTATCCAAATATCCACTTGCAGATTCTACAAAAAGAGTGTATCAAAACTGCTCTGTCAAAAGGAAGGTTCTTCTCTGTTAGGTGAGTGCATACGTCATAAAGGAGTTTCTGAGAATGTTTCTGTCTAGTGGTTATGGGAAGATATTTGCTTTTTCACCGTAGGCCTCAGAGCGCTCCAAATATCCACTTGCACATACTACAAAAAGAGTGTTTCAAAGCTGCTCTCTGAAACGGAATGTTCAACTCTATGAGTTGAATGCAAACATGACAAAGACGTTTCTGAGAATGCTTCTGTCTAGATTTGTTATGAAGATATACCCGTTTCCAACGAAATCTTCAAATCTATCCAAATGTCCACTTGCAGATTCAACAAAGTGTTTTTCAAAACTGCTGTATCAAAAGAAAGATCCACTTGTGTTATCTGAGTTCACACTTCACAAACAAGTTTATCAGAATTCTTCTGTCTAGTTTTTATTTGAAGATATTTCCTTTCTCACCATAGACCTGAAAGCTGTCCTAATGTTCACTTCCAGATACTACAGAAAGAGTGTTTCGAAACTGCTGTACGAAAGGGAATGTTCAACTCTGTGACTTGAATGCACACATCACAAAGAAGTTTCTGAGGATGCTGCTGTCTACTTTTTATACGTAATCCCGTTTCCAACGTAATCCTCCAGGCTATCCAAATATCCACTTGCAGATTCCACAGAAAGACTGTTTCAAATCTGCTCTGTCAATAGAAAAGTTCAACTCTATTAGCTGCGTGCATATATCCCAAAGAAGATTCTGAGATTGCTTCTGTCTAGTTTTTATGGGAAGATATTTCCCTTTTCACCGTAGGTGTCAAGGCGCTCCAAATGTCAACTTCCAGATACTACAAAAAGAGTGTTTCAAACCTACTCTGTGAAAGGGAATATTCAACTCTGTGACTTGAATGCACATATCACAAAGAAGTTTCTGAGAATGCTTCTGTCGAGATTTTATATGAAGATATTCCCGTTTCCAACGAAATCCTGAAATCTATCCAATTATCCCCTCGCAGATTCTACAAAAAGAGTGTTTCAAAACTGCTCTGTAAAAAGAAAGGTTCAACTCTGTTAGTTGAGTACACACATCACAAACAAGTTTCACAGAATGCTTCTTTTTAGCTTGTAGGGGAAGATATTCCCTTTATCACCATGGGCCTCCAACCTTCCGAAACATCCAGTTCCATATACTACAAAAAGAGCATTTCAAACCTGCTCTATGAAAGGCAATGTTCAACTCTGTGACTTGAATGCAGACATCACAGAGCAGTTTCTGAGAATGCTTCTGTCTAGAATTTATAAGAAGATATTCCCGTTTCCAACGAAATCTTCACAGCTATCCAAATATCCACTTGCAGATTCTACAAAAAGAGTGTATCAAAAGTGCTCTGTCAAAAGGAAGGTTCTTCTCCGTTAGGTGAGTGCATACGTCATAAAGGAGTTTCTGAGAATGTTTCTGTCTAGTGGTTATGGGAAGATATTTGCTTTTTCACCGTAGGCCTCAGAGCGCTCCAAATATCCACTTGCACATACTACAAAAAGAGTGCTTCAAAGCTGCTCTCTGAAACGTAATGTTCAACTCTATGAGTTGAATGCAAACATCACAAAGACGTTTCCGAGAATGCTTCTGTCTAGATTTGATATGAAGATATTCCCGTTTCCAACGAAATCTTCAAATCTATCCAAATGTCCACTTGCAGATTCAACAAAAAGTGTTTTTCAGAACTGCTCTATCAAAAGAAAGATCCACCTCTGTTAGATGAGTTCACACATCACAAACAAGTTTATGAGAATGCTTCTGTCTAGTTTTTATTTGAAGATATTTCCTTTCTCACCATAGACCTGAAAGCTGTCCTAATGTTCACTTCCAGATACTACAGAAAGAGTGTTTCAAAACTGCTGTACGGAAGGGAATGTTCAACTCTGTGACTTGAATGCACACATCACAAAGAAGTTCCTGAGGACGCTGCTGTCTACTTTTTATGCGTAATCCCGTTTCCAACGAAATCCTCCAAGCTATCCAAATATCCACTTGCAGATTCCACAGAAAGACTGTTTCAAAACTGCTCTGTCAATAGAAAGGTTCAACTCTGTTAGCTGCGTGCATATATCCCAAAGAAGATTCTGAGATTGCTTCTGTCTAGTTTTGATGGGAAGATATTTCCCTTTTCACCGTGGGCGTCAAGGCGCTCCAAATGTCCACTTCCAGATACTACAAAAAGAGTGTTTCAAACCTACTCTGTGAAAGGGAATATTCAACTCTGTGACTTGAATGCACATATCACAAGGAAGTTTCTGAGAATGCTTCTGTCGAGATTTTATATGAAGATATTCCCGTTTCCAACGAAATCCTGAAATCTATCCAAATATCCCCTCGCAGATTCTACAAAAAGAGTGTTTCAAAACTGCTCTCTAAAAAGGAAGGTTCAACTCTGTTAGTTGAGTACACACATCACAAACAAGTTTCACAGAATGCTTCTTTCTAGCTTGTAGGGGAAGATATTCCCTTTATCACCATGGGCCTCAAAGCGTCCGAAACGTCCACTTCCATATACTACAAAAAGAGCGTTTCAAACCTGCTCTAGGAAAGGCAATGTTCAACTCTGTGACTTGAATGCAGACATCACAGAGTAGTTTCTGAGAATGCTTCTGTCTAGATTTTATAGGAAGATATTCCCGTTTCCTACGAAATCTTCACAGCTATCCAAATATCCACTTGCAGATTCTACAAAAAGAGTGTATCAAAACTGCTCTGTCAAAAGGAAGGTTCTTCTCTGTTAGGTGAGTGCATACGTCATAAAGGAGTTTCTGAGAATGTTTCTGTCTAGTGGTTATGGGAAGATATTTGCTTTTTCACCGTAGGCCTCACAGCGCACCAAATATCCACTTGCACATACTACAAAAAGAGTGCCTCAAAGCTGCTCTCTGAAACGGAATGTTCAACTCTATGGGTTGAATGCAAACATCACAAAGACGTTTCTGAGAATGCTTCTGTCTAGATTTGATATGAAGATATTCCCGTTTCCAACGAAATCTTCAAATCTATCCAAATGTCCACTTGCAGATTCAACAAAAAGTGTTTTTCAAAACTGCTGTATCAAAAGAAAGATCCACCTCTGTTAGCTGAGTTCACACATCACAAACAAGTTTATGAGAAAGCTTCTGTCTAGTTTTTATTTGAAGATCTTTCCTTTCTCACCATAGACCTGAAAGCTGTCCTAATGTTCACTTCCAGATACTACAGAAAGAGTGTTTCAAAACTGCTGTACGAAAGGGAATGTTCAACTCTGTGACTTGAATGCACACATCACAAAGAAGTTTCTGAGGATGCTGCTGTCTACTTTTTATACGTAATCCCGTTTCCAAAGAAATCCTCCAAGCTATCCAAATATCCACTTGCAGATTCCACAGAAAGACTGTTTCAAAACGGGTCTGTCAATAGAAAGGTTCAACTACTGTTAGCTGCGTACATATATCCCAAAGAAGATTCTGAGATTGCTTCTGTCTAGTTTTTATGGGAAGATATTTCCCTTTTCACCGTAGGCGTCAAGGCGCTCCAAATGTCCAATTCCAGATACTATAAAAAGAGTGTTTCAAAACTACTCTGTGAAAGAGAATATTCAACTCTGTGACTGGAATGCAGATATCACAAAGAAGTTTCTGAGAATGCTTCTGTCGAGATTTTATATGAAGATATTCCCGTTTCCAACGAAATCCTGAAATCTATCCAAATATCCCCTCGCAGATTCTACAAAAAGAGTGTTTCAAAACTGCTCTGTAAAAAGAAAGGTTCAACTCTGTTAGTTGAGTACACACATCACAAACAAGTTTCAGAGAATGCTTCTTTCTAGCTTGTAGGGGAAGATATTCCCTTTATCACCATGGGCCTCAAACCGTCCGAAACGTCCACCTTCCATATACTACAAAAAGAGCGTTTCAAACCTGCTCTAGGAAAGGCAATGTTCAACTCTGTGACTTGAATGCAGACATCACAGAGCAGTTTCTGAGAATGCTTCTGTCCAGACTTTATAGGAAGATATTCCCGTTTCCAACGAAATCTTCACAGCTATCCAAATATCCACTTGCAGATACTACAAAAGAGTGTATCAAAAATGCTCTGTCAAAAGGAAAGTTCTTCTCTGCTAGTTGAGTACATACGTTATAAAGAAGTTTCTGAGAATGTTTCTGTCTAGTGGTTATGGGAAGATATTTGCTTTTTCCCCGTAGGCCTCAGAGCGCTCCAAATGTCCACTTGCACATGCTACAAAAAGAGTGCTTCAAAGCTGCTCTCTGAAAGGGAATGTTCAACTCTATGAGTTGAATGCAAACAACACAAAGACGTTTCTGAGAATGCTTCTGTCTAGATTTGATATGAAGATATTCCCGTTTCCAACGAAATCTTCAAATCTATCCAAATGTCCACTTGCAGATTCAACAAAAAGTGTTTTTCAGAACTGCTCTATCAAAAGAAAGATCCACCTCTGTTAGCTGAGTTCACACCTCACAAACAACTTTATGAGAATGCTTCTGTCTAGTTTTTATTTGAAGATATTTCCTTTCTCACCATAGACCTGAAAGCTGTCCTAATGTTCACTTCCAGATACTACAGAAAGAGTGTTTCAAAACTGCTGTACGAAAGGGAATGTTCAACTCTGTGACTTGAATGCACACATCAGAAAGAAGTTTCTGAGGATGCTGCTGTCTACGTTTTATACGTAATCCCGTTTCCAACGAAATCCTCCAAGCTATCCAAATATCCACTTGCAGATTCCACAGAAAGACTGTTTCAAAACTGCTCTGTCAATAGAAAGGTTCAACTCTGTTAACTGCGTGCATATATCCCAAAGAAGATTCTGAGATTGCTTCTGTCTAGTTTTTATGGGAAGATATTTCCCTTTTCACCGTAGGTGTCAAGGCGCTCCAAATGTCCACTTCCAGATACTACAAAAAGAGTGTTTCAAACCTACTCTATGAAAGGGAATATTCAACTCTGTGACTTAAAGGCAGATATCACAAAGAAGTTTCTGAGAATGCTTCTGTCGAGATTTTATATGAAGATATTCCCGTTCCCAACGAAATCCTCAAATCTATCCAAATATCCCCTCACAGATTCTACAAAAAGAGTGTTTCAAAACTGCTCTGTAAAAAGAAAGGTTCAACTCTGTTAGTTGAGTACACACATCACAAACAAGTTTCACAGAATGCTTCTTTCTAGCTTGTAGGGGAAGATATTCCCTTTATCACCATGGGCCTCAAACCATCCGAAAGGTCCACTTCAATATACTACAAAAAGAGCGTTTCAAACCTGCTCTAGGAAAGGGAATGTTCAACTCTGTGACTTGAATGCAGACATCACAGAGCAGTTTCTGAGAATGCTTCTGTCTAGATTTTATAGGAAGATATTCCCGTTTCCAACGAAACCTTCACAGCTATCCAAATATCCACTTGCAGATTCTACAAAAAGAGTGTATCAAAACTGCTCTGCCAAAAGGAAGGTTCTTCTCTGTTAGGTGAGTGCATACGTCATAAAGGAGTTTCTGAGAATGTTTCAGTCTAGTGGTTATGGGAAGATATTTGTTTTTTCCCCGTAGGACTCAGAGCGCTCCAAATATCCACTTGCACATACTACAAAAAGAGTGCTTCAAAGCTGCTCTCTGAAACGGAATGTTCAACTCTATGAGTTGAATGCAAACATCACAAAGACGTTTCTGAGAATGCTTCTGTCTAGATTTGATATGAAGATATTCCCGTTTCCAAAGAAATCTTCAAATCTATCCAAATGTCCTCTTGCAGATTCAACAAAAAGTGTTTTTCAGAACTGCTCTATCAAAAGAAAGATCCACGTGTGTTAGCTGAGTTCACACATCACGAACAAGTTTATGAGAATGCTTCTGTCTAGTTTTTATTTGAAGATATTTCCTTTCTCACCATAGACCTGAAACCTGTCCTAATGTTCACTTCCAGATACTACAGAAAGAGTGTTTCAAAACTGCTGTACGAAAGGGAATGTTCAACTCTGTGACTTGAATGCACACATCACAAAGAAGTTTCTGAGGATGCTGCTGTCTACTTTTTATACGTAATCCCGTTTCCAACGAAATCCTCCAAGCTATCCAAATATCCACTTGCAGATTCCACAGAAAGACTGTTTCAAAACTGCTCTGTCAATAGAAAGGTTCAACTCTGTGAGCTGCGTGCATATATCCCAAAGAAGATTCTGAGATTGCTTCTGTCTAGTTTTTATGGGAAGATATTTCCCTTTTCACCGTAGGTGTCAAGGCGCTCCAAATGTCCACTTCCAGATACTACAAAAAGAGTGTTTCAAACCTACTCTGTGAAAGGCAATATTCAACTCTGTGACTTGAATGCAGATATCACAAAGAAGTTTCTGAGAATGATTCTGTCGAGATTTTATATGAAGATATTCCCGTTTCCAACGAAATCCTGAAATCTATCCAAATATCCCCTTGCAGATTCTACAAAAAGAGTGTTTCAAAACTGCTCTGTGAAAAGAAAGGTTCAACTCTGTTAGTTGAGTACACACATCACAAACAAGTTTCACAGAATGCTTCTTTCTAGCTTGTAGGGGAAGATATTCCCTTTATCACCATGGGCCTCCAACCGTCCGAAACATCCACTTCCATATACTACAAAAAGAGCGTTTCAAACCTGCTCTAAGAAAGGCAATGTTCAACTCTGTGACTTGAATGCAGACATCACAGAGCAGTTTCTGAGAATGCTTCTGTCTAGATTTTATAGGAAGATATTCCCGTTTCCAATGAAATCTTCACAGCTATCCAAATATCCACTTGCAGATTCTACAAAAAGAGTGTATCAAAAATGCTCTGTCAAAAGGAAGGTTCTTCTCCGTTAGTTGAGTACATACGTCATAAAGGAGTTTCTGAGAATGTTTCTGTCTAGTGGTTATGGGAAGATATTTGCTTTTCCACCGTAGGCCTCAGAGCGCTCCAAATATCCACTTGCACATACTACAAAAAGAGTGCTTCAAAGCTGCTCTCTGAAACGGAATGTTCAACTCTATGAGTTGAATGCAAACATCACAAAGACGTTTCCGAGAATGCTTCTGTCTAGATTTGATATGAAGATATTCCCGTTTCCAACGAAATCTTCAAATCTATCCAAATGTCCACTTGCAGATTCAACAAAAAGTGTTTTTCAGAACTGCTCTATCAAAAGAAAGATCCACCTCTGTTATCTGAGTTCACACATCACAAACAAGTTTATGAGAATGCTTCTGTCTAGTTTTTATTTGAAGATATTTCCTTTCTCACCATAGACCTGAAAGCTGTCCTAATGTTCACTTCCAGATGAGTGTTTCACAGAAAGAGTGTTTCAAAACTGCTGTACGAAAGGGAATATTCAACTCTGTGACTTGAATGCACACATCACAAAGAAGTTTCTGAGGATGCTGCTGTCTACTTTTTATACGTAATCCCGTTTCCAACGAAATCCTCCAAGCTATCCAAATATCCACTTGCAGATTCCACAGAAAGACTGTTTCAAAACTGCTCTGTCAATGGAAAGGTTCAACTCTGTTAGCTGCGTGCATATATCCCAAAGAAGATTCTGAGATTGCTTCTGTCTAGTTTTTATGGGAAGATATTTCCCTTTTCACCGTAGGCGTCAAGGCGCTCCAAATGTCCACTTCCAGATATTACAAAAAGAGTGCTTCAAACCTTCTCTGTGAAAGGGAATATTCAACTCTGTGACTTGAATGCACATATCACAAAGAAGTTTCTGAGAATGCTTCTGTCGAGATTTTATCTGAAGATATTCCCGTTTCCAACGAAATCCTGAAATCTATCCAAATATCCCCTCGCAGATTCTACAGAAAGAGTGTTTCAAAACTGCTCTGTAAAAAGAAAGGTTCAACTCTGTTACTTGAGTACACACATCACAAACAAGTTTCACAGAATGCTTCTTTCTAGCTTGTAGGGGAAGATATTCCCTTTATCACCATGGGCCTCCAACCGTCCGAAACGTCCACTTCCATATACTACAAAAAGAGCGTTTCAAACCTGCTCTAGGAAAGGCAATGTTCAACTCTGTGACTTGAATGCAGACATCACAGAGCAGTTTCTGAGAATGCTTCTGTCTAGATTTTATAGGAAGATATTCCCGTTTCCAACGAAATCTTCACAGCTATCCAAATATCCCCTCGCAGATTCTACAAAAAGAGTGTATCAAAACTGCTCTGTCAAAAGGAAGGTTCTTCTCTGTTAGGTGAGTGCATACGTCATAAAGGAGTTTCTGAGAATGTTTCTGTCTAGTGGTTATGGGAAGATATTTGCTTTTTCACCTTAGGCCTCAGAGCGCTCCAAATATCCCCTTGCACATACTACAAAAAGAGTGCTTCAAAGCTGCTCTCTGAAAGGGAATCTTCAACTCTATGAGTTGAATGCCAACATCACAAAGACGTTTCTGAGAATGCTTCTGTCTAGATTTGATATGAAGATATTCCCGTTTCCAACGAAATCTTCAAATCTATCCAAATGTCCACTTGCAGATTCAACAAAAAGTGTTTTTCAGAACTGCTCTATCAAAAGAAAGATCCACCTCCGTTAGCTGAGTTCACACTTCACAAACAAGTTTATCAGAATGCTTCTGTCTAGTTTTTATTTGAATATATTTCCATTCTCACCATAGACCTGAAAGCTGTCCTAATGTTCACTTCCAGATACTACAGAAAGAGTGTTTCAAAACTGCTGTACGAAAGGGAATGTTCAACTCTGTGACTTGAATGCACACATCACAAAGAAGTTTCTGAGGATGCTGCTGTCTACTTTTTATACGTAATCCCATTTCCAACGAAATCCTCCAAGCTATCCAAATATCCACTTGCAGATTCCACAGAAAGACTGTTTCAAAACTGCTCTGTCAATAGAAAGGTTCAACTCTGTTAGCTGCGTGCATATATCCCAAAGAAGATTCTGAGATTGCTTCTGTCTAGTTTTTATGGGAAGATATTTCCCTTTTCACCGTAGGTGTCAAGGCGCTCCAAATGTCCACTTCCAGATACTACAAAAAGAGTGTTTCAAACCTACTCTGTGAAAGGGAATATTCAACTCTGTGACTTAAAGGCAGATATCACAAAGAAGTTTCTGATAATGCTTCTGTCTAGATTTTATATGAAGATATTCCCGTTTCCAACGAAATCCTGAAATCTCTCCAAATATCCCCTCGCAGATTCTACAAAAAGAGTGTTTCAAAACTGCTCTGTAAAAAGAAAGGTTCAACTCTGTTAGTTGAGTACACACATCACAAACAAGTTTCACAGAATGCTTCTTTCTAGCTTGTAGGGGAAGATATTCCCTTTATCACCATGGGCCTCAAACCGTCCGAAACGTCCACTTCCATATACTACAAAAAGAGCGTTTCAAACCTGCTCTAGGAAAGGCAATGTTCAACTCTGTGACTTGAATGCAGACATCACAGAGCAGTTTCTGAGAATGCTTTCTGTCTAGATTTTATAGGAAGATATTCCCGTTTCCAACGAAGTCTTCACAGCTATCCAAATATCCACTTGCAGATTCTACAAAAAGAGTGTATCAAAACTGCTCTGTCAAAAGGAAGGTTCTTTTCTGTTAGGTGAGTGCATACGTCATAAAGGAGTTTCTGAGAATGTTTCTGTCTAGTGGTTATGGGAAGATATTTGCTTTTTCCCCTTAGGACTAAGGGCGCTCCAAATGTCCACTTGCAGATGCTAGAAAAAGAGTGCTTCAAAGCTGCTCTCTGGAAGGGAATGTTCAACTCTATGAGTTGAATGCAAACATCACAAAGACGTTTCTGAGAATGCTACTGTCTAGATTTGATATAAAGTTATTCCCGTTTCCAACGAAATCTTCAAATCTATCCAAATGTCCACTTGCAGATTCAACAAAAAGTGTTTTTCCGAACTGCTCTATCAAAAGAAAGATCCACCTCTGTTAGCTGAGTTCACACATCACAAACAAGTTTATGAGAATGCTTCTGTCTAGTTTTTATTTGAAGATATTTCCTTTCTCACCATAGACCTCAAAGCTGTCCTAATGTTCACTTCCAGATACTACAGAAAGAGTGTTTCAAAACTGCTGTACGAAAGGGAATGTTCAACTCTGTGACTTGAATGCACACATCACAAAGAAGTTTCTGAGGATGCTGCTGTCTACCTTTTATACTTAATCCCGTTTCCAACGAAATCCTCCAAGCTATCCAAATATCCACTTGCAGATTCCACAGAAAGACTGTTTCAAAACTGCTCTGTCAATAGAAAGGTTCAACTCTGTTAGCTGCGTGCATATATCCCAAAGAAGATTCTGAGATTGCTTCTGTCTAGTTTTTATCGGAAGATATTTCCCTTTTCACCGTAGGTGTCAAGGTGCTCCAAATGTCCACTTCCAGATACTACAAAAAGAGTGTTTCAAACCTACTCTGTGAAAGGGAATATTCAACTCTGTGACTTGAATGCAGATATCACAAAGAAGTTTCTGAGAATGCTTCTGTCGAGATTTTAAATGAAGATATTCCCGTTTCCAACGAAATCCTGAAATCTATCCAAATATCCCCTCGCAGATTCTACAAAAAGAGTGTTTCTAAACTGCTCTGTAAAAAGAAAGGTTCAACTCTGTTAGTTGAGTATACACATCACAAACAAGTTTCACAGAATGCTTCTTTCTAGCTTGTAGGGGAAGATATTCCCTTTATCACCATGGGCCTCCAACCGTCCGAAACATCCACTTCCATATACTACAAAAAGAGCGTTTCAAACCTGCTCTACGAAAGGCAATGTTCAACTCTGTGACTTGAATGCAGACATCACAGAGCAGTTTCTGAGAATGCTTCTGTCTAGATTTTATAGGAAGATATTCCCTGTTTCCAACGAAATCTTCACAGCTATCCAAATATCCACTTGCAGATTCTACAAAAAGAGTGCATCAAAACTGCTCTGTCAAAAGGAAGGTTCTTCTCTGTTAGGTGAGTGCATACATCATAAAGGAGTTTCTGAGAATGTTTCTGTCTAGTGGTTATGGGAAGATATTTGCTTTTTCCCCGTAGGCCTCAGAGCGCTCCAAATATCCACTTGCACATACTACAAAAAGAGTGCCTCAAAGCTGCTCTCTGAAACGGAATGTTCAACTCTATGAGTTGAATGCAAACATCACAAAGACGTTTCTGAGAATGCTTCTGTCTAGATTTGATATGAAGATATTCCCGGTTCCAACGAAATCTTCAAATCTATCCAAATGTCCACTTGCAGATTCAACAAAAAGTGTTTTTCAGAACTGCTCTATCAAAAGAAAGATCCACCTCTGTTAGCTGAGTTCACACATCACAAACAAGTTTATGAGAATGCTTCTGTCTAGTTTTTATTTGAAGATATTTCCTTTCTCACCATAGACCTGAAAGCTGTCCTAATGTTCACTTCCAGTTACTACAGAAAGAGTGTTTCAAAACTGCTGTACGAAAGGGAATGTTCAACTCTGTGACTTGAATGCGCACATCACAAAGAAGTTTCTGAGGATGCTGCTGTCTACTTTTTATACGTAATCCCGTTTCCAACGAAATCCTCCAAGCTCTCCAAATATCCACTTGCAGATTCCACAGAAAGAGTGTTTCAAAACTGCTCTGTCAATAGAAAGGTTCAACTCTGTTAGCTGCGTGCATATATCCCAAAGAAGATTCTGAGATTGCTTC
Organism: Homo sapiens; assembly: GCF_000001405.40. Classification (NCBI taxonomy): domain Eukaryota; kingdom Metazoa; phylum Chordata; class Mammalia; order Primates; family Hominidae; genus Homo; species Homo sapiens. The sequence continues at coordinate 17,111,732 of NC_000013.11, read as the reverse complement.
TGTCTAGTTTTTATGGGAAGATATTTCCCTTTTCACCGTAGGCGTCAAGGCGCTCCAAATGTCCACTTCCAGATACTACAAAAAGAGTGTTTCAAACCTACTCTGTGAAAGGGAATATTCAACTCTGTGACTTGAATGCACATATCACAAAGAAGTTTCTGAGAATGCTTTCTGTCGAGATTTTATATGAAGATATTCCCGTTTCCAACGAAATCCTGAAATCTATCCAAATATCCCCTCGCAGATTCTACAAAAAGAGTGTTTCAAAACTGCTCTGTAAAAAGAAAGGCTCTGTTAGTTGAGTGCACACATCACAAACAAGTTTCACAGAATGCTTCTTTCCAGCTTGTAGGGAAAGATATTCCCTTTAACACCATGGGCCTCAAACCGTCCGAAACGTCCACTTCCATATACTACAAAAAGAGCGTTTCAAACCTGCTCTAGGAAAAGCAATGTTCAACTCTGTGACTTGAATGCAGACATCACAGAGCAGTTTCTGAGAATGCTTCTGTCTAGATTTTATAAGAAGATATTCCCGTTTCCAACGAAATCTTCACAGCTATCCAAATATCCACTTGCAGATTCTACAAAAAGAGTGTATCAAAACTGCTCTGTCAAAAGGAAGGTTCTTCTCTGTTAGGTGAGTGCATACGTCATAAAGGAGTTTCTGAGAATGTTTCTGTCTAGTGGTTATGGGAAGATATTTGATTTTTCACCTTAGGCCACAGAGCGCTCCAAATATCCCCTTGCACATACTACAAAAAGAGTGCTTCAAAGCTGCTCTCTGAAAGGGAATGTTCAACTCTATGGGTTGAATGCAAACATCACAAAGACGTTTCTGAGAATGCTTCTGTCTAGATTTGATATGAAGATATTCCCGTTTCCAACGAAATCTTCAAATCTATCCAAATGTCCACTTGCAGATTCAACAAAAAATGTTTTTCAGAACTGCTCTATCAAAAGAAAGATCCACCTGTGTTAGCTGAGTTCACACATCACAAACAAGTTAATGAGAATGCTTCTGTCTTGTTTTTATTTGAAGATATTTCCTTTCTCACCATAGAGCTGAAAGCTGTCCTAATGTTCACTTCCAGATACTACAGAAAGAGTGTTTGAAAACTGCTGTACGAAAGGGAATGTTCAACTCTGTGACTTGAATGCACACATCACAAAGAAGTTTCTGAGGATGCTGCTGTCTACTTTTTATACGTAATCCCGTTTCCAACGAAATCCTCCAAGCTATCCAAATATCCACTTGCAGATTCCACAGAAAGACTGTTTCAAAACTGCTCTGTCAATAGAAAGGTTCAACTCTGTTAGCCTGCGTGCATATATCCCAAAGAAGATTCTGAGATTGCTTCTGTCTACTTTTTATGAGAAGATATTTCCCTTTTCACCGTAGGCGTCAAGGCGCTCCAAATGTCCACTTCCAGATACTACAAAAGGAGTGTTTCAAACCTACTCTGTGAAAGGGAATATTCAACTCTGTGACTTGAATGCACATATCACAAAGAAGTTTCTGAGAATGCTTCTGTCGAGATTTTATATGAAGATATTCCCCTTTCCAAAGAAATCCTGAAATCTATCCAAATATCCCCTCGCAGATTCTACAAAAAGAGTGTTTCAAAACTGCTCTGTAAAAAGAAAGGTTCAACTCTGTTAGTTGAGTACACACATCACAAACAAGTTTCACAGAATGCTTCTTTCTAGCTTGTAGGGGAAGATATTCCCTTTATCACCATGGGCCTCAAACCGTCCGAAACGTCCACTTCCATATACTACAAAAAGAGCGTTTCAAACCTGCTCTATGAAAGGCAATGTTCAACTCTGTGACTTGAATGCAGACATCACAGAGCAGTTTACTGAGAATGCTTCTGTCCAGACTTTATAGGAAGATATTCCCGTTTCCAACGAAATCTTCACAGCTATCCAAATATCCACTTGCAGATACTAGAAAAAGAATGTATCAAAAATGCTCTGTCAAAAGGAAAGTTCTTCTCTGCTACTTGAGTACATACGTCATAAAGAAGTTTCTGAGAATGTTTCTGTCTAGTGGTTATGGGAAGATATTTGCTTTTTCACCTTAGGCCTCAGAGCGCTCCAAATATCCACTTGCACATACTACAAAAAGAGTGCCTCAAAGCTGCTCTTTGAAACGGAATGTTCAACTCTATGAGTTGAATGCAAACATCACAAAGACGTTTCTGAGAATGCTTCTGTCTAGATTTGATATGAAGATATTCCCGTTTCCAACGAAATCTTCAAATCTATCCAAATGTCCACTTGCAGATTCAACAAAAAGCGTTTTTAGTACTGCTCTATCAGAAGAAAGATCCACCTCTGTTAGCTGAGTTCAGACATCACAAACAAGTTTATGAGAATGCTTCTGTCTAGTTTTTATTTGAAGATATTTCCTTTTTCACCATAGAGCTGAAAGCTGTCCTAATGTTCACTTCCAGTTACTACAGAAAGAGTGTTTCAAAACTGCTGTACGAAAAGGAATGTTCAACTCTGTGACTTGAATGCACACATCACAAAGAAGTTTCTGAGGATGCTGCTGGCTACTTTGTATACGTAATCCCGTTTCCAACGAAATCCTCCAAGCTATCCAAATATCCACTTGCAGATTCCACAGAAAGACTGTTTCAAAACTGCTCTGTCAATAGAAAGGTTCAACTCTGTTAGCTGCGTGCATATATCCCAAAGAAGATTCTGAGATTGCTTCTGTCTAATTTTTATGGGAAGATATTTCCCTTTTCACCGTAGGTGTCAAGGCGCTCCAAATGTCCACTTCCAGATACTACAAAAAGAGTGTTTCAAACCTACTCTGTGAAAGGGAATATTCAACTCTGTGACTTGAATGCACATATCACAAAGAAGTTTCTGAGAATGCTTCTGTCGAGATTTTATGTGAAGATACTCCCGTTTCCAACGAAATCCTGAAATCTATCCAAATATCCCCTCGCAGATTCTACAAAAAGAGTGTTTCAAAACTGCTCTGTAAAAAGAAAGGTTCAACTCTGTTAGTTGAGTACACACATCACAAACAAGTTTCACAGAATGTTTCTTTCTAGCTTGTAGGGGAAGATATTCCCTTTATCACCACGGGCCTCCAACCGTCCGAAACATCCACTTCCATATACTACAAAAAGAGCGTTTCAAACCTGCTCTATGAAAGGCAATGTTCAACTCTGTGACTTGAATGCAGACATCACAGAGCAGTTTCTGAGAATGCTTCTGTCTAGATTTTATAGGAAGATATTCCCGTTTCCAACGAAATCTTCACAGCTATCCAAATATCCACTTGCAGATCCTACAAAAAGAGTGTATCAAAACTGCTCTGTCAAAAGGAAGGTTCTTCTCTGTTAGGTGAGTGCATACGTCATACAGGAGTTTCTGAGAATGTTTCTGTCTAGTGGTTATGGGAAGATATTTGCTTTTTCACCGAAGGCCTCAGAGCGCTCCAAATATCCACTTGCACATACTACAAAAAGAGTGCCTCAAAGCTGCTCTCTGAAACGGAATGTTCAACTCTATGAGTTGAATGCAAACATCACAACGACGTTTCTGAGAATGCTTCTGTCTAGATTTGATATGAAGATATTCCCGTTTCCAACGAAATCTTCAAATCTATCCAAATGTCCACTTGCAGATTCAACAAAAAGTGTTTTTCAGAACTGCTCTATCAAAAGAAACATCCACCTCTGTTAGCTGAGTTCTCACATCACAAACAAGTTTATGAGAATGCTTCTGTCTAGTTTTTATTTGAAGATATTTCCTTTCTCACCATAGATCTGAAAGCTGTTCTAATGTTCACTTCCATATGCTACAGAAAGAGTGTTTCAAAACTGCTGTACGAAAGGGAATGTTCAACTCTGTGACTTGAATGCACACATCACAAAGAAGTTTCTGAGGATGCTGCTGTCTACTTTTTATACGTAATCCCGTTTCCAACGAAATCCTCCAAGCTATCCAAATATCCACATGCAGATTCCAGAGAAAGACTGTTTCAAAACTGCTCTGTCAATAGAAAGGTTCAACTCTGTTAGCTGCGTGCATATATCCCAAAGAAGATTCTGAGATTGCTTCTGTCTAGTTTTTATGGGAAGATATTTCCCTTTTCACCGTAGGCGTCAAGGCGCTCCAAATGTACACTTCCAGATACTACAAAAGAGTGTTTCAAACCTACACTGTGAAAGGGAATATTCAACTCTGTGACTTGAATGCAGATATCACAAAGAAGTTTCTGAGAATGCTTCTGTCGAGATTTTATATGAAGATATTCCCGTTTCCAACGAAATCCTGAAATCTATCCATATATCCCCTCGCAGATTCTACAAAAAGAGTGTTTCAAAACTGCTCTGTAAAAAGAAAGGTTCAACTCTGTTAGTTGAGTACACACATCACAAACAAGTTTCACAGAATGCTTCTTTCTAGCTTGTAGGGGAAGATATTCCCTTTATCACCATGGGCCTCAAACCGTCCGAAACGTCCACTTTTATATACTACAAAAAGAGCGTTTCAAACCGGCTCTATGAAAGGCAATGTTCAACTCTGTGACTTGAATGCAGACATCACAGAGCTGTTTCTGAGAATGCTTCTGTCTAGATTTTATAGGAAGATATTCCCGTTTCCAACGAAATCTTCACAGCTATCCAAATATCCACTTGCAGATTCTACAAAAAGAGTGCATCAAAACTGCTCTGTCAAAAGGAAGGTTCTTCTCTGTTAGTTGAGTACATACGTCATAAAGGAGTTTCTGAGAATGTTTCTGTCTAGTGGTTATGGGAAGATATTTGCTTTTTCACCGTAGGCCTCAGAGCGCTCCAAATATCCACTTGCACATACTACAAAAAGAGTGCCTCAAAGCTGCTCTCTGAAACGGAATGTTCAACTCTATGAGTTGAATGCAAACATCACAACGACGTTTCTGAGAATGCTTCTGTCTAGATTTGATATGAAGATATTCCCGTTTCCAACGAAATCTTCAAATCTATTCAAATGTCCACTTGCAGATTCCACAAAAAGTGTTTTTCAGAACTGCTCTATCAAAAGAAAGATCCACCTCTGTTAGCTGAGTTCACACATCACAAACAAGTTTATGAGAATGCTTCTGTCTAGTTTTTATCTGAAGATATTTCCTTTCTCACCATAGAGCTGAAAGCTGTCCTAATGTTCACTTCCAGATACTACAGAAAGAGTGTTTCAAAACTGCTGTACGAAAGGGAATGTTCAACTGTGTGACTTGAATGCACACATCACAAAGAAGTTTCTGAGGATGCTGCTGTCTACTTTTTATACGTAATCCCGTTTCCAACGAAATCCTCCAAGCTATCCAAATATCCACTTGCAGATTCCACAGAAAGACTGTTTGAAAACTGCTCTGTCAATAGAAAGGTTCAACTCTGTTAGCTGCGTGCATATATCCCAAAGAAGATTCTGAGATTGCTTCTGTCTAGTTTTTATGGGAAGATATTTCCCTTTTCACCGTAGGTGTCAAGGCGCTCCAAATGTCCACTTCCAGATACTACAAAAAGAGTGTTTCAAACCTACTCTGAGAAAGGGAATATTCAACTCTGTGACTTGAAGGCAGATATCACAAAGAAGTTTCTGAGAATGCTTCTGTCGCGATTTTATATGAAGATATTCCCGTTTCCAACAAAATCCTGAAATCTATCCAAATATCTCCTCGCAGATTCTACAAAAAGAGTGTTTCAAAACTGCTCTGTAAAAAGAAAGGTTCAACTCTGTTAGTTGAGTACACACATCACAAACAAGTTTCACAGAATGCTTCTTTCTAGCTTGTAGGGGAAGATATTCCCTTTATCACCATGGGCCTCAGACCGTCCGAAACGTCCACTTCCATATACTTCAAAAAGAGGGTTTCAAACCTGCTCTATGAAAGGCAATGTTCAACTCTGTGACTTGAATGCAGACATCACAGAGCAGTTTCTGAGAATGCTTCTGTCTAGATTTTATAGGAAGATATTTCCGTTTCCAACGAAACCTTCACAGCTATCCAAATATCCACTTGGAGATTCTACAAAAAGAGTGTATCAAAACTGCTCTGTCAAAAGGAAGGTTCTTCTCTGTTAGGTGAGTGCATACGTCATAAAGGAGTTTCTGAGAATGTTTCTGTCTAGTGGTTATGGTAAGATATTTGCTTTTTCACCGTAGGCCTCAGAGCGCTCCAAATATCCACTTGCACATACTACAAAAAGAGTGCTTCAAAGCTGCTCTCTGAAACGGAATGTTCAACTCTATGAGTTGAATGCAAACATCACAAAGACGTTTCTGAGAATGCTTCTGTCTAGATTTGATATGAAGATATTCCCGTTTCCAACGAAATCTTCAAATCTATCCAAATATCCACTTGCAGATTCAACAAAAAGTGTTTTTCAGAACTGCTCTATCAAAAGAAAGATCCACCTCTGTTAGCTGAGTTTACACATCACAAACAAGTTTATGAGAATGCTTCTGTCTAGTTTTTATTTGAAGATATTTCCTTTCTCACCATAGACCTGAAAGCTGTCCTAATGTTCACTTCCAGATACTACAGAAAGAGTGTTTCAAAACTGCTGTACGAAAGGGAATGTTCAACTCTGTGACTTGAATGCACACATCACAAAGAAGTTTCTGAGGATTCTCTGTCTACTTTTTATACGTAATCCCGTTTCCAACGAAATCCTCCAAGCTATCCAAATATCCACTTGCAGATTCCACAGAAAGAATGTTTCAAAACTGCTCTGTCAATAGAAAGGTTCAACTCTGTTAGCTGCGTGCATATATCCCAAAGAAGATTCTGAGATTGCTTGCTGTCTAGTTTTTATGGGAAGATATTTCCCTTTTCACCGTAGGCGTCAAGGCGCTCCAAATGTCCACTTCCAGATACTACAAAAAGAGTGTTTCAAACCTACTCTGTGAAAGGGAATATTCAACTCTGTGACTTGAATGCAGATATCACAAAGAAGTTTCTGAGAATGCTTCTGTCGAGATTTTATATGAAGATATTCCCGTTTCCAACGAAATCCTGAAATCTATCCAAATATCCCCTCGCAGATTCTACGAAAAGAGTGTTTCAAAACTGCTCTGTAAAAAGAAAGGTTCAACTCTGTTAGTTGAGTACACACCTCACAAACAAGTTTCACAGAATGCTTCTTTCTAGCTTGTAGGGGAAGATATTCCCTTTATCACCATCGGCCTCAAACCGTCTGAAACGTCCACTTCCATATACTACAAAAAGAGCATTTCAAACCTGCTCTATGAAAGGCAATGTTCAACTCTGTGACTTGAATGCAGACATCACAGAGCAGTTTCTGAGAATGCTTCTGTCTAGATTTTATAGGAAGATATTCCCGTTTCCAACGAAATCTTCACAGCTATCCAAATATCCACTTGCAGATTCTACAAAAAGAGTGTATCAAAACTGCTCTGTCAAAAGGAAGGTTCTTCTCTGTTAGGTGAGTGCATACGTCATAAAGGAGTTTCTTAGAATGTTTCTGTCTAGTGGTTATGGGAAGATATTTGCTTTTTCCCCGTAGGCCTCAGGGCGCTCCAAATGTCCACTTGCACATGCTACAAAAAGAGTGCTTCAAAGCTGGTCTCTGAAAGGGAATGTTCAACTCTATGAGTTGAATGCAAACATCACAAAGACGTTTCTGAGAATGCTTCTGTCTAGATTTGATATGAAGATATTCCCGTTTCCAAAGCAAATCTTCAAACCTATCCAAATGTCCACTTGCAGATTCAACAAAAAGTGTTTTTCAGAACTGCTCTATCAAAAGAAAGATCCACGTCTCTTAGCTGAGTTCACACATCACAAACAAGTTTATGAGAATGCTTCTGTCTAGTTTTTATTTGAAGATATTTCCTTTCTCACCATAGACCTGAAAGCTGACCTAATGTTCACTTCCAGATACTACAGAAAGAGTGTTTCAAAACTGCTGTACGAAAGGTGATGTTCAACTCTGTGACTTGAATGCACACATCACAAAGAAGTTTCTGAGGATGCTGCTGTCTACTTCTTATACGTAATCCCGTTTCCAACGAAATCCTCCAAGCTATCCAAATATCCACTTGCAGATTCCACAGAAAGACTGTTTCAAAACTGCTATGTCAATAGAAAGGTTCAACTCTGTTAGCTGTGTGCATATATCCCAAAGAAAATTCTGAGATTGCTTCTGTCTAGTATTTATGGGAAGATATTTCCCTTTTCACTGTAGGTGTCAAGGAGCTCCAAATGTCCACTTCCAGATACTACAAAAAGAGTGTTTCAAACCTACTCTGCGAAAGGGAATATTCAACTCTGTGACTTGAAGGCAGATATCACAAAGAAGTTTCTGAGAATGCTTCTGTCGAGATTTTCTATGAAGATATTCCCGTTTGCAACGAAATCCTGAAATCTATCCAAATATCCCCTCGCAGATTCTACAAAAAGAGTGTTTCAAAACTGCTCTGTAAAAAGAAAGGTTCAACTCTGTTAGTTGAGTACACACATCACAAACAAGTTTCACAGAATGCTTCCTTCTAGCTTGTAGGGGAAGATATTCCCTTTATCACCATGGGCCTCAAACCGTCCGAAACTTCCACTTCCATATACTACAAAAAGAGCGTTTCAAACCTGCTCTAGGAAAGGCAATGTTCAACTCTGTGACTTGAATGCAGACATCACAGAGCAGTTTCTGAGAATGCTTCTGTCTAGATATTATAGGAAGATATTCCCGTTTCCAACGAAATCTTCACAGCTATCAAAATATCCACTTGCAGATTCTACAAAAAGAGTGTATCAAAACTGCTCTGTCAAAAGGAAGGTTCTTCTCTGTTAGGTGAGTGCATACGTCATAAAGGAGTTTCTGAGAATGTTTCTGTGTAGTGGTTATGGGAAGATATTTGCTTTTTCCCCGTAGGCCTCAGGGCGCTCCAAATGTCCACTTGCACATGCTACAAAAAGAGTGCTTCAAAGCTGCTCTCTGAAAGGGAATGTTCAACTCTATGAGTTGAATGCAAACATCACAAAGACGTTTCTGAGAATGCTCTGTCTAGATTTGATATGAAGATATTCCCGTTTCCAACGAAATCTTCAAATCTATCCAAATGTCCACTTGCAGATTCAACAAAAAGTGTTTTTCAGAACTGCTCTATCAAAAGAAAGATCCACCTCTGTTAGCTGAGTTCACACATCACAAACAAGTTTATGAGAATGCTTTCTGTCTAGTTTTTATTTGAAGATATTTCCTTTCTCACCATAGACCTGAAAGCTGTCCTAATGTTCTCTTCCAGATGCTACAGAAAAAGTGTTTCAAAACTGCTGTACGAAAGGGAATGTTCAATTCTGTGACTTGAATGCACACATCACAAAGAAGTTTCTGAGGATGCGGCTGTCTAGTTTTTATACGTAATCCCGTTTCCAACGAAATCCTCCAAGCTATCCAAATATCCACTTGCAGATTCCACAGAAAGACTGTTTCAAAACTGCTCTGTCAATAGAAAGGTTCAACTCTGTTAGCTGCGTGCATATATCCCAAAGAAGATTCTGAGATTGCTTCTGTCGAGATTTTATATGAAGATATTCCCGTTTCCAATGAAATCCTGAAATCTATCCAAATATCCCCTCGCAGATTCTACAAAAAGAGTGTTTCAAAACTGCTCTGTAAAAAGAAAGGTTCAACTCTGTTAATTGAGTACACACATCACAAACAAGTTTCACAGAATGCTTCTTTCTAGCTTGTAGGGGAAGATATTCCCTTTATCACCATGGGCCTCAAACCGTCCGAAAAGTCCACTTCCATATACTACAAAAAGAGCATTTCAAACCTGCTCTATGAAAGGCAATGTTCAACTCTGTGACTTGAATACAGACATCACAGAGCAGTTTCTGAGAATGCTTCTGTCTAGATTTTATAGGAAGATATTCCCGTTTCCAACGAAATCTTCACAGCTATCCAAATATCCACTTGCAGATTCTACAAAAAGAGTGTATCAGAACTGCTCTGTCAAAAGGAAGGTTCTTCTCTGTTAGGTGAGTGCATACGTCATAAAGGAGTTTCTGAGAATGTTTCTGTCTAGTGGTTATGGGAAGATATTTGCTTTTTCACTGTAGGCCTCAGAGCGCTCCAAATATCCACTTGCACATACTACAAAAAGAGTGCTTCAAAGCTGCTCTCTGAAACGGAATGTTCAACTCTATGAGTTGAATGCAAACATCACAAAGACGTTTCTGAGAATGCTTCTGTCTAGATTTGATATGAAGATATTCCCGTTTCCAACGAAATCTACAAATCTATCCAAATGTCCACTTGCAGATTCAACAAAAAGTGTTTTTCAGAACTGCTCTATCAAAAGAAAGGTCCACCTCTGTTAGCTGAGTTCACACATCACAAACAAGTTTATGAGAATGCTTCTGTCTAGTTTTTATTTGAAGATATTTCCTTTCTCACCATAGACCTGAAAGCTGTCCTAATGTTCACTTCCAGATACTACAGAAAGAGTGTTTCAAAACTGCTGTACGAAAGGGAATGTTCAACTCTGGGAGTTGAATGCATACATCACAAAGAAGTTTCTGAGGATGCTGCTGTCTACTTTTTATACGTAATCCCATTTCCAACGAAATCCTCCAAGCTATCCAAATATCCACTTGCAGATTCCACAGAAAGACTGTTTCAAAACTGCTATGTCAATAGAAAAGTTCAACTCAGTTAGCTGTGTGCATATATCCCAAAGAAAATTCTGAGATTGCTTCTGTCTAGTTTTTATGGGAAGATATTTCCATTTTCACCGTAGGCGTCAAGGCACTCCAAATGTCCACTTCCAGATACTACAAAAAGAGTGTTTCAAACCTACTCTGTGAAAGGGAATATTCAACTCTGTGACTTGAAGGCAGATATGACAAAGAAGTTTCTGAGAATGCTTCTGTCGAGATTTTATATGAAGATATTCCCGTTTCCAACGAAATGCTGAAATGTATCCAAATATCCCCTCGCAGATTCTACAAAAAGAGTGTTTCAAAACTGCTCTGTAAAAAGAAAGGTTCAACTCTGTTAGTTGAGTACACACATCACAAACAAGTTTCAAACAATGCTCTTTCTAGCTTGTAGGGGAAGATATTCCCTTTATCACCATGGGCCTCAAACCGTCCGAAACGTCCACTTCCATATACTACAAAAAGAGCGTTTCAAACCTGCTCTAGGAAAGGCAATGTTCAACTCTGTGACTTGAATGCAGACATCACATAGCAGTTTCTGAGAATGCTTTCTGTCTAGATTTTATAGGAAGATATTCCCGTTTCCAGCAAAATCTTCACAGCTATCCAAATATCCACTTGCAGATTCTACAAAAAGAGTGTATCAAAACTGATCTGTCAAATGGAAGGTTCTTCTCTGTTAGGTGAGTGCATACGTCATAAACGAGTTTCTGAGAATGTTTCTGTCTAGTGGTTATGGGAAGATATTTGCTTTTTCACCGTAGGCCTCAGAGCGCTCCAAATATCCACTTGCACATACTACAAAAAGAGTGCCTCAAAGCTGCTCTTTGAAACGGAATGTTCAACTCTATGAGTTGAATGCAAACATCACAAAGACGTTTCCTGAGAATGCTTCTGTCTAGATTTGATATGAAGATATTCCCGTTTCCAACGAAATCTTCAAATCTATCCAAATGTCCACTTGCAGATTCAAAAAAAAGTGTTTTTCAGAACTGCTCTATCAAAAGAAAGATCCACCTCTGTTAGCTGAGTTCACACATCACAAACAAGTTTATGAAAATGCTTCTGTCTAGTTTTTATTTGAAGATATTTCCTTTCTCACCATAGAGCTGAAAGCTGTCCTAATGTTCACTTCCAGATACTACAGAAAGAGTGTTTCAAAACTGCTGTACGAAAGGGAATGTTCAACTCTGTGACTTGAATGCACACATCACAAAGAAGTTTCAGAGGATGCTGCTGTCTACTTTTTATACGTAATCCCGTTTCCAACGAAATCCTCCAAGCTATCCAAATATCCACTTGCAGATTCCACAGAAAGACTGTTTCAAAACTGCTCTGTCAATAGAAAGGTTCAACTCTGTTAGCTGCGTGCATATATCCCAAAGAAGATTCTCAGATTGCTTCTGTCTAGTTTTTATGGGAAGATATTTCCCTTTTCACCGTAGGTGTCAAGGCGCTCCAAATGTCCACTTCCAGATACTACAAAAAGAGTGTTTCTAACCTACTCTGTGAAAGGGAATATTCAACTCTGTGACTCGAATGCACATATCACAAAGAAGTTTCTGAGAATGCTTCTGTCGAGATTTTATATGAAGATATTCCCGTTTCCATCGAAATCCTGAAATCTATCCAAATATCCCCTCGCAGATTCTACAAAAAGAGTGTTTCAAAACTGCTCTGTAAAAAGAAAGGTTCAACTCTGTTAGTTGACTACACACATCACAAACAAGTTTCACACAATGCTTCTTTCTAGCTTGTAGGGGAAGATATTCCCTTTATCACCATGGGCCTCCAACCGTCCGAAACATCCACTTACATATACTACAAAAAGAGCGTTTCAAACCTGCTCTATGAAAGGCAATGTTCAACTCTGTGACTTGAATACAGATATCACAGAGCAGTTTCTGAAAATGCTTCTGTCTAGATTTTATAGGAAGATATTCCCGTTTCCAACGAAATCTTCACAGCTATCCAAATATCCACTTGCAGATTCTACAAAAAGAGTGTATCAAAACTGCTCTGTCAAAACGAAGGTTCTTCTCTGTTAGGTGAGTGCATACGTCATAGAGGAGTTTCTGAGAATGTTTCTGTCTAGTGGTTATGGGAAGATATTTGCTTTTTCACCGTAGGCCTCAGAGTGCTCCAAATATCCGCTTGCACATACTACAAAAAGAGTGCTTCAAAGCTGCTCTCTGAAACGGAATGTTCAACTCTATGAGTTGAATGCAAACATGACAAAGACGTTTCTGAGAATGCTTCTCTCTAGATTTCATATGAAGATATTCCCGTTTCCAAAGAAATCTTCAAATCTATCCAAATGTCCACTTGCAGATTCAACAAAAAGTGTTTTTCAGAACTGCTCTATCAAAAGAAAGATCCACGTCTCTTAGCTGAGTTCACACATCACAAACAAGTTTATGAGAATGCTTCTGTCTAGTTTTTATTTGAAGATATTTCCTTTCTCACCATAGACCGGAAAGCTGTCCTAATGTTCACTTCCAGATACTACAGAAAGAGTGTTTCAAAACTGCTGTACGAAAGGGAATGTTCAACTCTGTGACTTGAATGCACACATCACAAAGATGTTTCTGAGGATGCTGCTGTCTACTTTTTATACGTAATCCCGTTTCCAACGAAATCCTCCAAGCTATCCAAATATCCACTTCCAGATTCCACAGAAAGACTGTTTCAAAACTGCTCTGTCAATAGAAAGGTTCAACTCTATTAGCTGCGTACATATATCCCAAAGAAGATTCTGAGATTGCTTCTGTCTAGTTTTTATGGGAAGATATTTCCCTTTTCACCGTAGGCGTCAAGGCGCTCCAAATGTCCACTTCCAGATACTACAAAAAGAGTGTTTCAAACCTACTCTGTGAAAGGGAATATTCAACGGTGTGACTAGAATGCACGTATCACAAAGAAGTTTCTGAGAATGCTTCTGTCGAGATTTTATATGAAGATATTCCCGTTTCCAACGAAATCCTGAAATCTATCCAAATATCCCCTCGCAGATTCTACAAAAAGAGTGTTTCAAAACTGCTCTGTGAAAAGAAAGGTTCAACTCTGTTAGTTGAGTACACACATCACAAACAAGTTTCACAGAATGCTTTCTTTCTAGCTTGTAGGGGAAGATATTCCCTTTATCACCATGGGCCTCAAACCATCCGAAACGTCCACTTCCATATACTACAAAAAGAGCGTTTCAAACCTGCTCTATGAAAGGCAATGTTCAGCTCTGTGACTTGAATGCAGACATCACAGAGCAGTTTCTGAGAATGCTTCTGTCTAGATTTTATAGGAAGATATTCCCGTTTCCAACGAAATCTTCGCAGCTATCCAAATATCCACTTGCAGATTCTACAAAAAGAGTGTATCAAAACTGCTCTGTCAAAAGGAAGGTTCTTCTCTGTTAGGTGAGTGCATACGTCATAAAGGAGTTTCTGAGAATGTTTCTGTCTAGTGGTTATGGGAAGATATTTGCTTTTTCCCCGTAGGCCTCAGGGCCCTCCAAATGTCCACTTGCACATGCTACAAAAAGAGTGCTTCAAAGCTGCTCTCTGAAAGGGAATGTTCAACTCTATGAGTTGAATGCAAACATCGGAAAGACGTTTCTGAGAATGCTTCTGTCTAGATTTGAAATGAAGTTATTCCCGTTTCCAACGAAATCTTCAAATCTATCCAAATGTCCAATTGCAGATTCAACAAAAAGTGTTTTTCAGAACTGCTCTATCAAAAGAAAGATCCACCTCGGTTAGCTGAGTTCACACATCACAAAGAAGTTTATGAGAATGCTTCTGTCTAGTTTTTATTTGAAGATATTTCCTTTCTCACCATAGACCTGAAAGCTGTCCTAATGTTCACTTCCAGATACTACAGAAAGAGTGTTTCAAAACTGATGTACAAAAGGGAATGTTCAACTCTGTGACTTGAATGCACACATCACAAAGAAGTTTCTGAGGATGCTGCTGTCTACTTTTTATACGTAATCCCGTTTCCAACGAAAATCCTCCAAGCTATACAAATATCCACTTGCAGATTCCACAGAAAGACTGTTTCAAAACTGCTCTGTCAATAGAAAGGTTCAACTCTGTTAGCTGCGTGCATATATCCCAAAGAAGATTCTGAGATTGCTTCTGTCTAGTTTTTATGGGAAGATATTTCCGTTTTCACTGTAGGCGTCAAGGCGCTCCAAATGTCCACTTCCAGATACTACAAAAAGAGTGTTTCAAACCTACTCTGTGAAAGGGAATATTCAACTCTGTGACTTGAATGCACATATCACAAAGAAGTTTCTGAGAATGCTTCTGTCGAGATTTTATATGAAGATATTCCCCTTTCCAACGAAATCCTGAAATCTATCCAAATATGCCCTCGCAGATTCTACAAAAAGAGTGTTTCAAAACTGCTCTGTAAAAAGAAAGGTTCAACTCTGTGAGTTGAGTACACACATCACAAACAAGTTTCACAGAATGCTTCTTTCTAGCTTGTAGGGGAAGATATTCCCTTTATCACCATGGTCCTCAAACCGTCCGAAACGTCCTCTTCCATATAGTACAAAAAGAGCGTTTCAAACCTGCTCTATGAAAGGCAATGTTCAATTCTGTGACTTGAATGCAGACATCACAGCGCAGTTTCTGAGAATGCTTCTGTCTAGATTTTATAGGAAGATATTCCCGTTTCCAGCGAAATCTTCACAGCTATCCAAATATCCACTTGCAGATTCTACAAAAAGAGTGTATCAAAACTGCTCTGTCAAATGGAAGGTTCTTCTCTGTTAGGTGAGTGCATACGTCATAAAGGAGTTTCTGAGAATGTTTCTGTCTAGTGGTTATGGGAAGATATTTGCTTTTTCACCGTAGGCCTCAGGGCGCTCCAAATTTTCTCTTGCACATACTACAAAAAGAGTGCTTCAAAGCTGCTCTCTGAAAGGGAATGTTCAACTCTATGAGTTGAATGCAAACATCACAAAGACGTTTCTGAGAATGCTTCTGTCTAGATTTGATATGAAGATATTCCCGTTTCCAACGAAATCTTCAAATATATCCAAATGTCCACTTGCAGATTCAACAAAAGTGATTTTCAGAACTGCTCTATCAAAAGAAAGATCCACGTGTGTTAGCTGAGTTCACACATCACAAACAAGTTTATGAGAATGCTTCTGTCTAGTTTTTATTTGAAGATATTTCCTTTCTCACCATAGAGCTGAAAGCTGTCTTAATTTTCACTTCCAGATACTACAGAAAGAGTGTTTCAAAACTGCTGTACGAAAGGGAATATTCAACTCTGTGACTTGAATGCACACATCACAAAGAAGTTTCTGAGGATGCTGCTGTCTACTTTTTATACGTAATCCGGTTTCCAACGAAATCCTCCAAGCTATCCAAATATCCACTTGCAGATTCCACAGAAAGACTGTTTCAAAACTGCTATGTCAATAGAAAAGTTCAACTCTGTTAGCTGTGTGCATATATCCCAAAGAAAATTCTGAGATTGCTTCTGTCTAGTTTTTATGGGAAGATATTTCCCTTTTCACCGTAGGTGTCAAGGCGCTCCAAATGTCCACTTCCAGATACTACAAAAAGAGTGTTTCAAACCTACTCTGTGAAAAGGAATATTCAACTCTGTGACTTTAATGCACATATCACAAAGAAGTTTCTGAGAATGCTTCTGTCGAGATTTTATATGAAGATATTCCCGTTTCCAAAGAAATCCTGAAATCTATCCAAATATCCCTTCACAGATTCTACAAAAAGAGTGTTTCAAAACTGCTCTGTAAAAAGAAAGGTTCAACTCTGTTAGTTGAGTACACACATCACAAACAAGTTTCACAGAATGCTTCTTTCTAGCTTGTAGGGGAAGATATTCCCTTTATCACCATGGGCCTCAAACCGTCCGAAACGTCAACTTCCATATACTACAAAAAGAGCGTTTCAAACCTGCTCTATGAAAGGCAATGTTCAACTCTGTGACTTGAATGCAGACATCACAGTAGCAGTTTCTGAGAATGCTTCTGTCTAGATTTTATAGGAAGATATTCCCGTTTCCAACGAAATCTTCACAGCTATCCAAATATCCACTTTCAGATTCTACAAAAAGAGTGTATCAAAACTGCTCTGTCAAAAGGAAGGTTCTTCTCTGTTAGGTGAGTGCATACGTCATAAAGGAGTTTCTGAGAATGTTTCTGTCTAGTGGTTATGGGAAGATATTTGCTTTTTCACCGTAGGCCTCAGAGCGCTCCAAATATCCACTTGCAGATACTACAAAAAGAGTGCTTCAAAGCTGCTCTCTGAAACGGAATGTTCAACTCTATGAGTTGAATGCAAACATCACAAAGACGTTTCTGAGAATGCTTCTGTCTAGATTTGATATCAAGATATTCCCGTTTCCAACGAAATCTTCAAATCTATCCAAATGTCCACTTGCAGATTCAACAAAAAGTGTTTTTCAAAACTGCTGTATCAAAAGAAAGATCCACGTCTGTTAGCTGAGTTCACACATCACAAACAAGTTTATGAGAATGCTTCTGTCTAGTTTTTATTTGAAGATATATCCTTTCTCACCATAGACCTGAAAGCTGTCCTAATGCTCACTTCCAGATACTACAGAAAGAGTGTTTCAAAACTGCTGTACGAAAGGGAATGTTCAACTCTGTGACTTGAATGCACACATCACAAAGAAGTTTCTGAGGATGCTGCTGTCTACTTTTTATATGTAATCCCGTTTCCAACGAAATCCTCCAATCTATCCAAATATCCACTTGCAGATTCCACAGAAAGACTGTTTCAAAACTGCTCTGTCAATAGAAAGGTTCAACTCTGTTAGCTGCGTGCATATATCCCAAAGAAGATTCTGAGATTGCTTCTGTCTAGTTTTTATGGGAAGATATTTCCCTTTTCACCGTAGGCGTCAAGGCGCTCCAAATGTCCACTTCCAGATACTACAAAAAGAGTGTTTCAAACCTACTCTGTGAAAGGGTATATTCAACTCTGTGACTTGAAGGCAGATATCACAAAGAAGTTTCTGAGAATGCTTCTGTCGAGATTTTATATGAAGATATTCCCGTTTCCAAAGAAATCCTGAAATCTATCCAAATATCCCCTCGCAGATTCTACAAAAAGAGTGTCTCAAAACTGCTCTGTAAAAAGAAAGGTTCAACTCTGTTAGTTGAGTACACACATCACAAACAAGTTTCACAGAATGCTTCTTTCTAGCTTGTAGGGGAAGATATTCCCTTTATCACCATGGGCCTCAAACCGTCCGAAACGTCCACTTCCATATACTTCAAAAAGAGCGTTTCAAACCTGCTCTATGAAAGGCAATGTTCAACTCTGTGACTTGAATGCAGACATCACAGAGCAGTTTCTGAGAATGCTTCTGTCTAGATTTTATAGGAAGATATTCTCGTTTCCAACGAAATCTTCACAGCTATCCAAATATCCACTTTCAGATTCTACAAAAAGAGTGTATCAAAAGTGCTCTGTCAAAAGGAAGGTTCTTCTCTGTTAGGTGAGTGCATACGTCATAAAGGAGTTTCTGAAAATGTTTCTGTCTAGTCGTTATGGGAAGATATTTGCTTTTTCACCGTAGGCCTGAGAGCGCTACAAATATCCCCTTGCACATACTATCAAAAGAGTTCTTCAGAGCTGCTCTGTGAAAGGGAATGTTCAACTCTATGAGTTGAATGCAAACATCACAAAGACGTTTCTGAGAATGCTTCTGTCTAGATTTGATATGAAGGTATTCCCGTTTCCAACGAAATCTTCAAATCTATCCAAATGTCCACTTGCAGATTCAACAAAAAGTGTTTTTCAGAACTGCTCTATCAAAAGAAAGATCCACCTCTGTTAGCTGAGTTCACACATCACAAACAAGTTTATGAGAATGCTTCTGTCTAGTTTTTATTTGAAGATATTTCCTTTCTCACCATAGAGCTGAAAGCTGTACTAATGTTCACTTCCAGATACTACAGAAAGAGTGTTTCAAAACTGCTGTACGAAAGGGAATGTTCAACTCTGTGACTTGAATGCACACATCACAAAGAAGTTTCTGAGGATGCTGCTGTCTACTTTTTATACTTAATCCCGTTTCCAACGAAATACTCCAAGCTATCCAAATATCCACTTGCAGATTCCACAGAAAGACTGTTTCAAAACTGCTCTGTCAATAGTAAGGTTCAACTCTGTTAGCTGCGTGCATATATCCCAAAGAAGATTCTGAGATTGCTTCTGTCTAGTTTTTATGGGAAGATATTTCCCTTTTCACCGTAGGTGTTAAGGCGCTCCAAATGTCCACTTCCAGATACTACAAAAAGAGTGTTTCAAACCTACTCTGTGAAAGGGAATATTCAACTCTGTGACTTGAATGCAGATATCACAAAGAAGTTTCTGAGAATGCTTCTGTCGAGATTTTATATGAAGATATTCCCGTTTCCAAGGAAATCCTGAAATCTATCCAAATATCCCCTCACAGATTCTACAAAAAGAGTGTTTCAAAACTGCTCTGTAAAAAGAAAGGTTCAACTCTGTTAGTTGAGTACACACATCACAAACAAGTTTCACAGAATGCTTCTTTCTAGCTTGTAGGGGAAGATATTCCCTTTATCACCATGGGCCTCAAACCGTCCGAAACGTCCACTTCCATATACTACAAAAAGAGCGTTTCAAACCTGCTCTATGAAAGGCAATGTTCAACTCTGTGACTTGAATGTAGACATCACAGAGCAGTTTCTGAGAATGCTTCTGTCTAGATTTTATAGGAAGATATTCCCGTTTCCAACGAAATCTTCACAGCTATCCAAATATCCACTTGCAGATTCTACAAAAAGAGTGTATCAAAAATGCTCTGTCAAAAGGAAGGTTCTTCTCTGTTAGGTGAGTGCATACGTCATAAAGGAGTTTCTCAGAATGTTTCTGTCTAGTGGTTATGGGAAGATATTTGCTTTTTCACCGTAGGCCTCAGCAGCGCTCCAAATATCCACTTGCACATACTACAAAAAGTGTGCCTCAAAGCTGCTCTCTGAAACGGAATGTTCAACTCTATGAGTTGAATGCAAACATCACAAAGACGTTTCTGAAAATGCTTCTGTCTAGATTTGATATGAAGATATTCCTTTTTCCAAGGGAAATCTTCAAAACTATCCAAATGTCCACTTGCAGATTCAACAAAAAGTGTTTTTCAGAACTGCTCTATCAAAAGAAAGATCCACCGCTGTTTGCTGAGTTCACACATCACAAACAAGTTTATGAGAATGCTTCTGTCTAGTTTTTATTTGAAGATATTTCCTTTCTCACCATAGAGCTGAAAGCTGTCCTAATGTTCACTACCAGATACTCACAGAAAGAGTGTTTCAAAACTGCTGTACGAAAGGGAATGTTCAACTCTGTGACTTGAATGCACACATCACAAAGAAGTTTCTGAGGATGCTGCTGTCTACTTTTTATACGTAATCCCGTTTCCAACGAAATCCTCCAAGCTATCCAAATATCCACTTGCAGATTCCACAGAAAGACTGTTTCAAACCTGCTCTGTCAATAGAAAGGTTCAACTCTGTTAGCTGCGTGCATATATCCCAAAGAAGATTCTGAGATTGCTTCTGTCTAGTTTTTATCGGAAGATATTTCCCTTTTCACCGTAGGCGTCAAGGCACTCCAAATGTCCAATTGCAGATACTATAAAAAGAGTGTTTCAAACCTACTCTGTGAAAGGGAATATTCAACTCTGTGACTGGAATGCAGATATCACAAAGAAGTTTCTGAGAATGCTTCTGTCGAGATTTTGTATGAAGATATTCCCGTTTCCAAAGAAATCCTGAAATCTATCCAAATTTCCCCTCGCAGATTCTACAAAAAGAGTGTTTCAAAACTGCTCTGTAAAAAGAAAGGTTCAACTCTGTTAGTTGAGTACACACATCACAAACAAGTTTCACAGAATGCTTCTTTCTAGCTTGTAGGGGAAGATATTCCCTTTATCACCATGGGCCTCAAACCGTCCGAAACGTCTACTTCCATATACTACAAAAAGAGCGTTTCAAACCTGCTCTATGAAAGGCAATGTTCAACTCTGTGACTTCAATGCAGACATCACAGAGCAGTTTCTGAGAATGCTTCTGTCTAGATTTTATAGGAAGATATTCCCGTTTCCAACGAAATCTTCACAGATATCCAAATATCCACTTGCAGATGCTACAAAAAGAGTGTATCAAAAATGCTCTGTCAAAAGGAAGGTTCTTCTGTGTTAGGTGAGTGCATACGTCATAAAGGAGTTTCTGAGAATGTTCCTGTCTAGTGGTTATGGGAAGATATTTGCTTTTTCCCCGTAGGCCTCAAAGCGCTCCAAATGTCCACTTGCACATACTAAAAAAAGTGTGCTTCAAAGCTCCTCTCTGAAAGAGAATGTTCAACTCTATGAGTTGAATGCAAACATCACAAAGACGTTTCTGAGAATGCTTCTCTCTAGATTTGATATGAAGATATTCCCGTTTCCAAAGAAATCTTCAAATCTATCCAAATGTCCACTTGCAGATTCAACAAAAAGTGTTTTTCAGAACTGCTCTATCAAAAGAAAGATCCACGTCTCTTAGCTGAGTTCACACATCACAAACAAGTTTATGAGAATGCTTCTGTCTAGTTTTTATTTGAAGATATTTCCTTTCTCACCATAGAGCTTAAAGCTGTCCTAATGTTCACTTCCAGATACTACAGAAAGAGTGTTTCAAAACTGCTGTACGAAAGGGAATGTTCAACTCTGTGACTTGAATGCACACATCACAAAGAAGTTTCTGAGGATGCTGCTGTCTACTTTTTATACGTAATCCCGTTTCCAACGAAATCCTCCAAGCTATCCAAATATCCACTTGCAGATTCCACAGAACGACTGTTTCAAAACTGCTCTGTCAATAGAAATGTTCAACTCCGTTAGCTGCGTGCATATATCCCAAAGAATTTTCTGAGATTGCTTCTGTCTAGTTTTTATGGGAAGATATTTCCCTTTTCACCGTGGGCGTCAAGGCGCTCCAAATGTCCACTTCCAGATACTACAAAAAGAGTGTTTCAAACCTACTCTGTGAAAGGGAATATTCCACTCTGTGACTTGAATGCACATATCACAAGGAAGTTTCTGAGAATGCTTCTGTCGATATTTTATATGAAGATATTCCCATTTCCAACGAAATCCTGAAATGTATCCAAATATCCCCTCGCAGATTCTACAAAAAGAGTGTATCAAAACTGCTCTGTAAAAAGAAAGGTTCAACTCTGTTAGTTGAGTACACACATCACAAACAAGTTTCACAGAATGCTTCTTTCTAGCTTGTAGGGGAAGATTCCCCTTTATCACCATGGTCCTCAAACCGTCCGAAATGTCCACTTCCATATACTACAAAAAGAGCGTTTCAAACCTGCTGTATGAAAGGCAATGTTCAACTCTGTGACTTGAATGCAGACATCACAGAGCAGTTTCTGAGAATGCTTCTGTCTAGATTTTATAGGAAGATATTCCCGTTTCCAACGAAATCTTCACAGCTATCCAAATAACCACTTGCAGATTCTACAAAAAGAGTGTATCAAACCTGCTCTGTCAAAAGGAAGGTTCTTTTCTGTTAGGTGAGTGCATACGTCATAAAGGAGTTTCTGAGAATGTTTCTGTCTAGTGGTTATGGGAAGATATTTGCTTTTTCCCCGTAGGCCTCAGGGCGCTCCAAATGTCCACTTGCAAATGCTACAAAAAGAGTGCTTCAAAGCTGCTCTCTGAAAGGGAATGTTCAACTCTATGAGTTGAATGCAAACATCACAAAGACGTTTCTGAGAATGCTTTCTGTCTAGATTTGATATGAAGATATTCCCGTTTCCAACGAAATCTTCAAATCTATCCAAATGTCCTCTTGCAGATTCAACAAAAAGTGTTTTTCAGAACTGCTCTATCAAAAGAAAGATCCACGTGTGTTAGCTGAGTTCACACATCACGAACAAGTTTATGAGAATGCTTCTGTCTAGTTTTTATTTGAAGATATTTCCTTTCTCACCATAGACCTGAAAGCTGTCCTAATGTTCACTTCCACATACTACAGAAAGAGTGTTTCAAAACTGCTGTACGAAAGGGAATGTTCAACTCTGTGACATGAATGCACACATCACAAAGAAGTTTCTGAGGATGCTGCTGTCTACTTCTTATACGTAATCCCGTTTCCACCGAAATCCTCCAAGCTATCCAAATATCCACTTGCAGATTCCACAGAAAGACTGTTTCAAAACTGCTATGTCAATAGAAAGGTTCAACTCTGTTAGCTGTGTGCATATATCCCAAAGAAAATTCTGAGATTGCTTCTGTCTAGTTTTTATGGGAAGATATTTCACTTTTCACAGTAGGTGTCAAGGCGCTCCAAATGTCCACTTCCAGATACTACAAAAGGAGTGTTTCAAACCTACTCTGTGAAAGGGAATACTCAACTCTGTGACTTGAATGCACATATCACAAAGATGTTTCTGAGAATGCTTCTGTCGAGATTTTATATGAAGATATTCCCGTTTCCAACGAAATCCTGAAATCTATCCAAATATCCCCTCGCAGATTCTACAAAAAGAGTGTTTCAAAACTGCTCTGTAAAAAGAAAGGTTCAGCTCTGTTAGTTGAGTACACACATCACAAACAAGTTTCACACAATGCTTCTTTCTAGCTTGTAGGGGAAGATATTTCCTTTATCACCATGGTCCTCAAACCGTCCGAAACGTCCACTTCCATATACTAAAAAAAGAGTGTTTCAAACCTGCTCTATGAAAGGCAATGTTCAACTCTGTGACTTGAATGCAGATATCACAGAGCAGTTTCTGAGAATGCTTCTGTCTAGATTTTATAGGAAGATATTCCCGTTTCCAACGAAATCTTCACAGCTATCCAAATATCCACTTGCAGATTCTACAAAAAGCGTGTATCAAAACTGCTCTGTCAAAAGGAAGGTTCTTCTCTGTTAGGTGAGTGCATACGTCATAAAGGAGTTTCTGAGAATGTTTCTGTCTAGTGGTTATGGGAAGATATTTGCTTTTTCACCGTAGGCCTCAGAGCGCACCAAATATCCACTTGCACATACTACAAAAAGAGTGCTTCAAAGCTGGTCTCTGAAACGGAATGTTCAACTCTATGAGTTGAATGCAAACATCACAAAGACGTTTCTGAGAATGCTTCTGTCTAGATTTGATATGAAGATATTCCCGTTTCCAACGAAATCTTCAAAACTATCCAAATGTCCACTTGCAGATTCAACAAAAAGTGTTTTTCAGAACTGCTCTATCAAAAGATAGATCCACCTCTGTTAGCTGAGTTCACACATCACAAACAAGTTTATGAGAATGCTTCTGTCTAGTTTTTATTTGAAGATATTTCCTTTCTCACCATACAGCTGAAAGCTGTCCTAATGTTCACTTCCAGATACTACAGAAAGAGTGTTTCAAAACTGCTGTACGAAAGGGAATGTTCAACTCTGTGACTTGAATGCACACATCACAAAGAAGTTTCTGAGGATGCTTCTGTCCAGCCTTTATAGGAAGATATTCCTGTTTCCAACGAAATCTTCACAGCTATCCAAATATCCACTTGCAGATTCCACAGAAAGACTGTTTCTAAACTGCTCTTTCAATAGAAAGGTTCAACTGTGTTAGCTGCGTGCATATATCCCAAAGAAGATTCTGAGATTGCTTCTGTCTAGTTTTTATGGGAAGATATTTCCCTTTTCACCGTAGGTGTCAAGGAGCTCCAAATGTCCACTTCCAGATACTACAAAAAGAGTGTTTCAAACCTACTCTGTGGAAGGGAATATTCAACTCTGTGACTTGAATGCAGATATCACAAAGAAGTTTCTGAGAATGCTTCTGTCGAGATTTTATATGAAGATATTCCCGTTTCCAACGAAATCCTGAAATGTATCCAAATATCCCCTCTCAGATTCTACAAAAAGAGTGTTTCAAAACTGCTCTGTAAAAAGAAAGGTTCAACTCTGTTAGTTGAGTACACACATCACAAACAAGTTTCACAGAATGCTTCTTTCTAGCTTGTAGGGGAAGATATTTCCTTTATCACCATCATCCTCAAACCATCCGAATCGTCCACTGCCATATACTAAAAAAAGAGTGTTTGAAACCTGCTCTATGAAAGGCAATGTTCAACTCTGTGACTTGAATGCAGACATCACAGAGCAGTTTCTGAGAATGCTTCTGTCCAGACTTTATAGGAAGATATTCCCGTTTCCAACGAAATCTTCACAGCTATCCAAATATCCACTTGCAGATACTACAAAAAGTGTGTATCCAAAGTGCTCTGTCAAAAGGAAAGTTCTTCTCTGCTAGTTGAGTACATACCTCATAAAGAAGTTTCTGAGAATGTTTCTGTCTAGTGTTTATGGGAAGATATTTGCTTTTTCACCAGAGTTCTCAAAGCGCTCCAAATGTCCACTTCCACATACAACAAAAAGAGTGTTTCAAAACTGCTCTATGAAAGGGAGTGTTCAACACTAAGAGTTGAATGCAAACATCACAAACCAGTTTCTGAGAATGCTTCTGTCTAGATTTGATATGAAGATATTCCCGTTTCCAACGACATCTTCAAATCTATCCAAATGTCCACTTGCAGATTCAACAAAAAGTGTTTTTCAGAACTGCTCTATCAAAAGAAAGATCCACCTCTGTTAGCTGAGTTCACACATCACAAACAAGTTTATGAGAATGCTTCTGTCTAGTTTTTATTGGAAGATATTTCCTTTCTCACCATAGACCTGAAAGCTGTCCTAATGTTCACTTCCAGTTACTACAGAAAGAGTGTTTCAAAACTGCTGTACGAAAGGGAATGTTCAACTCTGTGACTTGAATGCACACATTACAAAGAAGTTTCTGAGGATGCTGCTGTTCTACTTTTTATACGTAATCCCGTTTCCAACGAAATCCTCCAAGCTATCCAAATATCCACTTGCAGATTCCACAGAAAGACTGTTTCAAAACTGCTCTGTCAATAGAAAGGTTCAACTCTGTTAGCTGCGTGCATATATCCCAAAGAAGATTCTGAGATTGCTTCTGTCTAGTTTTGATGGGAAGATATTTCCCTTTTCACCGTGGGCATCAAGGCGCTCCAAATGTCCACTTCCAGATACTACAAAAAGAGTGTTTCAAACCTACTCTGTGAAAGGGAATATTCAACTCTGTGACTTGAATGCACATATCACAAGGAAGTTTCTGAGAATGCTTCTGTCGAGATTTTATATGAAGATATTCCCGTTTCCAACGAAATCCTGAAATCTATCCAAATATCCCCTCGCAGATTCTACAAAAAGAGTGTTTCAAAACTGCTGTGTAAAAAGAAAGGTTCAACTCTGTTAGTTGAGTACACACATCACAAACAAGTTTCACAGAATGCTTCTTTCTAGCTTGTAGGGGAAGATATTCCCTTTATCACCATGGGCCTCAAACCGTCCGAAACGTCCACTTCCATATACTACAAAAAGAGCGTTTCAAACCTGCTCTATGAAAGGCAATGTTCAACTCTGTGACTTGAATGCAGACATCACAGAGCAGTTTCTGAGAATGATTCTGTCTAGATTTTATAGGAAGATATTCCCGTTTCCAACAAAATCTTCACAGCTATCCAAATATCCACTTGCAGATTCTACAAAAAGAGTGTATCAAAACTGCTCTGTCAAAAGGAAGGTTCTTCTCTGTTAGGTGAGTGCATACGTCATAAAGGAGTTTCTGAGAAAGTTTCTGTCTAGTGGTTATGGGAAGATATTTGCTTTTTCACCGAAGGCCTCAGAGAGCTCCAAATATCCACTTGCACATACTGCAAAATGAGTGCCTCAAAGCTGCTCTCTGAAACGGAATGTTCAACTCTATGAGTTGAATGCAAACATCACAAAGACGTTTCCGAGAATGCTTCTGTCTAGATTTGATATGAAGATATTCCCGTTTCCAACGAAATCTTCAAATCTATCCAAATGTCCACTTGCAGATTCAACAAAAAGTGTTTTTCAAAACTGCTGTATCAAAAGAAAGATCCACCTCTGTTAGCTGAGTTCACACATCACAAACAAGTTTATGAGAATGCTTCTGTCTAGTTTTTATTTGAAGATATTTCCTTTCTCACCATAGACCTGAAAGCTGTCCTAATGTTCACTTCCAGATACTACAGAAAGAGTGTTTCAAAATTGCTGTACGAAAGGGAATGTTCAACTCTGTGACTTGAATGCACACATCACAAAGAAGTTTCTGAGGATGCTGCTGTCTACTTTTTATACGTAATCCCGTTTCCAACGAAATCCTCCAAGCTATCCAAATATCCACTTGCAGATTCCACAGAAAGACTGTTTCAAAACTGCTCTGTCAATAGAAAGGTTCAACTCTGTTAGCTGCGTGCATATATCCCAAAGAAGTTTCTGAGATTACTTCTGTCTAGTTTTTATGGGAAGATATTTCCCTTTTCACCGTAGGCGTCAAGGCGCTCCAAATGTCCACTTCCAGATACTACAAAAAGAATGTTTCAAACCTACTCTGTGAAAGGGAATATTCAACTCTGTGACTTGAATGCACATATCACAAAGAAGTTTCTGAGAATGCTTCTGTCGAGATTTTATATGAAGATATTCCCGTTTCCAACGAAATCCTGAAATCTATCCAAATATCCCCTCGCAGATTCTAGAAAAAGAGGGTTTCAAAACTGCTCTGTAAAAAGAAAGGTTCAACTCTGTTAGTTGAGTACACACATCACAAACAAGTTTCACAGAATGCTTCTTTCTAGCTTGTAGGGGAAGATATTCCCTTTATCACCACGGGCCTCAAACCGTCCGAAACGTCCACTTCCATATACTACAAAAAGAGCGTTTCAAACCTGCTCTATGAAAGGCAATGTTCAACTCTGTGACTTGAATGCAGACATCACAGAGCAGTTTCTGAGAATGCTTCTGTCTAGATTTTATAGGAAGATATTCCCGTTTCCAGCGAAATCTTCACAGGTATCCAAATATCCACTTGCAGATTCTACAAAAAGAGTGTATCAAAACTGCTCTGTCAAAAGGAAGGTTCTTCTCTGTTAGGTGAGTGCATACGTCATAAAGGAGTTTCTGAGAATGTTTCTGTCTAGTGGTTATGGGAAGATATTTGCTTTTTCACCTTAGGCCTCAGGAGCGCTCCAAATATCCCCTTGCACATACTACAAAAAGAGTGCTTCAAAGCTGCTCTCTGAAAGGGAATGTTCAACTCTATGAGTTGAATGCAAACATCACAAAGACGTTTCTGAGAATGCCTCTGTCTAGATTTGATATGAAGATATTCCCGTTTCCAACGAAATCTTCAAATCTATCCAAATGTCCACTTGCAGATTCAACAAAAAGTGTTTTTCAGAACTGCTCTATCAAAAGAAAGATGCACCTCTGTTAGCTGAGTTCAGACATCACAAACAAGTTTATGAGAATGCTTCTGTCTAGTTTTTATTTGAAGATATTTCCTTTCTCACCATAGACCTGAAAGCTGTCCTAATGTTCACTTCCAGATACTACAGAAAGAGTGTTTCAAAACTGCTGTACGAAAGGGAATATTCAACTCTGTGACTTGAATGCACACATCACAAAGAAGCTTCTGAGGATGCTGCTGTCTACTTTTTATACGTAATCCCGTTTCCAACGAAATCCTCCAAGCTATCCAAATATCCACTTGCAGATTCCACAGAAAGACTGTTTCAAAACTGCTATGTCAATAGAAAAGTTCAACTCTGTTAGCTGTGTGCATATATCCCAAAGAAAATTCTGAGATTGCTTCTGTCTAGTTTTTATGGGAAGATATTTCCCTTTTAACCATAGGCGTCAAGGCGCTCCAAATGTCCACTTCCAGATACTACAAAAAGAGTGTTTCAAACCTACTCTGTGAAAGGGAATATTCACCTCTGTGACTTGAATGCAGATATCACAAAGAAGTTTCTGAGAATGCTTCTGTCGAGATTTTATATGAAGATATTCCCGTTTCCAACAAAATCCTGAAATCTATCCAAATATCCCCTCGCAGATTCTACAAAAAGAGTGTTTCAAAACTGCTCTGTAAAAAGAAAGGTTCAACTCTGTTAATTGAGTACACACATCACAAACAAGTTTCACAGAATGCTTCTTTCTAGCTTGTAGGGGAAGATATTCCCTTTATCACCATGGGCCTCAAACCGTCCGAAACGTTTACTTCCATATACTACAAAAAGAGCGTTTCAAACCTGCTCTATGAAAGGCAATGTTCAACTCTGTGACTTGAATGCAGACATCACAGAGCAGTTTCTGAGAATGCTTCTGTCTAGATTTTATAGGAAGATATTTCCGTTTCCAACGAAACCTTCACATCTATCCAAATATCCACTTGCAGATTCTACAAAAAGAGTGTATCAAAACTGCTCTGTCAAAAGGAAGGTTCTTCTCTGTTAGGTGAGTGCATACGTCATAAAGGAGTTTCTGAGAATGTTTCTGTCTAGTGGTTATGGGAAGATATTTGCTTTTTCCCCTTAGGCCTCAAAGCGCTCCAAATGTCAACTTGCACATACTACAAAAAGAGTGCTTCAAAGCTGCTCTCTGAAAGGGAATGTTCAACTCTATGAGTTGAATGCAAACATCACAAAGACGTTTCTGAGAATGCTTCTGTCTTGATTTGATATGAAGATATTCCCGTTTCCAACGAAATCTTCAAATCTATCCAAATGTCCACTTGCAGATTCAACAAAAAGTGTTTTTCAGAACTGCTCTATCAAAAGAAAGATCCACCTCTGTTAGCTGAGTTCACACATCACAAACAAGTTTATGAGAATGCTTCTGTCTAGTTTTTATTTGAAGATATATCCTTTCTCACTATAGACCTGAAAGCTCTCCTAAAGTTCACTTCCAGATACTACAGAAAGAGTGTTTCAAAACTGCTGTACGAAAGGTAATGTTCAACTCTGTGACTTGAATGCACACATCACAAGGATGTTTCTGAGGATGCTGCTGTCTAATTTTTATACGTAATCCCGTTTCCAACGAAATCCTCCAAGCTATCCAAATATCCACTTGCAGATTCCACAGAAAGACTGTTTCAAAACTGCTCTGTCAATAGAAAGGTTCAACTCTGTTAGCTGCGTGCATATATCCGAAAGAAGATTCTGAGATTGCTTCTGTCTACTTTTTATGAGAAGATATTTTCCTTTTCACCGTAGGCATCAAGGCGCTCCAAATGTCCACTTCCAGATACTACAAAAAGAGTGTTTCAAACCTACTCTGTGAAAGGGAATATTCAACTCTGTGACTTGAATGCACATATCACAAAGAAGTTTCTGAGAATGCTTCTGTCGAGATTTTATATGAAGTTATTCCCGTTTCCAACGAAATCCTGAAATCTATCCAAATATCCCCTCGCAGATTCTACAAAAAGAGTGTTTCAAAACTGCTCTGTAAAAGGAAAGGTTCAACTCTGTTAGTTGAGTACACACATCACAAACAAGTTTCACAGAATGCTTCTTTCTAGCTTGTAGGGGAAGATATTCCCTTTATCACCATGGGCCTGAAACCGTCCGAAACGTCTACTTCCATATACTACAAAAAGAGCGTTTCAAACCTGCTCTATGAAAGGCAATGTTCAACTCTGTGACTTGAATGCAGACATCACAGAGCAGTTTCTGAGAATGCTTTCTGTCTAGATTTTATAGGAAGATATTCCCGATTCCAACGAAATCTTCGCAGCTATCCAAATATCCACTTGCAGATTCTACAAAAAGCGTGTATCAAAACTGTTCTGTCAAAAGGAAGGTTCTTCTCTGTTAGGTGAGTGCATACGTCATAAAGCAGTTTCTGAGAATGTTTCTGTCTAGTGGTTATGGGAAGATATTTGCTTTTTCCCCGTAGGCCTCAGGGCGCTCCAAATGTCCACTTGCACATGCTACAAAAAGAGTGCTTCAAAGCTGCTCTCTGAAAGGGAATGTTCAACTCTATGAGTTGAAGGCAAACATCACAAAGACGTTTCTGAGAATGTTTCTGTCTAGATTTGATATGAAGATATTCCCGTTTCCAACGAAATCTTCAAATCTATCCAAATGTCCACTTGCAGATTCAACAAAAAGTGTTTTTCCGAACTGCTCTATCAAAAGAAAGATCCACCTCTGTTAGCTGAGTTCACACATCACAAACAAGTTTATGAGAATGCTCCTGTCTAGTTTTTATTTGAAGATATTTCCTTTCTCACCATAGACCTGAAAGCTGTCCTAATGTTCACTTCCAGATACTACAGAAAGAGTGTTTCAAAACTGCTGCACGAAAGGGAATGTTCAACTCTGTGACTTGAATGCACACATCACAAAGAAGTTTCTGAGGATGCTGCTGTCTACTTTTTATACGTAATCCCGTTTCCAACGAAATCCTCCAAGCTATCCAAATATCCACTTGCAGATTCCACAGAAAGACTGTTTCAAAACTGCTCTGTCAATAGAAAGGTTAAACTCTGTTAGCTGCGTGCATATATCCCAAAGAAGATTCTGAGATTGCTTCTGTCTAGTTTTTATGGGAAGATATTTCCCTTTTCACCGTAGGCGTCAAGGCGCTCCAAATGTCCAATTCCAGATACTATAAAAAGAGTGTTTCAAACCTACTCTGTGAAAGGGAATATTCAACTCTGTGACTTGAATGCAGATATCACAAAGAAGTTTCTGAGAATGCTTCTGTTGAGATTTTATATGAAGATATTCCCGTTTCCAACGAAATCCTGAAATCTATCCAAATATCCCCTCGCAGATTCTACAAAAAGAGTGTTTCAAAACTGCTCTGTAAAAAGAAAGGTTCAACTCTGTTACTTGAGTACACACATCACAAACAAGTTTCACAGAATGCTTCTTTCTAGCTTGTAGGGGAAGATATTCCCTTTATCACCATGGGCCTCAAACCGTCCGAAACGTCCACTTCCATATACTACAAAAAGAGCGTTTCAAACCTGCTCTATGAAAGGCAATGTTCAGCTCTGTGACTTGAATGCAGACATCACAGAGCAGTTTCTGAGAATGCTTCTGTCTAGTTTTTATAGGAAGATATTCCCGTTTCCAACGAAATCTTCACAGCTATCCAAATATCCACTTGCAGATTCTACAAAAAGAGTGTATCAAAACTGCTCTGTCAAAAGGAAGGTTCTTCTCTGTTAGGTGAGTGCATACGTCATAAAGGAGTTTCTGAGAATGTTTCTGTCTAGTGGTTATGGGAAGATATTTGCTTTTTCACCGTAGGCCTCAGAGCGCTCCAAATATCCACTTGAACATACTACAAAAAGAGTGCTTCAAAGCTGCTCTCTGAAACGGAATGTTCAACTCTATGAGTTGAATGCAACCATCACAAAGACGTTTCTGAGAATGCTTCTGTCTAGATTTGATATGAAGATATTCCCGTTTCCAACGAAATCTTCAAATCTATCCAAATGTCCACTTGCAGATTCAACAAAGTGTTTTTCAAAACTGCTCTATCAAAAGAAAGATCCACCACTGTTAGCTGAGTTCACACTTCACAAACAAGTTTATCAGTATTCTTCTGTCTAGTTTTTATTTGAAGATATATCCTTTCTCACTATAGACCTGAAAGCTTTCCTAAAGTTCACTTCCAGATACTACAGAAAGAGTGTTTCAAAACTGCTGTACGAAAGGGAATGTTCAACTCTGTGACTTGAATGCACACATCACAAGGATGTTTCTGAGGATGCTGCTGTCTACTTTTTATACGTAATCCCGTTTCCAACGAAATCCTCCAAGCTATCCAAATATCCACTTGCAGATTCCACAGAAAGACTGTTTCAAAACTGCTCTGTCAATAGAAAGGTTCAACTCTGTTAGCTGCGTGCATATATGCCAAAGAAGATTCTGAGATTGCTTCTGTCTAGTTTTTATGGGAAGATATTTCCCTTTTCACCGTAGGCGTCGAGGCGCTCCAAATGTCCACTTCCAGATACTACAAAAAGAGTGTTTCAAACCTACTCTGTGAAAGGGAATATTCAACTCTGTGACTTGAATGCACATATCACAAAGTAGTTTCTGAGAATGCTTCTGTCGAGATTTTATATGAAGATATTCCCGTTTCCAACGAAATCCTGAAATCTATCCAAATATCCCCTCGCAGATTCTACAAAAAGAGTGTTTCAAAACTGCTCTGTAAAAAGAAAGGTTCAACTCTGTTAGTTGAGTACACACATCACAAACAAGTTTCACAGAATCCTTCTTTCTGGCTTGTAGGGGAAGATATTCCCTTTATCACCATGGGCCTCAAACCGTCCGAAACGTCCACTTCCATATACTACAAAAAGAGCATTTCAAACCTGCTCTAGGAAAGGCAATGTTCAACTCTGTGACTTGAATGCAGACATCGCAGAGCAGTTTCTGAGTATGCTTCTGTCCAGACTTTATAGGAAGATATTCCCGTTTCCAACGAAATCTTCACAGCTATCCAAATATCCACTTGCAGATAGTACAAAAAGAGTGTATCGAAAATGCTCTGTCAAAAGGAAAGTTCTTCTCTGCTAGTTGAGTACATACGTCATAAAGAAGTTTCGGAGAATGTTTCCTGTTTAGTGGTTATGGGAAGATATTTGCTTTTTCACCTTAGGCCTCAGAGCGCTCCAAATATCCCCTTGCACATACTACAAAAAGAGTGCTTCAAAGCTGCTCTCTGAAACGGAATGTTCAACTCTATGAGTTGAATGCAAACATGACAAAGACGTTTCCGAGAATGCTTTCTGTCTAGATTTGATATGAAGATATTCCCGTTTCCAACGAAATCTTCAAATCTATCCAAATGTCCACTTGCAGATTCAACAAAAGTGTTTTTCAGAACTGCTCTATCAAAAGAAAGATCCACGTGTGTTAGCTGAGTTCACACATCACAAACAAGTTTATGAGAATGCTTCTGTCTAGTTTTTATTTGAAGATATTTCCTTTCTCACCATAAACCTGAAAGCTGTCCTAATGTTCACTTCCAGATACTACAGAAAGAGTGTTTCAAAACTGCTGTACGGAAGGGAATGTTCAACACTGTGACTTGAATGCACACATCACAAAGAAGTTACCTGAGGATGCTGCTGTCTACTTTTTATATGTAATCCCGTTTCCAACGAAATCCTCCAAGCTATCCAAATATCCACTTGCAGATTCCACAGAAAGACTGTTTCAAAAGTGCTCTGTCAATAGAAAGGTACAACTCTGTTAGCTGCGTGCATATATCCCAAAGAAGATTCTGAGATTGCTTCTGTCTAGTTTTTAATGGGAAGATATTTCCCTTTTCACCGTAGGTGTCAAGGCGCTCCAAATGTCCACTTCCAGATACTACAAAAAGAGTGTTTCCAACCTACTCTGTGAAAGGGAATATTCAACTCTGTGACTTGAATGCACATATCACAAAGAAGTTTCTGAGAATGCTTCTGTCGAGATTTTATATGAAGATATTCCCGTTTCCAACGAAATCCTGAAATCTATCCAAATATCCCCTCGCAGATTCTACAAAAAGAGTGTTTCAAAACTGCTCTGTAAAAAGAAAGGTTCAACTCTGTTACTTGACTACACACATCACAAACAAGTTTCACAGAATGCTTCTTTCTAGCTTGTAGGGAAGATATTCCCTTTATCACCATGGGCCTCCAACCGTCCGAAACATCCACTTCCATATACTACAAAAAGAGCGTTTCAAACCTGCTCTATGAAAGGCAATGTTCAACTCTGTGACTTGAATGCAGACATCACAGAGCAGTTTCTGAGAATGCTTCTGTCCAGACTTTATAGGAAGATATTCCCGTTTCCAACGAAATCTTCACAGCTATCCAAATATCCACTTGCAGATAGTACAAAAAGAGTGTATCAGAAATGCTCTGTCAAAAGGAAAGTTCTTCTCTGCTAGTTGAGTACATACGTCATAAAGAACTTTCTGAGAATGTTTCTGTCTAGTGGTTATGGGAAGATATTTGCTTTTTCCCCGTAGGCCTCAGGGCGCTCCAAATGTCCACTTGCACATGCTACAAAAAGAGTGCTTCAAAGCTGCTCTCTGAAACGGAATGTTCAACTCTATGAGTTGAATGCAAACATCGCAA
Organism: Homo sapiens; assembly: GCF_000001405.40. Classification (NCBI taxonomy): domain Eukaryota; kingdom Metazoa; phylum Chordata; class Mammalia; order Primates; family Hominidae; genus Homo; species Homo sapiens. The sequence goes on along the minus strand of NC_000013.11, from coordinate 17,076,959 downwards.
AGACGTTTCTGAGAATGCTTCTGTCTAGATTTGATATGAAGATATTCCCGTTTCCAACGAAATCTTCAAATCTATCCAAATGTCCACTTGCAGATTCAACAAAAAGTGTTTTTCAGAAGTGCTCTATCAAAAGAAAGATCCACCTCTGTTAGCTGAGTTCACACATCACAAACAAGTTTATGAAAATGTTTCTGTCTAGTTTTTATTTGAAGATATATCCTTTCTCACTATAGACCTGAAAGCTGTCCTAAAGTTCACTTCCAGATACAAAGAAAGAGTGTTTCAAAACTGCTGTACGAAAGGGAATGTTCAACTCTGTGACTTGAATGCACACATCACAAGGATGTTTCTGAGGATGCTGCTGTCTACTTTTTATACGTAATCCCGTTTCCAACGAAATCCTCCAAGCTATCCAAATATCCACTTGCAGATTCCACAGAAAGACTGTTTCAAAACTGCTCTGTCAATAGAAAGGTTCAAATCTGTTAGCTGCGTGCATATATCCCAAAGAAGATTCTGAGATTCCTTTCTGTCTAGTTTTTATTGGAAGATATTTCCCTTTTCACCGTAGGTGTCAAGGCGCTCCAAATGTCCACTTCCAGATACTACAAAAAGAGTGTTTCAAACCTACTCTGTGAAAGGGAATATTCAACTCTGTGACCTGAATGCACATATCACAAGGAAGTTTCTGAGAATGCTTCTGTCGAGATTTTATATGAAGATATTCCCGTTTCCAACGAAATGCTGAAATGTATCCAAATATCCCCTCGCAGATTCTACAAAAAGAGTGTTTCAAAACTGCTCTGTAAAAAGAAAGGTTCAACTCTGTTAGTTGAGTACACACATCACAAACAAGTTTCACAGTAATGCTTCTTTCTAGCTTGTAGGGGAAGATATTCCCTTTATCACCATGGGCCTGAAACCGTCCGAAACGTCTACTTCCATATACTACAAAAAGAGCGTTTCAAATCTGCTCCATGAAAGGCAATGTTCAACTCTGTGACTTGAATGCAGACATCACAGAGCAGTTTCTGAGAATGCTTCTGTCTAGATTTTATAGGAAGATATTCCCGTTTCCAACGAAATCTTCACAGCTATCCAAATATCCACTTGCAGATTCTACAAAAAGAGTGTATCAAAACTGCTCTGTCAAAAGGAAGGTTCTTTTCTGTTAGGTGAGTGCATACGTCATAAAGGAGTTTTTGAGAATGTTTCTGTCTAGTGGTTATGGGCAAGATATTTGCTTTTTCACCGTAGGCCTCAGAGCGCTCCAAATATCCACTTGCACATACTACAAAAAGAGTGCTTCAAAGCTGCTCTCTGAAACGGAATGTTCAACTCTATGAGTTGAATGCAAACATCACAAAGACGTTTCTGAGAATGCTTCTGTCTAGATTTGATATGAAGATATTCCCGTTTCCAACGACATCTTCAAATCTATCCAAATGTCCACTTGCAGATTCAACAAAACGTGTTTTTCAGAACTGCTCTATCAAAAGAAAGATCCACCTCTGTTAGCTGAGTTCACACATCACAAACAAGTTTATGAGAATGCTTCTGTCTAGTTTTTATTTGAAGATATTTCCTTTCTCACCATAGACCTGAAAACTGTCCTAATGTTCACTTGCAGATACTACAGAAAGAGTGTTTCAAAACTGCTGTACGAAAGGGAATGTTCAACTCTGTGACTTGAATGCACACATCACAAAGAAGTTTCTGAGGATGCTGCTGTCTACTTTTTATACGTAATCCCGTTTCCAACGAAATCCTCCAAGCTATCCAAATATCCACTTGCAGATTCCACAGAAAGACTGTTTCAAAACTGCTCTGTCAATAGAAAGGTTCAACTCTGTTAGCTGCGTGCATATATCCCAAAGAAGATTGCTGAGATTGCTTCTGTCTAGTTTTTATGGGAAGATATTTCCCTTTTCACCGTAGGCGTCAAGGCGCTCAAAATGTCCACTTCCAGATACTACAAAAAGAGTGTTTCAAACCTACTCTATGAAAGGGAATATTCAACTCTGTGACTTGAATGCACATATCACAAAGAAGTTTCTGAGAATGCTTCTGTCGAGATTTTATGTGAAGATATTCCCGTTTCCAACGAAATCCTGAAATCTATCCAAATATCCCCTCGCAGATTCTACAAAAAGAGTGTTTCAAAACTGCTCTGTAAAAAGAAAGGTTCAACTCTGTTAGTTGAGTACACACATCACAAACAAGTTTCACAGAATGCTTCTTTCTAGCTTGTAGGGGAAGATATTCCCTTTATCACCATGGGCCTCAAACCGTCCGAAACGTCCATTTCCATATACTACAAAAAGAGCGTTTCAAACCTGCTCCATGAAAGGCAATGTTCAACTCTGTGACTTGAATGCAGACATCACAGAGCAGTTTCTGAGAATGCTTCTGTCTAGATTTTATAGGAAGATATTACCGTTTCCAACGAAATCTTCACAGCTATCCCAATATCCACTTGCAGATTCTACAAAAAGAGTGTATCAAAACTGCTCTGTCAAAAGGAAGGTTCTTCTCTGTTAGTTGAGTACATACGTCATAAAGGAGTTTCTGAGAATGTTTCTGTCTAGTGGTTATGGGAAGATATTTGCTTTTTCACCGTAGACCTCAGAGCGCTCCAAATATCCACTTGCACATACTACAAAAAGAGTGCTTCAAAGCTGCTCTCTGAAACGGAATGTTCAACTCTATGAGTTGAATGCAAACATCACAAAGACGTTTCTGAGAATGCTTCTGTCTAGATTTGATGTGAAGATATTCCCGTTTCCAACGAAATCTTCAAATCTATCCAAATGTCCACTTGCAGATTCAACAAAAAGTGTTTTTCCGAACTGCTCTATCAACAGAAAGATCCGCCTCTGTTAGCTGAGTTCACACATCACAAACAAGTTTATGAGAATGCTTCTGTCTAGTTTTTATTTGAAGATATTTCCTTTCTCACCATAGACCTGAAAGCTGTCCTAATGTTCACTTCCAGATACTACAGAAAGAGTGTTTCAAAACTGCTGTACGAAAGGGAATGTGCAACTCTGTGACTTGAATGCACACATCACAAGGAAGTTTCTGAGGATGCTGCTGTCTACTTTTTATACGTAAACCCGTTTCCAACGAAATCCTCCAAGCTATCCAAATATCCACTTGCAGATTCCACAGAAAGACTGTTTCAAAACTGCTCTGTCAATAGAAAGGTTCAACTCTGTTAGCTGCATGCATATATCCCAAAGAAGATTCTGAGATTGCTTCTGTCTAGTTTTTATGGGAAGATATTTCCCTTTTCACCGTAGGCGTCAAGGCGCTCCAAATGTCCACTTCCAGATACTACAAAAAGAGTGTTTCAAACCTACTCTGTGGAAGGGAATATTCAACTCTGTGACTTGAATGCACATATCACAAAGAAGTTTCTGAGAATGCTTCTGTCGAGATTTTATATGAAGATATTCCCGTTTCCAACAAAATCCTGAAATCTATCCAAATATCCCCTCGCAGATTCTACAAAAAGAGTGTTTCAAAACTGCTCTGTAAAAAGAATGGTTCAACTCTGTTAGTTGAGTACACACATCACAAACAAGTTTCACAGAATGCTTCTTTCTAGCTTGTAGGGGAAGATATTCCCTTTATCACCATGGGCCTCAAACCGTCCAAAAAGTCTACTTCCATATACTACAAAAAGAGCGTTTCAAACCTACTCTATGAAAGGCAATGTTCAACTCTGTGACTTGAATGCAGACATCACAGAGCAGTTTCTGAGAATGCTTCTGTCTGGATTTTATAGGAAGATATTCCCGTTTCCAACGAAATCTTCACAGCTATCCAAATATCCACTTGCAGATTCTACAAAAAGAGTGTATCAAAACTGCTCTGTCAAAAGGAAGGTTCTTCTCTGTTAGTTGAGTACATACGTCATAAAGGAGTTTCTGAGAATGTTTCTGTCTAGTGGTTATGGGAAGATATTTGCTTTTTCACCTTAGGCCTCAGAGCGCTCCAAATATCCACTTGCACATACTACAAAAAGAGTGCTTCAAAGCTGCTCTCTGAAACGGAATGTTCAACTCTATGGGTTGAATGCAAACATCACAAAGACGTTTCTGAGAATGCTTCTGTCTAGATTTGATATGAAGATATTCCCGTTTCCAACGAAATCTTCAAATCTATCCAAATGTCCACTTGCAGATTCAACAAAAAGTGTTTTTCAGAACTGCTCTATCAAAAGAAAGATCCACCTCTGTTAGCTGAGTTCACACATCACAAACAAGTTGATGAGAATGCTTCTGTCTAGTTTTTATTTGAAGATATTTCCTTTCTCACCATAGACCTGAAAGCTGTCCTAATGTTCACTTCCAGATACTACAGAAAGAGTGTTTCAAAACTGCAGTACGAAAGGGAATGTTCAACTCTGTGACTTGAATGCACACATCACAAAGAAGTTTCTGAGGATGCTGCTGTCTACTTTTTATACGTAATCCCGTTTCCAACGAAATCCTCCAAGCTATCCAAATATCCACTTGCAGATTCCACAGAAAGACTGTTTCAAAAGTGCTCTCTCAATAGAAAGGTTCAACTCTGTTAGCTGCGTGCATATATCCCAAAGACGATTCTGAGATTGCTTCTCTCTAGTTTTTATGGGAAGATATTTCCCTTTTCACCGTAGGTGTCAAGGCGCTCCAAATGTCCACTTCCAGATACTACAAAAAGAGTGTTTCAAACCTACTCTGTGAAAGGGAATATTCAACTCTGTGACTTGAATGCACATATCACAAAGAAGTTTCTGAGAATGCTTCTGTCGAGATTTTATATGAAGATATTCCCGTTTCCAACGAAATCCTGAAATCTATCGAAATATCCCCTCGCAGATTCTACAAAAAGAGTGTTTCAAAACTGCTCTGTAAAAAGAAAGGTTCAACTCTGTTAGTTGAGTACACACATCACAAACAAGTTTCACAGAATGCTTCTTTCTAGCTTGTAGGGGAATATATTCCCTTTATCACCATGGGTCTCAAACCGTCCGAAACGTCCACTTCCATACACTACAAAAAGAGCGTTTCAAACCTGCTCTATGAAAGGCAATGTTCAACTCTGTGACTTGAATGCAGACATCACAGAGCTGTTTCTGAGAATGCTTCTGTCTAGATTTTATAGGAAGATATTCCCGTTTCCAACGAAATCTTCACAGCTATCCAAATATCCACTTGCAGATTCTACAAAAGGAGTGTATCAAAACTGCTCTGTCAAAAGGAAGGTTCTTCTCTGTTAGGTGAGTGCATACGTCATAAAGCAGTTTCTGAGAATGTTTCTGTCTAGTCGTTATGGGAAGATATTTGCTTTTTCACCGTAGGCCTCAGAGCGCTCCAAATATCCACTTGCACATACTACAAAAAGAGTGCTTCAAAGCTGGTCTCTGAAACGGAATGTTCAACTCTATGAGTTGAATGCAAACATCACAAAGACGTTTCTGAGAATGCTTCTGTCTAGATTTGATATGAAGATATTCCCGTTTCCAAAGAAAATCTTCAAATCTATCCAAATGTCCACTTGCAGATTCAACAAAAAGTGTTTTTCAGAACTGCTCTATCAAAAGAAAGATCCACCTCTGTTAGCTGAGTTCACACATCAGAAACAAGTTTATGAGAATGCTTCTGTCTAGTTTTTATTTGAAGATATTTCCTTTCTCACCATAGAGCTGAAAGCTGTCCTAATGTTCACTTCCAGATACTACAGAAAGAGTGTTTCAAAACTGCTGTACGAAAGGGAATGTTCAACTCTGTGACTTGAATGCACACATCACAAAGAAGTTTTCTGAGGATGCTGCTGTCTACTTTTGATACGTAATCCCGTTTCCAACGAAATCCTCAAAGCTATCCAAATATCCACTTGCAGATTCCACAGAAAGACTGTTTCAAAACTGCTCTGTCAATAGAAAGGTTCAACTCTGTTAGCTGCGTGCATATATCCCAAAGAAGATTCTGAGATTGCTTCTGTCTAGTTTTTATGGGAAGATATTTCCCTTTTCACTGTAGGCGTCAAGGCGCTCCAAATGTCCACTTCCAGATACTACAAAAAGAGTGTTTCAAACCTACTCTGTGAAAGGGAATATTCAACTCTGTGACTTGAATGCAGATATCACAAAGAAGTTTCTGAGAATGCTTCTGTCGAGATTTTATATGAAGATATTCCCGTTTCCAACGAAATCCTGAAATCTATCCAAATATCCCCTCGCAGATTCTACAAAAAGAGTGTTTCAAAACTGCTCTGTAAAAAGAAAGGTTCAACTCTGTTAGTTGAGTACACACATCACAAACAAGTTTCACAGAATGCTCTTTCTAGCTTGTAGGGGAAGATATTCCCTTCATCACCATGGGCCTCCAACCGTCCGAAACATCCACTTCCATATACTACAAAAAGAGCGTTTCAAACCTGCTCTATGAAAGGCAATGTTCAACTCTGTGACTTGAATGCAGACATCACAGAGTAGTTTCTGAGAATGCTTCTGTCTAGATTTTATAGGAAGATATTCCCGTTTCCAACGAAATCTTCACAGCTATCCAAATATCCACTTGCAGATTCTACAAAAAGAGTGTATCAAACTGCTCAGTCAAAAGGAAGGTTCTTCTCTGTTAGGTGAGTGCATACGTCATAAAGGAGTTTCTGAGAATGTTTCTGTCTAGTGGTTATGGGAAGATATTTGCTTTTTCCCCGTAGGCCTCAGGGCGCTCCAAATGTCCACTTGCACATGCTACAAAAAGAGTGCTTCAAAGCTGCTCTCTGAAAGGGAATGTTCAACTCTATGAGTTGAATGCAAACATCACAAAGACGTTTCTGAGAATGTTTCTGTCTAGATTTATGACGATATTCCCGTTTCCAACGAAATCTTCAAATCTATCCAAATGTCCACTTGCAGATTCAACAAAGTGTTTTTCAGAACTGCTCTATCAAAAGAAAGATCCACCTCTGTTAGCTGAGATCACACTTCACAAACAAGTTTATCAGAATGCTTCTGTCTAGTTTTTATTTGAAGATATATCCTTTCTCACTATAGACCTGAAAGCTCTCCTAAAGTTCACTTCCAGATACTACAGAAAGAGTGTTTCAAAACTGCTGTACGAAAGGGAATGTTCAACTCTGTGACTTGAATGCAGACATCACAGAGCAGTTTCTGAGAATGCTCTGTCTACTTTTTATACGTAATCCCGTTTCCAACGAAATCCTCCAAGCTATCCAAATATCCACTTGCAGATTCCACAGAAAGACTGTTTCAAAACTGCTCTGTCAATAGAAAGGTTCAACTCTGTTAGCTGCATGCATATATCCCAAAGAAGATTCTGAGATTGCTTTCTGTCTAGTTTTTATGGAAGATATTTCCCTTTTCACCGTAGGCGTCAAGGCGCTCCAAATGTCCACTTCCAAATACTACAAAAAGAGTGTTTCAAACCTACTCTGTGAAAGGGAATATTCAACTCTGTGACTTGAATGCACATATCACAAAGAAGTTTCTGAGAATGCTTCTGTCGAGATTTTATATGAAGATATTCCCGTTTCGAACGAAATCCTGAAATCTATCCAAATATCCCCTCGCAGATTCTACAAAAAGAGTGTTTCAAAACTGCTCTGTAAAAAGTAAGGTTCAACTCTGTTAGTTGAGTACACACATCACAAACAAGTTTCACAGAATGCTTCTTTCTAGCTTGTAGGGGAAGATATTCCCTTTATCACCATGGGCCTCAAACCATCCGAAACGTCCACTTCCATATACTACAAAAAGAGCGTTTCAAACCTGCTCTAGGAAAGGCAATGTTCAACTCTGTGACTTGAATGCAGACATCACAGAGTAGTTTCTGAGAATGCTTCTGTCTAGATTTTATAGGAAGATATTCCCGTTTCCAACGAAATCTTCACAGCTATCCAAATATCCACTTGCAGATTCTACAAAAAGAGTGTATCAAAACTGCTCTGTGAAAAGGAAGGTTCTTCTCTCTTAGTTGAGTACATACGTCATAAAGGAGTTTCTGAGAATGTTTCTGTCTAGTGGTTATGGGAAGATATTTGCTTTTTCACCGTAGGCCTCACAGCGCTCCAAATATCCACTTGCACATACTACAAAAAGAGTGCTTCAAAGCTGCTCTCTGAAAGTGAATGCTCAACTCTATGAGTTGAATGCAAACATCACAAAGACGTTTCTGAGAATGCTTCTGTCTAGATTTGATATGAAGATATTCCCGTTTCCAACGAAATCTTCAAATCTATCCAAATATCCACTTCCAGATTCAACAAAAAGTGTTTTTCAGAACTGCTCTATCAAAAGAAAGATCCACCTCTGTTAGCTGAGTTCACACATCACAAACAAGTTTATGAGAATGCTTCTGTCTAGTTTTTACTTGAGGATATTTCCTTTCTCACCATAGACCTGAAAGCTGTCCTAATGTTCACTTCCAGATACTACAGAAAGAGTGTTTCAAAACTGCTGTACGAAAGGGAATGTTCAACTCTGTGACTCCAATGTACACATCACAAAGAAGTTTCTGAGGATGCTGCTGTCTACTTTTTATACGTAATCCCGTTTCCAACAAAATCCTCCAAGCTATCCAAATATCCACTTGCAGATACCACAGAAAGACTGTTTCAAAACTGCTCTGTCAATAGAAAGGTTCAACTCTGTTAGCTGCGTGCATATATCCCAAAGAGGATTCTGAGATTGCTTCTGTCTAGTTTTTATGGGAAGATATTACCCTTTTCACCGTAGGTGTCAAGGCGCTCCAAATGTCCACTTCCAGATACTACAAAAAGAGTGTTTCAAACCTACTCTGTGAAAGGGAATATTCAACTCTGTGACTTAAAGGCAGATATCACAAAGAAGTTTCTGAGAATGCTTCTGTCGAGATTTTATATGAAGATATTCCCCTTTCCAACGAAATCCTGAAATCTATCCAAATATCCCCTCGCAGATTCTACAAAAAGAGTGTTTCAAAACTGCTCTGTAAAAAGAAAGGTTCAACTCTGTTAGTTGAGTACACACATCACAAACAAGTTTCACAGAATTCTTCTTTCTAGCTTGTAGGGGAAGATATTCCCTTTATCACCATGGGCCTCAAACCGTCCGAAACGTCCACTTCCATATACTACAAAAAGAGCGTTTCAAACCTGCTCTATCAAAGGCAATGTTCAACTCTGTGACTTGAATGCAGACATCACAGAGCAGTTTCTGAGAATGCTTCTGTCTAGATTTTATAGGAAGATATTCCCGTTTCCAGCGAAATCTTCACAGCTATCCAAATATCCACTTGCAGATTCTACAAAAAGAGTGTATCAAAACTGCTCTGTCAAAAGGAAGGTTCTTCTCTGTTAGGTGAGTGCATACGTCATAAAGGAGTTTCTGAGAATGTTTCTGTCTAGTTGTTATGGGAAGATATTTGCTTTTTCACCGTAGGCCTCAGAGCGCTCCAAATATCCACTTGCACATACTACAAAAAGAGTGCCTCAAAGCTGCTCTCTGAAACGGAATGTTCAACTCTATGAGTTGAATGCAAACATCACAAAGACGTTTCTGAGAATGCTTCTATCTAGATTTGATATGAAGATATTCCCGTTTCCAACGAAATCTTCAAATCTATCCAAATGTCCACTTGCAGATTCAACAAAAAGTGTTTTTCAAAACTGCTGTATCAAAAGAAAGATCCACGTCTGTTAGCTGAGTTCACATATCACAAACAATTTTATGAGAATGCTTCTGTCTAGTTTTTATTTGAAGATATTTCCTTTCTCACCATAGACCTGAAAACTGTCCTAATGTTCACTTCCAGATACTACAGAAAGAGTGTTTCAAAACTGCTGTACGAAAGGGAATGTTCAACTCTGTGACTTGAATGCACACATCACAAAGAAGTTTCTGAGGATGCTGCCGTCTACTTTTTATACGTAATCCCGTTTCCAACGAAATCCTCCAAGCTATCCAAATATCCACTTGCAGATTCCACAGAAAGACTGTTTCAAAACTGCTCTGTCAATAGAAAGGTTCAACTCTATTAGCTGCGTACATATATCCCAAAGAAGATTCTGAGATTGCTTCTGTCTAGTTTTTATGGGAAGATATTTCCCTTTACACCGTAGGTGTCAAGGCGCTCCAAATGTCCACTTCCAGATACTACAAAAAGAGTGTTTCAAACCTACTCTGTGAAAGGGAATATTCAACTCTGTGACTTGAATGCACATATCACAAAGAAGTTTCTGAGAATGCTTCTGTCGAGATTTTATATGAAGATATTCCCGTTTCCAACGAAATCCTGAAATCTATCCAAATATCCCCTCGCAGATTCTACAAAAAGAGTGTTTCAAAACTGCTCTGTAAAAAGAAAGGTTCAATTCTGTTAGTTGAGTACACACATCACAAACAAGTTTCACAGAATGCTTCTTTCTAGCTTGTAGGGGAAGATATTTCCTTTATCACCATGGTTCTCAAACCGTCCGAAACGTCCACTTCCATATACTAAAAAAAGAGTGTTTGAAACCTGCTCTATGAAAGGCAATGTTCAACTCTGTGACTTGAATGCAGACATCACAGAGCAGTTTCTGAGAATGCTTCTGTCCAGACTTTATAGGAAGATATTCCCGTTTCCAACGAAATCTTCACAGCTATCCAAATATCCACTTGCAGATAGTACAAAAAGAGTGTATCAAAAATGCTCTGTCAAAAGGAAAGTTCTTCTCTGCTAGTTGAGTACATACGTCATAAAGAAGTTTCTGAGAATGCTTCTGTCTAGTGGTTATGGGAAGATATTTGCTTTTTCACCGTAGGCCTCAGAGCGCTCCAAATATCCTCTTGCACATACTACAAAAAGAGTGCTTCAAAGCTGCTCTCTGAAACGGAATGTTCAACTCTATGAGTTGAATGCAAACATCAGAAAGACGTTTCTGAGAATGCTTCTGTCTAGTATTTGATATGAAGATATTCCCGTTTCCAACGAAATCTTCAAATCTATCCAAATGTCCACTTGCAGATTCAACAAAAAGTGTTTTTCAGAACTGCTCTATCAAAAGAAAGATCCACCTCTGTTAGCTGAGTTCAGACATCACAAACAAGTTTATGAGAATGCTTCTGTCTAGTTTTTATTTGAAGATATTTCCTTTCTCACCATAGACCTGAAAGCTGTCCTAATGTTCACTTCCAGATACTACAGAAAGAGTGTTTCAAAACTGCTGTACGAAAGGGAATGTTCAACTCTGTGACTTGAATGCACACATCACAAAGAAGTTTCTGAGGATGTTGCTGTCTACTATTTATACGTAATCCCGTTTCCAACGAAATCCTCCAATCTAACCAAATATCCACTTGCAGATTACACAGAAAGACTGTTTCAAAACTGCTCTGTCAATAGAAAGATTCAACTCTGTTAGCTGCGTGCATATATCCCAAAGAAGATTCTGAGATTGCTTCTGTCTAGTTTTTATGGGAAGATATTTCCCTTTTCACCATAGGCGTCAAGGCGCTCCAAATGTCCACTTCCAGATACTACAGAAAGAGTGTTTCAAACCTACTCTGTGAAAGGGAATATTCAACTCTGTGACTTGAATGCAGATATCACAAAGAAGTTTCTGAGAATGCTTCTGTCGAGATTTTATATGAAGATATTCCCGTTTCGAACGAAATCCTGAAATCTATCCAAATATCCCCTCGCAGATTCTACAAAAAGAGTGTTTCAAAACTGCTCTGTAAAAAGAAAGGTTCAACTCTGTTAGTTGAGTACACACATCACAAACAAGTTTCACAGAATGCTTCTTTCTAGCTTGTAGGGGAAGATATTCCCTTTATCACCATGGGCCTCAAACCGTCCGAAACGTCCACTTCCATATACTACAAAAAGAGCGTTAAAACCTGCTCTAGGAAAGGCAATGTTCAACTCTGTGACTTGAATGCAGACATCACAGAGCAGGTTCTGAGAATGCTTCTGTCTACATTTTATAGGAAGATATTCCCGTTTCCAACGAAATCTTCACAGCTATCCAAATATCCACTTGCAGATTCTACAAAAAGAGTGTATCAAAACTGCTCTGTCAAAAGGAAGGTTCTTCTCTGTTAGGTGAGTGCACACGTCATAAAGGAGTTTCTGAGAATGTTTCTGTCTACTGGTTATGGGAAGATATTTGCTTTTTCACCGTAGGCCTCAGAGCGCTCCAAATATCCTCTTGCACATACTACAAAAAGAGTGCTTCAAAGCTGCTCTCTGAAACGGAATGTTCAACTCTATGAGTTGAATGCAAACATCACAAAGACGTTTCTGAGAATGCTTCCGTCTAGATTTGATATGAAGATATTCCCGTTTCCAACGAAATCTTCAAATCTATCCAAATGTCCACTTGCAGATTCAACAAAAAGTGTTTTTCAGAAATGCTCTATCAAAAGAAAGATCCAACTCTGTTATCTGAGTTCACACTTCACAAACAAGTTTATCAGAATGCTTCTGTCTAGTTTTTATTTGAAGATATTTCCTTTCTCACTATAGACCTGAAAGCTCTCCTAAAGTTCACTTCCAGATACTACAGAAAGAGTGTTTCAAAACTGCTGTACGAAAGGGAATATTCAACTCTGTGACTTGAATGCACGCATCACAAGGAAGTTTCTGAGGATGCTGCTGTCTACTTTTTATACGTAATCCCGTTTCCAACGAAATCCTCCAAGCTATCCAAATATCCACTTGCAGATTCCACAGAAAGACTGTTTCAAAACTGCTCTGTCAATAGAAATGTTCAACTCTGTTAGCTGCATGCATATATTCCAAAGAAGATTCTGAGATTGCTTCTGTCTACTTTTTATGAGAAGATATTTTCCTTTTCACCGTAGGCGTCAAGGCGCTCCAAATGTCCACTTCCAGATACTACAAAAAGAGTGTTTCAAACCTACTCTGTGAAAGGGAATATTCAACTCTGTGACTTGAATGCACATATCACAAAGAAGTTTCTGAGAATGCTTCTGTCGAGATTTTCTATGAAGATATTCCCGTTTCCAACGAAATCCTGAAATCTATTCAAATATCCCCTCGCAGATTCTACAAAAAGAGTGTTTCAAAACTGCTCTGTAAAAAGAAAGGTTCAACTCTGTTAGTTGAGTACACACATCACAAAGAAGTTTCACAGAATGCTTCTTTCTAGCTTGTAGGGGAAGATATTCCCTTTATCACCATGGGCCTCCAACCGTCCGAAACATCCACTTCCATATACTACAAAAAGAGCGTTTCTAACCTGCTCTATGAAAGGCAATGTTCAACTCTGTGACTTGAATGCAGACATCACAGAGCAGTTTCTGAGAATGCTTCTGTCTAGATTTTATAGGAAGATATTCCCGTTTCCAACGAAATCTTCACAGCTATCCAAATATCCACTTGCAGATTCTACAAAAAGAGTGTATCAAAACTGCTCTGTCAAAAGGAAGGTTCTTCTCTGTTAGGTGAGTGCAAACGTCATAAAGGAGTTTCTGACAATATTTCTGTCTAGTGGTTATGGGAAGATATTTGCTTTTTCACCGCAGGCCTCAGAGCGGTCCAAATATCCACTTGCACATACTACAAAAAGAGTGCCTCAAAGCTGCTCTCTGAAACGGAATGTTCAACTCTATGAGTTGAATGCAAACATCACAAAGACGTTTCTGAGAATGCTTCTGTCTAGATTTGATATGAAGATATTCCCGTTTCCAACGAAATCTTCAAATCTATCCAAATGTCCACTAGCAGATTCAACAAAAAGTGTTTTTCAGAACTGCTCTATCAAAAGAAAGATCCACCTCTGTTAGCTGTGTTCACACATCACAAACAAGTTTATGAGAATGCTTCTGTGTAGTTTTTATTTGAAGATATTTCCTTTCTCACCATAGAGCTGAAAGCTGTCCTAATGTTCACTTCCAGATACTACAGAAAGAGTGTTTCAAAACTGCTGTACGAAAGGGAATGTTCAACTCTGTGACTTGAATGCACACATCACAAAGAAGTTTCGGAGGATGCTGCTGTCTACTTTTTATACGTAATCCCGTTTCCAACGAAATCCTCCAAGCTCTCCAAATATCCACTTGCAGATTCCACAGAAAGACTGTTTCAAAACTGCTCTGTCAATAGAAAGGTTCAACTCTGTTAGCTGCGTGCATATATCCCAAAGAAGATTCTGAGATTGCTTCTGTCTAGTTTTTATGGGAAGATATTTCCCTTTTCACCGTAGGCGTCAAGGCGCTCCAAATGTCCACTTCCAGATACTACAAAAAGAGTGTTTCAAACCTACTCTGTGAAAGGGAATATTCAACTCTGTGACTTGAATGCACCTATCACAAAGAAGTTTCTGAGAATGCTTCTGTCGAGATTTTATATGAAGATATTCCCGTTTCCAACGAAATCCTGAAATCTATCCAAATATCCCCTCGCAGATTCTACAAAAAGAGAGTTTCAAAACTGCTCTGTAAAAAGAAAGGTTCAACTCTGTTAGTTGAGTACACACATCACAAACAAGTTTCACAGAATGCTTCTTTCTAGCTTGTAGGGGACGATATTCCCTTTATCACCATGGGCCTCAAACCGACTGAAACGTCCACTTCCATATACTACAAAAAGAGCATTTCAAACCTGCTCTATGAAAGGCAATGTTCAACTCTGTGACTTGAATGCAGACATCACAGAGCAGTTTCTGAGAATGCTTCTGTCTAGATTTTATAGGAAGATATTCCCGTTTCCAACGAAATCTTCACAGCTATCCAAATATCCACTTGCAGATTCTACAAAAAGAGTGCATCAAAACTGCTCTGTCAAAAGGAAGGTTCTTCTCTGTTAGGTGAGTGCATACGTCATAAAGGAGTTTCTGAGAATGTTTCTGTCTAGTGGTTATGGGAAGATATTTGCTTTTTCACCGTAGGCCTCAGAGCGCTCCAAATATCCTCTTGCACATACTACAAAAAGAGTGCTTCAAAGCTGCTCTCTGAAACGGAATGTTCAACTCTATGAGTTGAATGCAAACATCACAAAGACGTTTCTGAGAATGCTTCTGTCTAGATTTGATATGAAGATATTCCCGTTTCCAACGAAATCTTCAAATCTATCCAAATGTCCACTTGCAGATTCAACAAAACGTGTTTTTCAGAACTGCTCTATCAAAAGAAAGATCCACCTCTGTTAGCTGAGTTCACACATCACAAACAAGTTGATGAGAATGCTTCTGTCTAGTTTTTATTTGAAGATATAACCTTTCTCACTATAGACCTGAAAGCTCTCCTAAAGTTCACTTCCAGATACTACAGAAAGAGTGTTTCGAAACTGCTGTATGAAAGGGAATGTTCAACTCTGTGACTTGAATGCACACATCACAAAGAAGTTTCTGAGGATGCTGCTGTCTACTTTTTATACGTAATCCCGTTTCCAACGAAATCCTCCAAGCTATCCAAATATCCACTTGCAGATTCCACAGAAAGACTGTTTCAAAACTGCTCTGTCAATAGAAAGGTTCAACTCTGTTAGTTGCGTGCATATATCCCAAAGAAGATTCTGAGATTGCTTCTGTCTAGTTTTTATGGGAAGATATTTCCCTTTTCACCATAGGCGTCAAGGCGCTCCAAATGTCCACTTCCAGATACTACAAAAAGAGTGTTTCAAACCTACTCTGTGAAAGGGAATATTCAACTCTGTGACTTGAAGGCAGATATCACAAAGAAGTTTCTGAGAATGCTTCTGTCGAGATTTTATATGAAGATATTCCCGTTTCCAACGAAATCCTGAAATCTATCGAAATATCCCCTCGCAGATTCTACAAAAAGAGTGTTTCAAAACCGCTCTGTAAAAAGAAAGGTTCAACTCTGTTAGTTGAGTACACACATCACAAACAAGTTTCACAGAATGCTCTTTCTAGCTTGTAGGGGAAGATATTCCCTTTATCACCATGGGCCTCAAACCGTCTGAAACGTCCACTTCCATATACTACAAAAAGAGCATTTCAAACCTGCTCTATGAAAGGCAATGTTCAACTCTGTGACTTGAATGCAGACATCACAGAGCAGTTTCTGAGAATGCTTTCTGTCTATACTTTATAGGAAGATATTCCCGTTTCCAAAGAAATCTTCACAGCTATCCAAATATCCACTTGCAGATTCTACAAAAAGAGTGTATCAAAACTGCTCTGTCAAAAAGAAGGTTCTTCTCTGTTAGGTGAGTGCATACGTCATAAAGGAGTTTCTGAGAATGTTTCTGTCTAGTGGTTATGGGAAGATATTTGCTTTTTCACCGTAAGCCCCAGAGCACTCCAAATATCCACTTGCACATACTACAAAAAGAGTGCTTCAAAGCTGCTCTCTGAAACGGAATGTTCAACTCTATGAGTTGAATGCAATCATCACAAAGACGTTTCTGAGAATGCTTCTGTCTAGATTTGATATGAAGATATTCCCGTTTCCAACGAAATCTTCAAATCTATCCAAATGTCCACTTGCAGATTCAACAAAAAGTGTTTTTCAGAACTGCTCTATCAAAAGAAAGATCCAACCTCTGTTAGCTGAGTTCACACATCACAAACAAGTTTATGAGAATGCTTCCGTCTAGTTTTTATTTGAAGATATTTCCTTTCTCACCATAGACCTGAAAGCTGTCCTAATGTTCACTTCCAGATACTACAGAAAGAGTGTTTCAAAACTGCTGTACGAAAGGGAATGTTCAACTCTGTGACTTGAATGCACACATCACAAGGATGTTTCTGAGGATGCTGCTGTCTACTTTTTATACGTAATCCCGTTTCCAACGAAATCCTCCAAGCTATCCAAATATCCACTTGCAGATTCCACAGAAAGACTGTTTCAAAACTGCTCTGTCAATAGAAAGGTTCAACTCTATTAGCTGCGTACATATATCCCAAAGAAAATTCTGAGATTGCTTCTGTCTAGTTTTGATGGGAAGATATTTCCCTTTTCACCGTAGGTGTCAAGGCGCTCCAAATGTCCACTTCCAGATACTACAAAAAGAGTGTTTCAAACCTACTCTGTGAAAGGGAATATTCAACTCTGTGACTTGAATGCACATATCACAAAGAAGTTTCCTGAGAATGCTTCTGTCGAGATTTTATATGAAGATATTCCCGTTTCCAACGAAATCCTGAAATCTATCCAAATATCCCCTCGCAGATTCTACAAAAAGAGTGTTTCAAAACTGCTGTGTAAAAAGAAAGGTTCAACTCTGTTAGTTGAGTACACACATCACAAACAAGTTTCACACAATGCTTCTTTCTAGCTTGTAGGGGAAGATATTTCCTTCATCACCATGGGCCTCAAACCGTCCGAAACGTCCACTTCCATATACTACAAAAAGAGCGTTTGAAACCTGCTCTATGAAAGGCAATGTTCAACTCTGTGACTTGAATGCAGACATCACAGAGCAGTTTCTGAGAATGCTTCTGTCTAGATTTTATAGGAAGATATTCCCGTTTCCAACGAAATCTTCACAGCTATCCAAATATCCACTTGCAGATTCTACAAAAAGAGTGTATCAAAACTGCTCTGTCAAAAGGAAGGTTCTTCTCTGTTAGGTGAGTGCATACGTCATAAAGGAGTTTCTGAGAATGTTCTGTCTAGTGGTTATGGGAAGATATTTGCTTTTTCACCGTAGGCCTCAGAGCGCTCCAAATATCCCCTTGCACATACTACAAAAAGAGTGCTTCACAGCTGCTCTCTGAAACGGAATGTTCAAATCTATGAGTTGAATGCAAACATCACAAAGACGTTTCTGAGAATGCTTCTGTCTGGACTTGATATGAAGATATTCCCGTTTCCAACGAAATCTTCAAATCTATCCAAATGTCCACTTGCAGATTCAACAAAAAGTGTTTTTCAAAACTGCTGTATCAAAAGAAAGATCCACGTCCGTTAGCTGAGTTCACACATCACAAACAAGTTTATGAGAATGCTTCTGTCTAGTTTTTATTTGAAGATATTTCCTTTCTCACCATAGAGCTGAAAGCTGTCTTAGTGTTCACTTCCAGATACTACAGAAAGAGTGTTTCAAAACTGCTGTACGAAAGGGAATGTTCAACTCTGTGACTTGAATGCACACATCACAAAGAAGTTTCTGAGGATGCTGCTGTCTACTTTTTATACGTAATCCCGTTTCCAACGAAATCCTCCAAGCTATCCAAATGTCCACTTGCAGATTCCACAGAAAGACTGTTTCAAAACTGCTCTGTCAATAGAAAGGTTCAACTCTGTTAGCTGCGTGCATATATCCCAAAGAAGATTCTGAGATTGCTTCTGTCTAGTTATTATGGGAAGATATTTCCCTTTTCACCGTAGGCGTCAAGGCGCTCCAAATGTCCACTTCCAGATACTACAAAGAGAGTGTTTCAAACCTACTCTGTGAAAGGGAATATTCAACTCTGTGACTTGAATGCACATATCACAAAGAAGTTTCTGAGAATGCTTCTGTCGAGATTTTATATGAAGATATTCCCGTTTCCAACGAAATCCTGAAATCTCTCCAAATATCCCCTCGCAGATTCTACAAAAAGAGTGTTTCAAAACTGCTCTGTAAAAAGAAAGGTTCAACTCTGTTACTTGAGTACACACATCACAAACAAGTTTCACAGAATGATTCTTTCTAGCTTGTAGGGGAAGATATTCCCTTTATCACCATGGGCCTCAAACCGTCCGAAACGTCCACTTCCATATACTACAAAAAGAGCGTTTCAAACCTGCTCTATGAAAGACAATGTTCAACTCTGTGACTTGAATGCAGACATCAGAGAGCAGTTTCTGAGAATGCTTCTGTCTAGATTTTATAGGAAGATATTCCCGTTTCCAACGAAATCTTCACAGCTATCCAAATATCCACTTGCAGATTCTACAAAAAGAGTGTATCAAAACTGCTCTGTCAAAAGGGAAGGTTCTTCTCTGTTAGGTGAGTGCATACGTCATAAAGGAGTTTCTGAGAATGTTTCTGTCTAGTGGTTATGGGAAGATATTTGCTTTTTACCCGTAGGCCTCAGGGCGCTCCAAATGTCCACTTGCACATGCTACAAAAAGAGTGCTTCAAAGCTACTCTCTGGAAGGGAATGTTCAACTCTATGAGTTGAATGCAAATATCACAAAGACGTTTCTGAGAATGCTTCTGTCTAGATTTGATATGAAGATATTCCCGTTTCCAACGAAATCTTCAAATCTATCCAAATGTCCACTTGCAGATTCAACAAAAAGTGTTTTTCAAAACTGCTGTATCAAAAGAAATATCCACGTCTGTTAGCTGAGTTCAGACATCACAAACAAGTTTATGAGAATGCTTCTGTCTAGTTTTTATTGGAAGGTATTTCCTTTCTCACCATAGACCTGAAAGCTGTCCTAATGTTCACTTCCAGATACTACAGAAAGAGTGTTTCAAAACTGCTGTACGAAAGGGAATGTTCAACTCTGTGACTTGAATGCACACATCACAAAGATGTTTCGGAGGATGCTGCTGTCTACTTTTTATACGTAATCCCGTTTCCAACGAAATCCTCAAAGCTATCCAAATATCCACTTGCAGATTCCACAGAAAGACTGTTTCAAAACTGCTCTGTCAATAGAAAGGTTCAACTCTGTTAGCTGCGTGCATATATCCCAAAGAAGATTCTGAGATTGCTTCTGTCTAGTTTTTATGGGAAGATATTTCCCTTTTCACCGTAGGCGTCAAGGCGCTCCAAATGTCCACTTCCAGATACTACAAAAAGAGTGTTTCAAACCTACTCTGTGAAAGGGAATATTCAACTCTGTGACCTGAATGCACATATCACAAGGAAGTTTCTGAGAATGCTTCTGTCGAATTTTTATATGAAGATATTCCCGTTTCCAACGAAATCCTGAAATCTATCCAAATATCCCCTTGCAGATTCTACTAAAAGAGTGTTTCAAAACTGCTCTGTAAAAAGAAAGGTTCAACTCTGTTAGTTGAGTACACACATCACAAACAAGTTTCACACAATGCTTCTTTCTAGCTTGTAGGGGAAGATATTCCCTTTATCACCATGGGCCTCAAACTGTCCGAAACGTCCACTTCCATATACTACAAAAAGAGCGTTTCAAACCTGCTCTATGAAAGGCAATGTTCAACTCTGTGACTTGAATGCAGACATCACAGAGCAGTTTCTGAGAATGCTTCTGTGTAGATTTTATAGGAAGATATTCCCGTTTCCAACGAAATCTTCACAGCTATCCAAATATCCACTTGCAGATTCTACAAAAAGAGTGTATCAAAACTGCTCTGTCAAAAGGAAGGTTCTTCTCTGTTAGGTAAGTGCATACGTCATAAAGGAGTTTCTGAGAATGTTTCTGTCTAGTGGTTATGGGAAGATATTTGCTTTTTCACCGTAGGCCTCAGAGCGCTCCAAATATCCACTTGCAGATACTACAAAAAGAGTGCCTCAAAGCTGCTCTCTGAAACGGAATGTTCAACTCTATGAGTTGAATGCAAACATCGCAAAGACGTTTCTGAGAATGCTTCTGTCTAGATTTGATATGAAGATATTCCCGTTTCCAACGGAAATCTTCAAATCTATCCAAATGTCCACTTGCAGATTCAACAAAAAGTGTTTTTCCGAACTGCTCTATCAAAAGAAAGATCCGCCTCTGTTAGCTGAGTTCACACATCACAAACAAGTTTATGAGAATGCTTCCGTCTAGTTTTTATTTGAAGATATATCCTTTCTCACTATAGACCTGAAAGGTGTCCTAAAGTTCACTTCCAGATACTACAGAAAGAGTGTTTCAAAACTGCTGTACGAAAGGGAATGTTCAACTCTGTGACTTGAATGCACACATCACAAGGATGTTTCTGAGGATGCTGCTGTCTACTTTTTATACGTAATCCCGTTTCCAACGAAATCCTCCAAGCTATCCAAATATCCACTTGCAGATTCCACCGAAAGACTGTTTCAAAACTGCTCTGTCAATAGAAAGGTTCAACTCTGTTAGCTGCGTGCATATATCCCAAAGAAGATTCTGAGATTGCTTCTGTCTAGTTTTTATGGGAAGATATTTCCCTTTTCACCGTAGGCGTCAAGGGGCTCCAAATGTCCACTTCCAGATACTACAAAAAGAGTGTTTCAAACCTACTCTGTGAAAGGGAATATTCAACTCTGTGACTTGAATGCACATATCACAAAGAAGTTTCTGAGAATGCTTCTGTCGAGATTTTATATGAAGATATTCCCGTTTCCAACGAAATCCTGAAATCTCTCCAAATATCCCCTCGCAGATTCTACAAAAAGAGTGTTTCAAAACTGCTCTGTAAAAAGAAAGGTTCAACTCTGTTACTTGAGTACACACATCACAAACAAGTTTCACAGAATGCTTCTTTCTAGCTTGTAGGGGAAGATATTCCCTTTATCACCATGGGCCTCAAACCGTCCGAAACGTCCACTTCCATATAGTACAAAAAGAGCGTTTCAAACCTGCTCTATGAAAGGCAATGTTCAACTCAGTGACTTGAATGCAGACATCACAGAGCAGTTTCTGAGAATGCTTCTGTCTAGATTTTATAGGAAGATATTCCCGTTTCCAACGAAATCTTCACAGCTATCCAAATATCCACTTGCAGATTCTACAAAAAGAGTGTATCAAAACTGCTCTGTCAAAAGGAAGGTTCTTCTCTCTTAGGTGAGTGCATACGTCGTAAAGGAGTTTCTGAGAATGTTTCAGTCTAGTGGTTATGGGAAGATATTTGCTTTTTCACCGTAGACCTCACAGCGCTCCAAATATCCACTTGCACATACTACAAAAAGAGTGCTTCAAAGCTGCTCTCTGAAACGGAATGTTCAACTCTATGAGTTGAATGCAAACATCACAAAGACGTTTCTGAGAATGCTTCTGTCTAGATTTGATATGAAGATATTCCCGTTTCCAACGAAATCTTCAAATTTATCCAAATGTCCACTTGCAGATTCAACAAAAAGTGTTTTTCAGAACTGCTCTATCAAAAGAAAGATCCACCTCCGTTAGCTGAGTTCACACTTCACAAACAAGTTTATCAGAATGCTTCTGTCTAGTTTTTATTTGAAGATATTTCCTTTCTCACCATAGAGCTGAAAGCTGTCCTAATGTTCACTTCCAGATACTACAGAAAGAGTGTTTGAAAACTGCTGTACGAAAGGGAATGTTCAACTCTGTGACTTGAATGCACACATCACAAAGAAGTTTCTGAGGATGCTGCTGTCTACTTTTTATACGTAATCCCGTTTCCAACGAAATCCTCCAAGCTATCCAAATATCCACTTGCAGATTCCACAGAAAGACTGTTTCAAAACTGCTCTGTCAATAGAAACGTTCAACTCTGTTAGCTGCGTGCATATATCCCAAAGAAGATTCTGAGATTGCTTCTGTCTAGTTTTTATGGGAAGATATTTCCCTTTTCACCGTAGGTGTCAAGGCGCTCCAAATGTCCACTTCCAGATACTACAAAAAGAGTGTTTCAAACCTACTCTGTGAAAGGGAATATTCAACTCTGTGACTTGAATGCACATATCACAAAGAAGTTCCTGAGAATGCTTCTGTCGAGATTTTATATGAAGATATTCCCGTTTCCAACGAAATCCTGAAATCTATCCAAATATCCCCTCGCAGATTCTACAAAAAGAGTGTTTCAAAACTGCTCTGTAAAAAGAAAGGTTCAACTCTGTTACTTGAGTACACACATCACAAACAAGTTTCACAGAATGCTTCTTTCTAGCTTGTAGGGGAAGATATTCCCTTTATCACCATGGGCCTCAAACCGTCCGAAACGTCCACTTCCATATACTACAAAAAGAGCGTTTCAAACCTGATCTAGGAAAGGCAATGTTCAACTCTGTGACTTGAATGCAGACATCACAGAGCAGTTTCTGAGAATGCTTCTGTCTAGATGTTATAGGAAGATATTCCCGTTTCCAACGAAATCTTCACAGGTATCCAAATATCCACTTGCAGATTCTACAAAAAGAGTGTATCAAAACTGCTCTGTCAAAAGGAAGGTTCTTCTCTGTTAGGTGAGTGCATACGTCATAAAGGAGTTTCTGAGAATGTTTCTGTCTAGTGGTTATGGGAAGATATTTGCTTTTTCCCCGTAGGCCTCAGGGCGCTCCAAATGTCCACTTGCACATGCTACAAAAAGAGTGCTTCAAAGCTGCTCTCTGAAAGGGAATGTTCAACTCTATGAGTTGAATGCAAACATCACAAAGACGTTTACTGAGAATGCTTCTGTCTAGATTTGATATGAAGATATTCCCGTTTCCAACGAAATCTTCAAATCTATCCAAATGTCCACTTGCAGATTCAACAAAAAGTGTTTTTCAGAACTGCTCTATCAAAAGAAAGATCCACCTCTGTAAGCTGAGTTCACACATCACAAACAAGTTTATGAGAATGCTTCTGTCTAGTCTTTATTTGAAGATATTTCCTTTCTCACCATAGACCTGAAAGCTGTCCTAATGTTCACTTCCAGATACTACACAAAGAGTGTTTCAAAACTGCTGTACGAAAGGGAATGTTCAACTCTGTGACTTGAATGCACACATCACAAAGAAGTTTCTGAGGATGCTGCTGTCTACTTTTTATACGTAATCCCGTTTCCAACGAAATCCTCCAATCTATCCAAATATCCACTTGCAGATTCCACAGAAAGACTGTTTCAAAACTGCTCTGTCAATAGAAAGGTTCAACTCTGTTAGCTGCGTGCATATATCCCAAGGAAGATTCTGAGATTGCTTCTGTCTAGTTTTTATGGGAAGATATTTCCCTTTTCACCGTAGGCGTCAAGGCGCTCCAAATGTCCACTTCCAGATACTACAAAAAGAGTGTTTCAAACCTACTCTGTGAAAGGGAGTATTCAACTCTGTGACTTGAACACACATATCACAAAGAAGTTTCTGAGAATGCTTCTGTCGAGATTTTATATGAAGATATTCCGGTTTCCAACAAAATCCTGAAATCTATCCAAATATCCCCTCGCAGATTCTACAAAAAGAGTGTTTCAAAACTGCTCTGTAAAAAGAAAGGTTCAACTCTGTTAGTTGAGTACACACATCACAAACAAGTTTCACACAATGCTTCTTTCTAGCTTGTAGGGGAAGATATTCCCTTTATCACCATGGGCCTCAAACCGTCCGAAACGTCCACTTCCATATACTACAAAAAGAGCGCTTCAAACCTGCTGTATGAAAGACAATGTTCAACTCTGTGACTTGAATGCAGACATCACAGAGCAGTTTCTGAGAATGCTTCTGTCTAGATTTTATAGGAAGATATTTCCGTTTCCAACGAAACCTTCACAGCTATCCAAATATCCACTTGCAGATTCTACAAAAAGAGTGTATCAAAACTGCTCTGTCAAACGGAATGTTCTTCTCTGTTAGTTGAGTACATACGTCATAAAGGAGTTTCTGAGAATGTTTCTGTCTAGTGGTTATGGGAAGATATTTGCTTTTTCACCGTCGGCCTCAGAGCGCTCCAAATATCCCCTTGCACATACTACAAAAAGAGTGCTTCAAAGCTGCTCTCTGAAAGGGAATGTTCAACTCTATGAGTTGAATGCAAACATCACAAAGACGTTTCTGAGAATGCTTCTGTCTAGATTTGATATGAAGATATTCCCGTTTCCAACGAAATCTTCAAATCTATCCAAATGTCCACTTTCAGATTCAACAAAAAGTGTTTTTCAGAACTGCTCTATCAAAAGAAAGATCCACCTCTGTTAGCTGAGTTCACACATCACAAACAAGTTTATGAGAACGCTTCTGTCTAGTTTTTATTTGAAGATATTTCCTTTCTCACCATAGACCTGAAAGCTGTCCTAATGTTCACTCCCAGATACTACAGAAAGAGTGTTTCAAAACTGCTGTACGAAAGGGAAAGTTCAACTCTGTGACTTGAATGCACACATCACAAAGAAGTTTCTGAGGATGCTGCTGTCTACTTTTTATACGTAATCCCGTTTCCAACGAAATCCTCCAATCTATCCAAATATCCACTTGCAGATTCCACAGAAAGACTGTTTCAAAACTGCTCTGTCAATAGAAAGGTTCAACTTTGTTAGCTGCGTGCATATATCCCAAAGAAGATTCTGAGATTGCTTCTGTCTAGTTTTGATGGGAAGATATTTCCCTTTTCACCGTGGGCGTCAAGGCGCTCCAAATGTCCACTTCCAGATACTACAAAAAGAGTGTTTCAAACCTACTCTGTGAAAGGGAATATTCAACTCTGTGACTTGAATGCACATATCACAAAGAAGTTTCTGAGAATGCTTCTGTCGAGATTTTATATGAAGATATTCCCCTTTCCAACGAAATCCTGAAATCTATCCAAATATCCCCTCGCAGATTCTACAAAAAGAGTGTTTCAAAACTGCTCTGTAAAAAGAAAGGTTCAACTCTGTTAGTTGACTACACACATCACAAACAAGTTTCACAGAATGCTTCTTTCTAGCTTGTAGGGGAAGATATTCCCTTTATCACTATGGGCCTCAAACCGTCCGAAACGTCCACTTCCATATACTACAAAAAGAGCGTTTCAAACCTGCTCTAGGAAAGGCAGTGTTCAACTCTGTGACTTGAATGCAGACATCACAGAGCAGTTTCTGAGAATGCTTCTGTGTAGATTTTATAGAAAGATATTCCCGTTTCCAACGAAATCTTCACAGCTATCCAAATATCCACTTGCAGATTCTACAAAAAGAGTGTATCAAAACTGCTCTGTCAAAAGGAAGGTTCTTCTCTGTTAGGTGAGTGCATACGTCATAAAGGAGTTTCTGAGAATGTTTCTGTCTAGTGGTTATGGGAAGATATTTGCTTTTTCACCTTAGGCCTCAGAGCGCTCCAAATATCCACTTGCACATACTACAAAAAGAGTGCTTCAAAGCTGCTCTCTGAAAGGGAATGTTCAACTCTATGAGTTGAATGCAAACATCACAAAGACGTTTCTGAGAATGCTTCTGTCTAGATTTGATATGAAGATATTCCCGTTTCCAACGACATCTTCAAATCTATCCAAATGTCCACTTGCAGATTCAACAAAACGTGTTTTTCAGAACTGCTCTATCAAAAGAAACATCCACCTCTGTTAGCTGAGTTCACACATAACAAACAAGTTCTTGAGAATGCTTCTGTCTAGTTTTTATTTGAAGATATTTCCTTTCTCACCATAGACCTGAAAGCTGTCCTAATGTTCACTTCCAGATACTACAGAAAGTGTGTTTCAAAACTGCTCTACGAAAGGGAATGTTCAACTCTGTGACTTGAATGCACACATCACAAAGAAGTTTCTGAGGATGCTGCTGTCTACTTTTTATACGTAATCCCGTTTCCAACGAAATCCTCCTAGCTATCCAAATATCTACTTGCAGATTCCACAGAAAGACTATTTCAAAACTGCACTGTCAATAGAAAGGTTCAACTCTGTTAGCTGCGTGCATATATCCCAAAGAAGATTCTGAGATTGCTTCTGTCTAGTTTTTATGGGAAGATATTTCCCTTTTCACCGAAGGCGTCAAGGCGCTCCAAATGTCCACTTCCAGATACTACAAAAAGAGTGTTTCAAACCTACTCTGTGAAAGGGAATATTCAACTCTGTGACTTGAATGCACATATCACAAAGAAGTTTCTGAGAATGCTTCTGTCGAGTATTTTATATGAAGATATTCCCGTTTCCAACGAAATGCTGAAATGTATCCAAATATCCCATCGCAGATTCTACAAAAAGAGTGTTTCAAAACTGCTCTGTAAAAAGAAAGGTTCAACTCTGTTAGTTGAGTACACACATCACAAACAAGTTTCACAGAATGCTTCTGTCTAGTTTTTATGGGAAGATATTTCCCTTTTCACCGTAGGCGTCAATGCACTCCAAACGTCTACTTCCATATACTACAAAAAGAGCGTTTCAAACCTGCTCTATGAAAGGCAATGTTCAACTCTGTGACTTGAATGCAGACATCACAGAGCAGTTTCTGAGAATGCTTCTGTCTAGGTTTTATAGGAAGATATTCCCGTTTCCAACGAAATCTTCACAGCTATCCAAATATCCACTTGCAGATTCTACAAAAAGAGTGTATCAAAACTGCTCTGTCAAAAGGAAGGTTCTTCTCTGTTAGGTGAGTGCATACGTCGTAAAGGAGTTTCTGAGAATGTTTCTGTCTAGTGGTTATGGGAAGATATTTGCTTTTTCACCGTAGGCCTCAGAGCGCTCCAAATATCCACTTGCACATACTACAAAAAGAGTGCTTCAAAGCTGCTCTCTGAAACGGAATGTTCAACTCTATGAGTTGAATGCAAACATGACAAAGACGTTTCTGAGAATGCTTCTGTCTAGATTTGATATGAAGAAATTCCCGTTTCCAACGAAATCTTCAAATCTATCCAAATGTCCACTTGCAGATTCAACAAAGTGTTTTTCAGAACTGCTCTATCAAAAGAAAGATCCACCTCTGTTAGCTGAGATCACACTTCACAAACAAGTTTATCAGAATGCTTCTGTCTAATTTTTATTTGAAGATATTTCCTTTCTCACCATAGACCTGAAAGCTGTCCTAATGTTCACTTCCAGATACTACAGAAAGAGTGTTTCAAAACTGCTGTACGAAAGGGAATGTTCAACTCTGTGACTTGAATGCACACATCACAAAGAAGTTTCTGAGGATGCTGCTGTCTACTTTTTGTACGTAATCCCGTTTCCAAGGAAATCCTCCAAGCTATCCAAATATCCACTTGCAGATTCCACAGAAAGACTGTTTCAAAACTGCTCTGTCAATAGAAAGGTTCAACTCTGTTAGCTGCGTGCATATATCCCAAAGAAGATTCTGAGATTGCTTCTGTCTACTTTTTATGAGAAGATATTTCCCTTTTCACCGTAGGCGTCAAGGCGCTCCAAATGTCCACTTCCAGATACTACAAAAAGAGTGTTTCAAACCTACTCTGTGAAAGGGAATATTCAACTCTGTGACTTGAATGCACATATCACAAAGAAGTTTCTGAGAATACTTCTGTCGAGATGTTTTATGAAGATATTCCCGTTTCCAACGAAATCCTGAAATCTATCCAAAAATCCCCTCGCAGATTCTACAAAAAGAGTGTTTCAAAACTGCTCTGTAAAAAGAAAGGTTCAACTCTGTTAGTTGAGTACACACATCACAAACAAGTTTCACAGAATGCTTCTTTCTAGCTTGTAGGGGAAGATATTCCCTTTATCACCATGGGCCTCAAACCGTCCGTAACGTCCACTTCCATATACTACAAAAAGAGCGTTTCAAACCTGCTCTATGAAAGGCAATGTTCAACTCTGTGACTTGAATGCAGACATCACAGAGCAGTTTCTGAGAATGCTTCTGTCTAGATTTTATAGGAAGATATTCCCGTTTCCAACGAAATCTTCACAGCTATCCAAATATCCACTTGCAGATTGTACAAAAAGAGTGTATCAAAACTGCTCTGTCAAAAGGAAGGTTCTTTTCTGTTAAGTGAGTGCATACGTCATAAAGGAGTTTCTGAGAATGTTTCTGTCTAGTGGTTATGGGAAGATATTTTCTTTTTCACCGTAGGCCTCAGAGCGCTCCAAATATCCAGTTGCACATAGTACAAAAAGAGTGCCTCAAAGCTGCTCTCTGAAACGGAATGTTCAACTCTGTGAGTTGAATGCAAACATCGCAAAGACGTTTCTGAGAATGCTTCTGTCTAGATTTGATATGAAGATATTCCCGTTTCCAACGAAATCTTCATATCTATCCAAATGTCCACTTGCAGATTCAACAAAAAGTGTTTTTCAAAACTGCTCTATCAAAAGAAACATCCACCTCTGTTAGCTGAGTTCACACATAACAAACAAGTTCTTGAGAATGCTTCTGTCTAGTTTTTATTTGAAGATATTTCCTGTCTCACCATAGACCTGAAAGCTGTCCTAATGTTCACTTCCAGATACTACAGAAAGAGTGTTTCAAAACTGCTGTACGAAAGGGAATGTTCAACTCTGTGACTTGAATGCCCACATCACAAAGATGTTTCTGAGGATGCTGCTGTCTACTTTTTATACGTAATCCCGTTTCCAACGAAATCCTCCAAGCTATCGAAATATCCACTTGCAGATTCCACAGAAAGACTGTTTCAAAACTGCTCTGTCGATAGAAAGGTTCAACTCTGTTAGCTGCGTGCATATATCCCAAAGAAGATTCTGAGATTGCTTCTGTCTAGTTTTTATGGGAAGATATTTCCCTTTTCACCGTAGGCGTCAAGGCGCTCCAAATGTCCACTTCCAGATACTACAAAAAGAGTGTTTCAAACCTACTCTGTGAAAGGGAATATTCAACTCTGTGTCTTGAATGCACATATCACAAAGAAGTTTCTGAGAATGCTTCTGTCGAGATTTTATATGAAGATATTCCCGTTTCCAACGAAATCCTGAAATCTATCCAAATATCCCCTCTCAGATTCTACAAAAAGAGTGTTTCAAAACTGTTCTGTAAAAAGAAAGGTTCAACTCTGTTAGTTGAGTACACACATCACAAACAAGTATCACAGAATGCTTCTTTCTAGCTTGTAGGGGAAGATATTCCCTTCATCACCATGGGCCTCAAACCGTCCGAAACGTCCACTTCCATATACTACAAAAAGAGCGTTTCAAACCTGCTCTAGGAAAGGCAATGTTCAACTCTGTGACTTGAATGCAGACATCACAGAGCAGTTTCTGAGAATGCTTCTGTCTAGATTTTATAGGAAGATATTCCAGTTTCCAACGAAATCTTCACAGCTATCCAAATATCCACTTGCAGATTCTACAAAAAGAGTCTATCAAAACTGCTCTGTCAAAAGGAAGGTTCTTCTCTGTTAGTTGAGTACATACGTCATAAAGGAGTTTCTGAGAATGTTTCTGTTAGTGGTTATGGGAAGATATTTGCTTTTTCACCGTAGGCCTCAGAGCGCTTCAAATATCCACTTGCACATACTACAAAAAGAGTGCCTCAAAGCTGCTCTCTGAAACGGAATGTTCAACTCTATGAGTTGAATGCAAACATCGCAAAGACGTTTCTGAGAATGCTTCTGTCTAGATTTGATATGAAGATATTCCCGTTTCCAAAGAAATCTTCAAATCTATCCAAATGTCCACTTGCAGATTCAACAAAAAGTGTTTTTCAGAACTGCTCTATCAAAAGAAAGATCCACCTCTGTTAGCTGAGTTCACACATCACAAACAAGTTTATGAGAATGCTTCTCTCTAGTTTTTATTTGAAGATATTTCCTTTCTCACCATAGAGCTGAAAGCTGTCCTAATGTTCACTTCCAGATACTACAGAAAGAGTGTTTGAAAACTGCTGTACGAAAGGGAATGTTCAACTCTGTGACTTGAATGCACACATCACAAAGAAGTTTCTGAGGATGCTGCTGTCTACTTTTTATACGTAATCCCGTTTCCAACGAAATCCTCCAAGCTATCCAAATATCCACTTGCAGATTCCACAGAAAGACTGTTTCAAAACTGCTCTGTCAATAGAAAAGTTCAACTCTGTTAGCTGTGTCCATATATCCCAAAGAAGATTCTGAGACTGCTTCTGTCTAGTTTTTATGGGAAGATATTTCCCTTTTCACCGTAGGCGTCGAGGCGCTCCAAATGTCCACTTCCAGATACTACAAAAAGAGTGTTTCAAACCTACTCTGTGAAAGGGAATATTCAACTCTGTGACTTGAATGCACATGTCACAAAGAAGTTTCTGAGAATGCTTCTGTCGAGATTTTATATGAAGATATTCCCGTTTCCAACGAAATCCTGAAATCTATCCAAATATCCCCTCGCAGATTCTACAAAAACAGTGTTTCAAAACTGCTCTGTAAAAAGAAAGGTTCAACTCTGTTAGTTGAGTACACACCTCACAAACAAGTTTCACAGAATGCTTCTTTCTAGCTTGTAGGGGAAGATATTCCCTTTATCACCATGGGCCTCCAACCGTCCGAAACATCCACTTCCATATACTACAAAAAGAGCGTTTCAAACCTGCTCTATGAAAGGCAATGTTCAACTCTGTGACTTGAATGCAGACATCACAGAGCAGTTTACTGAGAATGCTTCTGTCTAGATTTTATAGGAAGATATTCCCGTTTCCAACGAAATCTTCACAGCTATCCAAATATCCACTTGCAGATTCTACAAAAAGAGTGTATCAAAACTGCTCTGTCAGAAGGAAGGTTCTTCTCTGTTAGGTGAGTGCATACGTCATAAAGGAGTTTCTGAGAATGTTTCTGTTTAGTGGTTATGGGAAGATATTTGCTTTTTCACCTTAGGCCTCAGAGCGCTCCAAATATCCCCTTGCACATACTACAAAAAGAGTGCTTCAAAGCTGCTCTCTGAAACGGAATGTTCAACTCTATGAGTTGAATGCAAACATGACAAAGACGTTTCCGAGAATGCTTCTGTCTAGATTTGATATGAAGATATTCCCGTTTCCAACGAAATCTTCAAATCTATCCAAATGTCCACTTGCAGATTCAACAAAACGTGTTTTTCAGAACAGCTCTATCAAAAGAAAGATCCACGTCTCTTAGCTGAGTTCACACATCACAAACAAGTTTATGAGAATGCTTCTGTCTAGTTTTTATTTGAAGATATTTTGTTTCTCACCATAGAGCTGAAAGCTGTCCTAATGTTCACTTCCAGATACTACAGAAAGAGTGTTTCAAAACTGCTGTACGAAAGGGAATGTTCAACTCTGTGACTTGAATGCACACATCACAAAGAAGTTTCTGAGGATACTGCTGTCTACTTATTATACGTAATCCCGTTTCCAACGAAATCCTCCAAGCTATCCAAATATCCACTTGCAGATTCCACAGAAAGACTGTTTCAAAACTGCTCTGTCAATAGAAAGGTTCAACTCTGTTAGCTGCGTGCATATATCCCAAAGAAGATTCTGAGATTGCTTCTGTCTAGTTTTTATGGGAAGATATTTCCCTTTTCACCGTAGGTGTCAAGGCGCTCCAAATGTCCACTTCCAGATACTACAAAAAGAGTGTTTCAAACCTACTCTGTGAAAGGGAATATTCAACTCTGTGACTTGAATGCACATATCACAAAGTAGTTTCTGAGAATGCTTCTGTCGAGTATTTTATATGAAGATATTCCCGTTTCCAACGAAATGCTGAAATCTATCCAAATATCCCCTCGCAGATTCTACAAAAAGAGTGTTTCAAAACTGCTCTGTGAAAAGAAAGGTTCAACTCTGTTAGTTGAGTACACACATCACAAACAAGTTTCACAGAATGCTTCTTTCTAGCATGTAGGGGAAGATATTCCCTTTATCACCATGGGCCTCAAACCGTCCGATAAGTCCACTTCCATATACTACAAAAAGAGCGTTTCAAACCTGCTCTATGAAAGGCAATGTTCAACTCTGTGACTTGAATGCAGACATCACAGAGCAGTTTCTGGGAATGCTTCTGTCTAGATTTTATAGGAAGATATTCCCGTTTCCAACGAAATCTTCACAGCTATCCAAATATCCACTTGCAGATTCTACAAAAAGAGTGTATCGAAACTGCTCTGTCAAAAGGAAGGTTCTTTTCTGTTAGGTGAGTGCATACGTCATAAAGGAGTTTCTGAGAATGTTTCTGTTAGTGGTTATGGGAAGATATTTGCTTTTTCACCGTAGGCCTCAGAGCGCTCCAAATATCCACTTGCACATACTACAAAAAGAGTGCCTCAAAGCTGCTCTCTGAAACGGAATGTTCAACTCTATGAGTTGAATGCAAACATCGCAAAGACGTTTCTGAGAATGCTTCTGTCTAGATTTGATATGAAGATATTCCCGTTTCCAAGGAAATCTTCAAAACTATCCAAATGTCCACTTGCAGATTCAACAAAAAGTGTTTTTCAGAACTGCTCTATCAAAAGAAAGATCCACCGTTGTTAGCTGAGTTCACACATCACAAACAAGTTTATGAGAATGCTTCTGTCTAGTTTTCATATGAAGATATTTCCTTTCTCACCATAGACCTGAAAGCTGTCCTAATGTACACTTGCAGATACTACAGAAAGAGTGTTTCAAAACTGCTGTACGAAAGGGAATGTTCAACTCTGTGACTTGAATGCACACATCACAAAGAAGTTTCTGAGGATGCTGCTGTCTACTTTTTATACGTAATCCCGTTTCCAACGAAATCCTCCCAGCTATCCAAATATCCACTTGCAGATTCCACAGAAAGACTGTTTCAAAACTGCTCTGTCAATAGAAAGGTTCAACTCTGTTAGCTGCATGCATATATCCCAAAGAAGATTCTGAGATTGCTTCTGTCTAGTTTTTATGGGAAGATATTTCCCTTTTCACCGTAGGTGTCAAGGCGCTCCAAATGTCCACTTCCAGATACTATAAAAAGAGTGTTTCAAACCTACTCTGTGAAAGGGAATATTCAACTCTGTGACTTGAATGCACATATCACAAAGAAGTTTCTGAGAATGCTTCTGTCGAGATTTTCTATGAAGATATTCCCGTTTCCAACGAAATCCTGAAATCTATCCAAATATCCCCTCGCAGATTCTACAAAAAGATTGTTTCAAAACTGCTCTGTAAAAAGAAAGGTTGAACCCTGTTAGTTGAGTACACACATCACAAACAAGTTTCACAGAATGCTTCTTTCTAGCTTGTAGGGGAAGATATTCCCTTTATCACCATGGGCCTCAAAACGTCCGAAACGTCCACTTCCATATACTACAAAAAGAGCGTTTCAAACCTGCTCTAGGAAAACCAATGTTCAACTCTGTGACTTGAATGCAGACATCACAGAGCAGTTTCTGAGAATGCTTCTGTCTAGATTTTATAGGAAGATATTCCCGTTTCCAACGAAATCTTCATAGCTATCCAAATATCCACTTGCAGATTCTACAAAAAGAGTGTATCAAAACTGCTCTGTCAAAAGGAAGGTTCTTCTCTGTTAGTTGAGTACATACTTCATAAAGGAGTTTCTGAGAATGTTTCTGTCTAGTGGTTATGGGAAGATATTTGCTTTTTCACCGTAGGCCTCAGAGCGCTCCAAATATCCACTTGCACATACTACAAAAAGAGTGCTTCAAAGCTGCTCTCTGAAACGGAATGTTCAACTCTATGAGTTGAATGCAAACATCACAAAGACTGTTTCTGAGAATGCTTCTGTCTAGATTTGATATGAAGATATTCCCGTTTCCAACGAAATCTTCAAATCTATCCAAATGTCCACTTGCAGATTCAAAAAAAAGTGTTTTTCAGAACTGCTCTATCAAAAGAAAGATCCACCTCTGTTAGCTGAGTTCAGACATCACAAACAAGTTTATGAGAATGCTTCTGTCTAGTTTTTATTTGAAGGTATTTCCTTTCTCACCCTAGACCTGAAAGCTGTCCTAATGTTCACTTCCAGATACTACAGAAAGAGTGTTTCAAAACTGCTGTACGAAAGGGAATGTTCAACTCTGTGACTTGAATGCACACATCACAAAGAAGTTTCTGAGGATGCTGCTGTCTACTTTTTATGCGTAATCCCGTTTCCAACGAAATCCTCCAAGCTATCCAAATATCCACTTGCAGATTCCACAGAAAGACTGTTTCAAAACTGCTCTGTCAATAGTAAGGTTCAACTCTGTTAGCTGCGTGCATATATCCCAAAGAAGATTCTGAGATTGCTTCTGTCTAGTTTTTATGGGAAGATATTTTCCTTTTCACCATAGGCGTCACAGAGCTCCAAATGTCCACTTCCAGATACTACAAAAAGAGTGTTTCAAACCTACTATGTGAAAGGGAATATTCAACTCTGTTACTTGAATGCAGATATCACAAAGAAGTTTCTGAGAATGCTTCTGTCGAGATTTTATATGAAGATATTCCCGTTTCCAACGAAATCCTGAAATCTATCCAAATATCCCCTCGCAGATTCTACAAAAAGACTGTTTCAAAACTGCTCTGTAAAAAGAAAGGTTCAACTCTGTTAGTTGAGTACACACCTCACAAACAAGTTTCACAGAATGCTTCTTTCTAGCTTGTAGGGGAAGATATTCCCTTTATCACCATGGGCCTCAAACCGTCCGATAAGTCCACTTCCATATACTACAAAAAGAGGGTTTCAAACCTGCTCTATGAAAGGCAATGTTCAACTCTGTGACTTGAATGCAGACATCACAGAGCAGTTTCTGAGAATGCTTCTGTCGAGATTTTATATGAAGATATTCCCGTTTCCAACGAAATCTTCACAGCTATCCCAATATCCACTTGCAGATTCTACAAAAAGAGTGTATCAAAACTGCTCTGTCAAAAGGAAGGTTCTTCTCTGTTAGGTGAGTGCATACGTCATAAAGGAGTTTCTGAGAATGATTCTGTCTAGTGGTTATGGGAAGATATTTGCTTTTTCACCGTAGGCCTCAGAGCACTCCAAATATCCACTTGCACATACTACAAAAAGAGTGCCTCAAAGCTGCTCTCTGAAACGGAATGTTCAACTCTATGAGTTGAATGCAAACATCGCAAAGACGTTTCTGAGAATGCTTCTGTCTAGATTTGATATGACGATATTCCCGTTTCCAACGAAATCTTCAAATCTATCCAAATGTCCACTTGCAGATTCAACAAAACGTGTTTTTCAGAACTGCTCTATCAAAAGAAAGATCCACCTCTGTTAGCTGAGTTCACACATCACAAACAAGTTTATGACAATGCTTCTGTCTAGTTTTTATTTGAAGATATTTCCTTTCTCACCATAGACCTGAAAGCTGTCCTAATGTTCACTTCCAGATACTACAGAAAGAGTGTTTCAAAACTGCTGTACTAAAGGGAATGTTCAACTCTGTGACTTGAATGCACACATCACAAAAAAGTTTCTGAGGATGCTGCTGTCTACTTTTTATACGTAATCCCGTTTCCAACGAAATCCTCCAAGCTATCCAAATATCCACTTGCAGATTCCACAGAAAGACTGTTTCAAAACTGCTATGTCAATAGAAAAGTTCAACTCTGTTAGCTGTGTGCATATATCCCAAAGAAAATTCTGAGATTGCTTCTGTCTAGTTTTTATGGGAAGATATTTCCCTTTTCACCGTAGGCGTCAAGGCGCTCCAAATGTCCACTTCCAGATACTACAAAAAGAGTTTTTCAAACCTACTCTGTGAAAGGGAGTATTCAACTCTGTGACTTGAATACACATATCACAAAGAAGTTTCTGAGAATGCTTCTGTCGAGATTTTATATGAAGATATTCCCGTTTCCAACGAAATCCTCAAATCTATCCAAATATCCCCTCACAGATTCTACAAAAAGAGTGTTTCAAAACTGCTCTGTAAAAAGAAAGGTTCAACTCTGTTAGTTGAGTACACACATCACAAACAAGTTTCACAGAATGCTTCTTTCTAGCTTGCAGGGGAAGATATTCCCTTTATCACCATGGGCCTCAAACCGTCCGAAACGTCTACTTCCATATACTACAAAAAGAGCGTTTCAAACCTGCTCTACGAAAGGCAATGTTCAACTCTGTGACTTGAATGCAGACATCACAGATCAGTTTCTGAGAATGCTTCTGTCTAGATTTTATAGGAAGATATTCCCGTTTCCAACGAAATCTTCACAGCTATCCAAATATCCACTTGCAGATGCTACAAAAAGAGTGTATCAAAAATGCTCTGTCAAAAGGAAGGTTATTCTCTGTTAGGTGAGGGCATACGTCATAAAGGAGTTTCTGAGAATGTTTCTGTCTAGTGGTTATGGGAAGATATTTGCTTTTTCACCGTAGGCCTCAGAGCGCTCCAAATATCCACTTGCACATACTACAAAAAGAGTGCTTCAAAGCTGCTCTCTGAAACGGAATGTTCAACTCTATGAGTTGAATGCAAACATCGCAAAGACGTTTCTGAGAATGCTTCTGTCTAGATTTGATATGAAGATATTCCCGTTTCCAACGAAATCTTCAAATCTATCCAAATGTCCACTTGCAGATTCAACAAAAAGTGTTTTTCAGAACTGCTCTATCGAAAGATCCACCTCTGTTAGCTGAGTTCACACATCACAAACAAGTTTATGAGAATGCTTCTGTCTAGTTTTTATTTGAAGATATTTCCTTTCTCACCATAGGCCTGAAAGCTCTCGAAATGTTCACTTCCAGATACTACAGAAAGAGTGTTTCAAACCTGTTCTACAAAAGGGAATGTTCAACTCTGTGACTTGAATGCACACATCACAAAGAAGTTTCTGAGAATGCTGCTGTCTACTTTTTATACGTAATCCCGTTTCCAACGAAATCCTCCAAGCTATCCAAATATCCACTTGCAGATTCCACAGAAAGACTGTTTCAAAACTGCTCTGTCAGTAGAAAGGTTCAACTCTGTTAGCTGCGTGCATATATCCCAAAGAAGATTCTGAGATTGCTTCTGTCTAGTTTTTATGGGAAGATATTTCCCTTTTCACCGTAGGCGTCAAGGCGCTCCAAATGTCCACTTCCAGATACTACAAAAAGAGTGTTTCAAACCTACACTGCGAAAGGGAATATTCAACTCTGTGACTTGAATGCACATATCACAAAGAAGTTTCTGAGAATGCTTCTGTCGAGATTTTATATGAAGATATTCCCGTTTCCAACGAAATCCTGAAATCTATCCAAATATCCCCTCGCAGATTCTACAAAAAGAGTGTTTCAAAACTCCTCTGTAAAAAGAAAGGTTCAACTCTGTTAGTTGAGTACACACATCACAAACAAGTTTCACAGAATGCTTCTTTCTAGCTTGTAGGGGAAGATATTCCCTTTATCACCATGGGCCTCAAACTGTCCGAAACGTCCACTTACATATACTACAAAAAGAGCGTTTCAAACCTGCTCTATGAAAGGCAATGTTCAACTCTGTGACTTGAATGCAGACATCACAGAGCAGTTTCTGAGAATGCTTCTGTCTAGATTTTATAGGAAGATATTCCCGTTTCCAACGAAATCTTCACAGCTATCCAAATATCCACTTGCAGATTCTACAAAAAGAGTGTATCAAAAATGCTCTGTCAAAAGGAAGGTTCTTCTCGGTTAGGTGAGTGCATACGTCATAAAGGAGTTTCTCAGAATGTTTCTGTCTAGTGGTTATGGGAAGATATTTGCTTTTTCCCCATAGGCCTCAGGGCGCTCCAAATGTCCACATGCACATGCTACAAAAAGAGTGCTTCAAAGCTGCTCTCTCAAAGGGAATGTTCAACTCTATGAGTTGAATGCAAACATCACAAAGACGTTTCTGAGAATGCTTCTGTCTAGATTTCATATGAAGATATTCCCGTTTCCAACGAAATCTTCAAATCTATCCAAATGTCCACTTGCAGATTCAACAAAAAGTGTTTTTCAAAACTGCTGTATCAAAAGAAAGATCCACGTCTGTTAGCTGAGTTCAGACATCACAAACAAGTTTATGAGAATGCTTCTGTCTAGTTTTTATTTGAAGATATTTCCTTTCTCACCATAGACCTGAAAGCTGTCCTAATGTTCACTTCCAGATACTACAGAAAGAATGTTTCAAAACTGCTGTACGAAAGGGAATGTTCAACTCTGTGACTTGAATGCACACATCACAAAGAAGTTTCTGAGGATGCTGCTGTCTACTTTTTATACATAATCCCTTTTCCAACGAAATCCTCCAAGCTATCCAAATATCCACTTGCAGATTCCACAGAAAGACTGTTTCAAAACTGCTCTGTCAATAGAAAGGTTCAACTCTGTTAGCTGCGTGCATATATCCCAAAGAAGATTCGGAGATTGCTTCTGTCTAGTTTTTATGGGAAGATATTTCCCTTTTCACCGTAGGCGTCAAGGCGCTCCAAATGTCCACTTCCAGATACTGCAAAAAGAGTGTTTCAAACCTACTCTGTGAAAGGGAATATTCAACTCTGTGACTGGAATGCAGATATCACAAAGAAGTTTCTGAGAATGCTTCTGTCGAGATTTTATATGAAGATATTCCCGTTTCCAACGAAATCCTGAAATCTATCCAAATATCCCCTCGCAGATTCTACAAAAAGAGTGTTTCAAAACTGCTCTGTGAAAAGAAAGGTACAACTCTGTTAGTTGAGTACACACATCACAAACAAGTTTCACAGAATGCTTCTTTCTAGCTTGTAGGGGAAGATATTCCCTTTATCACCATGGTCC
The DNA here is from genome assembly GCF_000001405.40 of Homo sapiens. Lineage (NCBI taxonomy): Eukaryota > Metazoa > Chordata > Mammalia > Primates > Hominidae > Homo > Homo sapiens. The sequence continues at coordinate 17,037,854 of NC_000013.11, read as the reverse complement.
TCAAACCGTCCGAAACGTCCACTGCCATATATTACAAAAAGAGCGTTTCAAACCTGCTCTATGAAAGGCAATGTTCAACTCTGTGACTTGAATGCAGACATCACAGAGCAGTTTCTGAGAATGCTTCTGTCTAGATTTTATAGGAAGATATTCCCATTTCCAACGAAATCTTCACAGCTATCCAAATATCCACTTGCAGATTCTACAAAAAGAGTGTATCAAAACTGCTCTGTCAAAAGGAAGGTTCTTCTCTGTTAGGTGAGTGCATACGTCATAAAGGAGTTTCTGAGAATGTTTCTGTCTAGTGGTTATGGGAAGATATTTGCTTTTTCCCCGTATGCCTCAAAGCGCTCCAAATGTCCACTTGAACATACTACAAAAAGAGTGCTTCAAAGCTGCTCTCTGAAAGGGAATGTTCAACTCTATGAGTTGAATGCAAACATCACAAAGACGTTTCTGAGAATGCTTCTGTCTAGATTTGATATGAAGATATTCCCGTTTCCAACGAAATCTTCAAATCTATCCAAATGTCCACTTGCAGATTCAACAAAGTGTTTTTCAAAACTGCTGTATCAAAAGAAAGATCCACCTGTGTTAGCTGAGTTCACACTTCACAAACAAGTTTATCAGAATTCTTCTGTCTAGTTTTTATTTGAAGATATATCCTTTCTCACTATAGACCTGAAAGCTCTCCTAAAGTTCACTTCCAGATACTACAGAAAGAGTTTTTCAAAACTGCTGTACGAAAGGGAATGTTCAACTCTGTGACTTGAATGCACACGTCACAAGGAAGATTCTGAGGATGCTGCTGTCTACTTTTTATACGTAATCCCGTTTCCAACGAAATCCTCCAATCTATCCAAATATCCACTTGCAGATTCCACAGAAAGACTGTTTCAAAACTGCTCTGTCAATAGAAAGGTTAAACTCTGTTAGCTGCGTGCATATATCACAAAGAAGATTCTGAGATTGCTTCTGTCTAGTTTTTATGGGAAGATATTTCCCTTTTCACCATAGGCGTCAAGGCGCTCCAAATGTCCACTTCCAGATACTAAAAAAAGAGTGTTTCAAACCTACTCTGTGAAAGGGAATATTCAACTCTGTGACTTGAATGCACATATCACAAAGAAGTTTCTGCTAATGCTTCTGTCGAGTATTTTATATGAAGATATTCCCGTTTCCAACGAAATCCTGAAATCTATCCAAATATCCCCTCGCAGATTCTACAAAAAGAGTGTTTCAAAACTGCTCTGTAAAAAGAAAGGTTCAACTCTATTAGTTGAGTACACACATCACAAACAAGTTTCACAGAATGCTTCTTTCTAGCTTGTAGGGGAAGATATTCCCTTTATCACCGTGGGCCTCCAACCGTCCGAAACGTCCACTTCCATATACTACAAAAAGAGCGTTTCAAACCTGCTCTATGAAAGGCAATGTTCAACTTCTGTGACTTGAATGCAGACATCACAGAGCAGTTTCTGAGAATGCTTCTGTCTAGATTTTATAGGAAGATATTCCCGTTTCCAACGAAATCTTCACAGCTATCCAAATATCCACTTGCAGATTCTACAAAAAGAGTGTATCAAAACTGCTCTGTCAAAAGGAAGGTTCTTCTCTGTTAGGTGAGTGCATACGTTTAAAGGAGTTTCTGAGAATGTTTCTGTCTAGTGGTTATGGGAAGATATTTGCTTTTTCACCTTAGGCCTCAGAGCGCTCCAAATATCCACTTGCACATACTACAAAAAGAGTGTTTCAAAGCTGCTCTCTGAAAGGGAATGTTCAACTCTATGAGTTGAATGCAAACATGACAAAGACGTTTCTGAGAATGCTTTCTGTCTAGATTTGATATGAAGATATTCCCATTTCCAACGAAATCTTCAAATCTATTCAAATGTCCACTTGCAGATTCAACAAAAAGTGTTTTTCGAAACTGCTGTTTCGAAAGAAAGATCCACCTCTGTTAGCTGAGTTCACACTTCACAAACAAGTTTATCAGAATACTTCTGTCTAGTTTTTATTTGAAGATATATCCTTTCTCACCATAGACCTGAAAGCTCTCCTAATGCTCACTTCCAGATACTACAGAAAGAGTGTTTCAAAACTGCTGTACGAAAGGGAATGTTCAACTCTGTGACTTGAATGCACACATCACAAAGAAGTTTCTGAGGATGCTGCTGTCTACTTTTTATACGTAATCCCGTTTCCAACGAAATCCTCTAATCTATCCAAATATCCACTTGCAGATTCCACAGAAAGACTGTTTCAAAACTGCTCTGTCAATAGAAAGGTTCAACTCTGTTAGCTGCGTGCATATATCCCAAAGAAGATTCTGAGATTGCTTCTGTCTAGTTTTTATGGGAAGATATTTCCCTTTTCACCGTAGGCGTCAAGGTGCTCCAAATGTCCCCTTCCAGATACTACAAAAAGAGTGTTTCAAACCTACTCTGTGAAAGGGAATATTCAACTCTGTGACTTGAATATACATATCACAAAGACGTTTCTGAGAATGCTTCTGTCGAGATTTTATATGAAGATATTCCCGTTTCCAACGAAATCCTGAAATCTATCCAAATATCCCCTCGCAGATTCTACAAAAAGAGTGTTTCAAAACTGCTCTGTGAAAAGAAAGGTTCAACTCTGTTAGTTGAGTACACACATAACAAACAAGTTTCACAGAATGCTTCTTTCTAGCTTGTAGGGGAAGATATTCCCTTTATCACCATGGGCCTCAAACCGTCCGAAACGTCCACTTCCATATACTACAAAAAGAGTGTTTCAAACCTGCTCTATGAAAGGCAATGTTCAACTCTGTGAGTTGAATGCAGACATCACAGAGCAGTTTCTGAGAATGCTTCTGTCTAGATTTTATAGGAAGATATTCCCGTTTCCAACGAAATCTTCACAGCTATCCAAATATCCACTTGCAGATTCTACAAAAAGAGTGTATCAAAACTGCACTGTCAAAAGGAAGGTTCTTCTCTGTTAGGTGAGTGCATACGTCATAAAGGAGTTTCTGAGAATGTTTCTGTCTAGTGGTTATGGGAAGATATTTGCTTTTTCACCGTAGGCCTCAGAGCACTCCAAATATCCCCTTGCACATACTACAAAAAGAGTGCTTCAAAGCTGCTCTCTGAAAGGGAATGTTCAACTCTATGAGTTGAATGCAAACATCACAAAGACGTTTCTGGGAATGCTTCTGTCTAGATTTGATATGAAGATATTCCCGTTTCCAACGAAATCTTCAAATCTATCCAAATGTCCACTTGCAGATTCAACAAAAAGTGTTTTTCAGAACTGCTCTATCAAAAGAAAGATCCACCTGTTAGCTGAGTTCAGACATCACAAACAAGTTTATGAGAATGCTTCTGTCTAGTTTTTATTTGAAGATATTTCCTTTCTCACCATAGACCTGAAAGCTGTCATAATGTTCACTTCCAGATACTACAGAAAGAGTGTTTCAAAACTGCTGTACGAAAGGGAATGTTCAACTCTGTGACTTGAATGCACACATCACAAAGAAGTTTCTGAGGATGCTGCTGTCTACTTTTTATACGTAATCCCGTTTCCAACGAAATCCTCCAAGCTATCCAAATATCCACTTGCAGATTCCACAGAAAGACTGTTTCAAAACTGCTCTGTCAATAGAAAGGTTCAACTCTGTTAGCTGCGTGCATATATACCAAAGAAGATTCTGAGATTGCTTCTGTCTACTTTTTATGAGAAGATATTTCCCTTTTCACCGTAGGCGTCAAGGCGCTCCAAATGTCCACTTCCAGATACTACAAAAAGAGTGTTTCAAACCTACTCTGTGAAAGGGAATATTCAACTCTGTGACTTGAATGCACATATCACAAAGAAGTTTCAGAGAATGCTTCTGTCGAGATTTTATATGAAGATATTCCCGTTTCCAACGAAATCCTGAAATCTATCCAAATATCCCCTCGCAGATTCTACGAAAAGAGTGTTTCAAAACTGCTCTGTAAAAAGAAAGGTTCAACTCTGTTAGTTGAGTACACACATCACAAACAAGTTTCACAGAATGCTTCTGTCTAGTTTTTATGGGAAGATATTTCCCTTTTCACCGTAGGCGTCAAGGCGCTCCAAATGTCCACTTCCAGATACTACAAAAAGAGTGTTTCAAACCTACTCTGTGAAAGGGAATATTCAACTCTGTGACTTGAATGCAGACATCACAGAGCAGTTTCTGAGAATGCTTCTGTCTAGATTTTATAGGAAGATATTCCCGTTTCCAACGAAATCTTCACAGCTATCCAAATATGCACTTGCAGATTCTACAAAAAGAGTGTATCAAAACTGCTCAGTCAAAAAGAAGGTTCTTCTCTGTTAGTTGAGTACATACGTCATAAAGGAGTTTCTGAGAATGTTTCTGTCTAGTGGTTATGGGAAGATATTTGCTTTTTCACCGTAGGCCTCAGAGTTCTCCAAATATCCACTTGCACATACTACAAAAAGAGTGCTTCAAAGCTGCTCTCTGAAAGGGAATGTTCAACTCTATGAGTTGAATGCAAACATCACAAAGACGTTTCTGAGAATGCTTCTGTCTAGATTTGATATGAAGATATTCCCGTTTCCAACGAAATCTTCAAATCTATCCAAATGTCCACTTGCAGATTCAACAAAGTGTTTTTCAGAACTGCTCTATCAAAAGAAAGATCCACCTCTGTTAGCTGAGTTCACACTTCACAAACAAGTTTATCAGAATGCTTCTGTCTAGTTTTTATTTGAAGATATTTCCTTTCTCACCATAGACCTGAAAGCTGTCCTAATGTTCACTTCCAGATACTACAGAAAGAGTGTTTCAACACTGCTGTACGAAAGGGAATGTTCAACTCTGTGACTTGAATGCACACATCACAAAGAAGTTTCTGAGGATGCTGCTGTCTACTTTTTATACGTAATCCCGTTTCCAACGAAATCCTCCAAGCTATCCAAATATCCACTTGCAGATTCCACAGAAAGACTGTTTCAAAACTGCTCTGTCAATAGAAAGGTTCAACTCTGTTAGCTGGGTGCATATATCACAAAGAAGATTCTGAGATTGCTTCTGTCTAGTTTTTATGGGAAGATATTTCCCTTTTCACCGTAGGCGTCAAGGCGCTCCAAATGTCCACTTCCAGATACTACAAAAGGAGTGTTTCAAACCTACTCTGTGAAAGGGAATATTCAACTCTGTGACTTGAATGCACATATCACAAAGAAGTTTCTGAGAATGCTTCTGTCGAGATTTTATATGAAGATATTCCCGTTTCCAACGAAATCCTGAAATCTATCCAAATATCCCCTCGCAGATTCTACAGAAAGAGTGTTTCAAAACTGCTCTGTAAAAAGAAAGGTTGAACTCTGTTAGTTGAGTACACACATCACAAACAAGTTTCACAGAATGCTTCTTTCTAGCTTGTAGGGTAAGATATTCCCTTTATCACCATGGGCCTCAAACCGTCCGAAACGTCCACTTCCATATACTACAAAAAGAGCGTTTCAAACCTGCTCTAGGAAAGGCAATGTTCAACTCTGTGACTTGAATGCAGACATCACAGAGCAGTTTCTGAGAATGCTTCTGTCTAGATTTTATAGGAAGATATTCCCGTTTCCAACGAAATCTTCACAGCTATCCAAATATCCACTTGCAGATTCTACAAAAAGAGTGTATCAAAACTGCTCTGTCAAAAGGAAGGTTCTTCTCTGTTGGGTGAGTGCATACGTGATAAAGGAGTTTCTGAGAATGTTTCTGTCTAGTGGTTATGGGAAGATATTTGCTTTTTCACCGTAGGCCTCAGAGCGCTCCAAATATCCACTTGCACATACTACAAAAAGAGTGCTTCAAAGCTGCTCTCTGAAACGGAATGTTCAACTGTATGAGTTGAATGCAAACATCCCAAAGACGTTTCTGAGAATGCTTCTGTCTAGATTTGATATGAAGATATTCCCGTTTCCAACGAAATCTTCAAATCTATCCAAATGTCCACTTGCAGATTCATCAAAAAGTGTTTTTCAAAACTGCTGTATCAAAAGAAAGATCCACGTCTGTTAGCTGAGTTCACACATCACAAACAAGTTTATGAGAATGCTTCTGTCTAGTTTTTATTTGAAGATATTTCCTTTCTCACCATAGACCTGAAAGCTGTCCTAATGTTCACTTCCAGATACTACAGAAAGAGTGTTTCAAAACTGCTGTACGAAAGGGAATGTTCAACTCTGTGACTTGAATGCACACATCACAAAGAAGTTTCTGAGGAGGCTGCTGTCTACTTTTTATACGTAATCCCGTTTCCAACGAAATCGTCCAAGCTATCCAAATATCCACTTGCAGATTCCACAGAAAGACTGTTTCAAAACTGCTCTGTCAATAGAAAGGTTCAACTCTGTTAGCTGCGTGCATATATCCCAAAGAAGATTCTGAGATTGCTGCTGTCTACTTTTTATGAGAAGATATTTCCCTTTTCAACGTAGGCGTCAAGGCGCTCCAAATGTCCACTTCCAGATACTACAAAAAGAGTGTTTCAAACCTACTCTGTGAAAGGGAATATTCAACTCTGTGACTTGAATGCACATATCACAAAGAAGCTTCTGAGAATGCTTCTGTCGGGATTTTATATGAAGATATTCCCGTTTCCAACGAAATCCTGAAATGTATCCAAATATCCCCTCGCAGATTCTACAAAAAGAGTGTTTCAAAACTGCTCTGTAAAAAGAAAGGTTCAACTCTGTTAGTTGAGTACACACATCACAAACAAGTTTCACAGAATGCTTCTTTCTAGCTTGTAGGGGAAGATATTCCCTTTATCACCATGGGCCTCAAACCGTCCGAAACGTCCACTTCCATATACTACAAAAAGAGCATTTCAACCCTGCTCTAGGAAAGGCAATGTTCAACTCTGTGACTTGAATGCAGACATCACAGAGCAGTTTCTGAGAATGCTTCTGTCTAGATTTTATAGGAAGATATTCCCGTTTCCAACGAAATCTTCACAGCTATCCAAATATCCACTTGCAGATTCTACAAAAAGAGTGTATCAAAACTGCTCTGTGAAAAGGAAGGTTCTTTTCTGTTAGGTGAGTGCATACGTCACAAAGGAGTTTCTGAGAATGTTTCTGTCTAGTGGTTATGGGAAGATATTTGCTTTTTCACCGTAGGCCTCAGAGGGCTCCAAATATCCACTTGCACATACTACAAAAAGAGTGCCTCAAAGCTGCTCTCTGAAACGGAATGTTCAACTCTATGAGTTGAATGCAAACATCGCAAAGACGTTTCTGAGAATGCTTCTGTCTAGATTTGATATGAAGATATTCCCGTTTCCAACGAAATCTTCTAATCTATCCAAATGTCCACTTGCAGATTCAACAAAAAGTGTTTTTCAGAACTGCTCTATCAAAAGAAAGATCCACCTCTGTTAGCTGAGTTCACACATCACAAACAAGTTTATGAGAATGCTTCTGTCTAGTTTTTATTTGAAGATATTTCCTTTCTCACCATAGACCTGAAAGCTGTCCTAATGTTCACTTCCAGATACTACAGAAAGAGTGTTTCAAAACTGTTGTACGAAAGGGAATGTTCAACTCTGTGACTTGAATGCACACATCACAAAGAAGTTTCTGAGGATGCTGCTGTCTACTTTTTATACGTAATCCCGTTTCCAACGAAATCCTCCAAGCTATCCAAATATCCACTTGCATATTCCACAGAAAGACTGTTTCAGAACTGCTCTGTCAGTAGAAAGGTTCAACTCTGTTAGCTGCGTGCATATATCCCAAAGAAGATTCTGAGATTGCTTCTGTCTAGTTTTTATGGGAAGATATTTGCCTTTTCACCGTAGGTGTCAAGGCGCTCCAAATGTCCACTTCCAGATACTACAAAAAGAGTGTTTCAAACCTACTCTGTGAAAGGGAATATTCAACTCTGTGACTTGAATGCAGATATCACAAAGAAGTTTCTGAGAATGCTTCTGTCGAGATTTTATATGAAGATATTCCCGTTTCCAACGAAATGCTGAAATGTATCCAAATATCCCCTCGCAGATTCTACAAAAAGAGTGTTTCAAAACTGCTCTGTAAAAAGAAAGGTTCAACTCTGTTAGTTGAGTACACACATCACAAACAAGTTTCACAGAATGCTTTCTTTCTAGCTTGTAGGGGAAGATATTCCCTTTATCACCATGGGCCTCAAACCGTCCGAAACGTCCACTTCCATATACTACAAAAAGAGCGTTTCAAACCTGCTCTATGAAAGGCAATGTTCAACTCTGTGAGTTGAATGCAGACATCACAGAGCAGTTTCTGAGAATGCTTCTGTCGAGATTTTATAGGAAGATATTCCCGTTTCCAACGAAATCTTCACAGCTATCCAAATATCCACTTGCAGATTCTACAAAAAGAGTGTATCAAAACTGCTCTGTCAAAAGGAAGGTTCTTTTCTGTTAGGTGAGTGCATACGTCATAAAGGAGTTTCTGAGAATGTTTCTGTCTAGTGGTTATGGGAAGATATTTGCTTTTTCCCCGTAGACCTCAGAGCGCTCCAAATGTCCACTTGCACATGCTACAAAAAGAGTGCTTCAAAGCTGCTCTCTGAAAGGGAATGTTCAACTCTATGAGTTGAATGTAAACATCACAAAGACGTTTCTGAGAATGCTTCTGTCTAGATTTGATATGAAGATATTCCCGTTTCCAACGAAATCTTCAAATCTATCCAAATGTCCACTTGCAGATTCAACAAAAAGTGTTTTTCAAAACTGCTGTATCAAAAGAAAGATCCACGTCTGTTAGCTGAGTTCACACATCACAAACAAGTTTAGGAGAATGCTTCTGTCTAGTTTTTATTTGAAGATATTTCCTTTCTCACTATAGACCTGAAAGCTCTCCTAAAGTTCACTTCCAGATACTACAGAAAGAGTGTTTCAAAACTGCTGTACGAAAGGGAATGTTCAATTCTGTGACTTGAATGCACACATCACAAAGAAGTTTCTGAGGATGCTGCTGTGTACTTTTTATACGTAATCCCGTTTCCAACGAAATCCTCCAAGCTATCCAAATATCCACTTGCAGATTCCACAGAAAGACTGTTTCAAAACTGCTCTGTCAATAGAAAGGTTCAACTCTGTTAGCTGCGTGCATATATCCCAAAGAAGATTCTGAGATTGCTTGTGTCTACTTTTTATGAGAAGATATTTCCCTTTTCACCGTAGGCGTCAAGGCGCTCCAAATGTCCACTTCCAGATACTACAAAAAGAGTGTTTCAAACCTACTCTGTGAAAGGGAATATTCAACTCTGTGACTTGAATGCACATATCACAAAGAAGCTTCTGAGAATGCTTCTGTCGAGATTTTCTATGAAGATATTCCCGTTTCCAACGAAATCCTGAAATCTATCCAAATATCCCCTCGCAGATTCTACAAAAAGAGTGTTTCAAAACTGCTCTGTAAAAAGAAAGGTTCAACTCTATTAGTTGAGTACACACATCACAAACAAGTTTCACAGAATGCTTTCTTTCTAGCTTGTAGGGGAAGATATTCCCTTTATCACCATGGGCCTCAAACCGTCCGAAACGTCCACTTCCATATACTACAAAAAGAGCGTTTCAAACCTGCTCTAGGAAAGGCAATGTTCAACTCTGTGACTTGAATGCAGACATCACAGAGCAGTTTCTGAGAATGCTTCTGTCTAGATTTTATAGGAATGTATTCCCGTTTCCAACGAAATCTTCACAGCTATCCAAATATCCACTTGCAGATTCTACAAAAAGAGTGTATCAAAACTGCTCTGTCAAAAGGAAGGTTCTTCTCTGTTAGTTGAGTACATACGTCATAAAGGAGTTTCTGAGAATGTTTCTGTCTAGTGGTTATGGGAAGATATTTGCTTTTTCACCGTAGGCCTCAGAGCGCTCCAAATATCCACTTGCACATAGTACAAAAAGAGTGCCTCAAAGCTGCTCTCTGAAACGGAATGTTCAACTCTATGAGTTGAATGCAAACATCACAAAGACGTTTCTGAGAATGCTTCCGTCTAGATTTGATATGAAGATATTCCCGTTTCCAACGAAATCTTGAAATCTATCCAAATGTCCACTTGCAGATTCAACAAAAAGTGTTTTTCAGAACTGCTCTATCAAAAGAAAGATCCACCTCTGTTAGCTGAGTTCACACATCACAAACAAGTTTATGAGAATGCTTCTGTCTAGTTTTTATTTGAAGATATTTCCTTTCTCACCATAGACCTGAAAGCTGTCGTAATGTTCACTTCCAGATACTACAGAAAGAGTGTTTCAAAACTGCTGTACGAAAGGGAATGTTCAACTCTGTGACTTGAATGCACACATCACAAAGAAGTTTCTGAGGATGCTGCTGTCTACTTTTTATACGTAATCCCGTTTCCAACGAAATCCTCCAAGCTATCCAAATATCCACTTGCAGATTCCACAGAAAGACTGTTTCAAAACTGCTCTGTCAATAGAAAGGTTCAACTCTGTTACCTGCGTGCATATATCCCAAAGAAGATTCTGAGATTGCTTCTGTCTAGTTTTATGGGAAGATATTTCCCTTTTCACCGTAGGTGTCAAGGCGCTCCAAATGTCCACTTCCAGATACTACAAAAAGAGTGTTTCAAACCTACTCTGTGAAAGGGAATATTCAACTCTGTGACTTGAATGCACATATCACAAAGAAGTTTCTGAGAATGCTTCTGTCGAGATTTTATATGAAGATATTCCCGTTTCAAACGAAATCATGAAATCTATCCAAATATCCCCTCGCAGATTCTACAAAAAGAGTGTTTCAAAACTGCTCTGTAAAAAGAAAGGTTCAACTCTGTTAGTTGAGTACACACATCACAAACAAGTTTCACAGAATGCTTCTTTCTAGCTTGTAGGGGAAGATATTCCCTTTATCACCATGGGCCTCAAACCGTCCGAAACGTCCACTTACATATACTACAAAAAGAGCGTTTCAAACCTGCTCTATGAAAGGCAATGTTCAGCTCTGTGACTTGAATGCAGACATCACAGAGCAGTTTCTGAGAATGCTTCTGTCTAGATTTTATAGGAAGATATTCCCGTTTCCAACGAAATCTTCACAGCTATCCAAATATCCACTTGTAGATTCTACAAAAAGAGTGTATCAAAACTGCTCTGTCAAAAGGAAGGTTCTTCTCTGTTAGGTGAGTGCATACGTCATAAAGGAGTTTCTGAGAATGTTTCTGTGTAGTGGTTATGGGAAGATATTTGCTTTTTCACCGTAGGCCTCAGAGCGCTCCAAATATCCACTTGCACATACTACAAAAAGAGTGCTTCAAAGCTGCTCTCTGAAAGGGAATGTTCAACTCTATGAGTTGAATGCAAACATCACAAAGACGTTTCCAAGAATGCTTCTGTCTAGATTTGATATGAAGATATTCCCGTTTCCACCGAAATCTTCAAATCTATCCAAATGTCCACTTGCAGATTCAACAAAAAGTGTTTTTCAGAACTGCTCTATCAAAAGAAAGATCCACCTCTGTTAGCTGAGTTCACACATCACAAACAAGTTTATGAGAATGCTTCTGTCTAGTTTTTATTTGAAGATATTTCCTTTCTCACCATAGACCTGAAAGCTGTCCTAATGTTCACTTCCAGTTACTACAGAAAGAGTGTTTCAAAACTGCTGTACGAAAGGGAATGTTCAACTCTGTGACTTGAATGCACACATCACAAAGAAGGTTCCTGAGGATGCTGCTGTCTACTTTTTATACGTAATCCCGTTTCCAACGAAATCCTCCAAGCTATCCAAATATCCATTTGCAGATTCCACAGAAAGACTGTTTCAAAACTGCTCTGTCAATAGAAAGGTTCAACTCTGTTAGCTGCGTGCATATATCCCAAAGAAGATTCTGAGATTGCTTCTGTCTAGTTTTTATGGGAAGATATTTCCCTTTTCACCGTAGGCGTCAAGGCGCTCCAAATGTCCACTTCCAGATAGTACAAAAAGAGTGTTTCAAACCTACTCTGTGAAAGGGAATATTCATCTCTGTGACTTGAATGCACATATCACAAAGAAGTTTCTGAGAATGCTTCTGTCGAGATTTCTATATGAAGATATTCCCGTTTCCAACGAAATCCTGAAATCTATCCAAATATCCCCTCGCAGATTCTACAAAAAGAGTGTTTCAAAACTGCTCTGTAAAAAGGAAGGTTCAACTCTGTTAGTTGAGTACACACATCACAAACAAGTTTCACAGAATGCTTCTTTCTAGCTTGTAGGGGAAGATACTCCCTTTATCACCATGGGCCTCAAACCGTCCGAAAAGTCCACTTCCATATATTACAAAAAGAGCGTTTCAAACCTGCTCTATGAAAGGCAATGTTCAACTCTGTGACTTGAATGCAGACATCACAGAGCAGTTTCTGAGAATGCTTCTGTCTAGATTTTATAGGAAGGTATTCCCGTTTCCAACGAAATCTTCACAGCTATCCAAATATCCACTTGCAGATTCTACAAAAAGAGTGTATCAAAACTGCTCTGTCAAAAGGAAGGTTCTTCTCTGTTAGTTGAGTACATACGTCATAAAGGAGTTTCTGAGAATGTTTCTGTCTCGTGGTTATGGGAAGATATTTGCTTTTTCACCGTAGGCCTCAGAGCGCTCCAAATATCCACTTGCACATACTACAAAAAGAGTGTTTCAAAGCTGCTCTCTGAAAGGGAATGTTCAACTCTATGAGTTGAATGCAAACATGACAAAGACGTTTCTGAGAATGCTTCTGTCTAGATTTGATATGAAGATATTCCCGTTTCCAACGAAATCTTCAAATCTATCCTAATGTCCACTTGCAGATTCAACAAAAAGTGTTTTTCAGAACTGCTCTATCAAAAGAAAGATCCACCTCTGTTAGCTGAGTTCACACATCACAAACAAGTTTATGAGAATGCTTCTGTCTAGTTTTTATTTGAAGATATTTCCTTTCTCACCATAGACCTGAAAGCTGTCCTAATGTTCACTTCCAGATGCTACAGAAAGAGTGTGTCAAAACTGCTGTACGAAAGGGAATGTTCAACTCTGTGACTTGAATGCACACATCACAAAGAAGTTTCTGAGGATGCTGCTGTCTACTTTTTATACGTAATCCCGTTTCCAACGAAATCCTCCAAGCTATCCAAATATCCACTTGCAGATTCCACAGAACGACTGTTTCAAAACTGCTCTGTCAATAGAAATGTTCAACTCCGTTAGCTGCGTGCATATATCCCAAAGAAGATTCTGAGATTGCTTCTGTCTAGTTTTTATGGGAAGATATTTCCCTTTTCACCGTAGGTGTCAAGGCGCTCCAAATGTCCACTTCCAGATACTACAGAAAGAGTGTTTCAAACCTACTCTGTGAAAGGGAATATTCAACTCTGTGACTTGAAAGCAGATATCACAAAGAAGTTTCTGAGAATGCTTCTGTCGAGATTTTATATGAAGATATTCCCGTTTCCAATGAAATCCTGAAATCTATCCAAATATCCCCTCGCAGATTCTACAAAAAGAGTGTTTCAAAACTGCTCTGTAAAAAGAAAGGTTCAACTCTGTTAGTTGAGTACACACATCACAAACAACTTTCACAGAATGCTTCTTTCTAGCTTGTAGGGGAAGATATTCCCTTTATCACCATGGGCCTCAAACCGTCCGAAACGTCCACTTCCATATACTACAAAAAGAGCGTTTCAAACCTGCTCTATGAAAGGCAATGTTCAACTCTGTGACTTGAATGCAGACATCACAGAGCTGTTTCTGAGAATGCTTCTGTCTAGATTTTATAGGAAGATATTCCCGTTTCCAACGAAATCTTCACAGCTATCCCAATATCCACTTGCAGATTCTACAAAAAGAGTGTATCAAAACTGCTCTGTCGAAAGGAAGGTTCTCCTCTGTTAGGTGAGTGCATACGTCATAAAGGAGTTTCTGAGAATGTTTCTGTCTAGTGGTTATGGGAAGATATTTGCTTTTTCACCGTAGGCCTCAGAGCGCTCCAAATATCCACTTGCACATACTACAAAAAGAGTGCTTCAAAGCTGCTCTCTGAAAGGGAATGTTCAACTCTATGAGTTGAATGGAAACATCACAAAGACGTTTCTGAGAATGCTTCTGTCTAGATTTGATATGAAGATATTCCCGTTTCCAACGAAATCTTCAAATCTATCCAAATGTCCACTTGCAGATTCAACAAAAAGTGTTTTTCAAAACTGCTGTATCAAAAGAAAGATCCACGTCTGTTACCTGAGTTCACACATCACAAACAAGTTTATGAGAATGCTTCTGTCTAGTTTTTATTTGAAGATATATCCTTTCTCACTATAGACCTGAAAGCTGTCCTAAAGTTCACTTCCAGATACTACAGAAAGAGTGTTTGAAAACTGCTGTACGAAAGGGAATGTTCAACTCTGTGACTTGAATGCACACATCACAAGGATGTTTCTGAGGATGCTGCTGTCTACTTTTTATACGTAATCCCGTTTCCAACGTAATCCTCCAAGCTATCCAAATATCCACTTGCAGATTCCACAGAAAGACTGTTACAAAACTGCTCTGTCAATAGAAAGGTTCAACTCTGTTAGCTGCGTGCATATATCCCAAAGAAGATTCTGAGATTGCTTCTGTCTACTTTTTATGAGAAGATATTACCCTTTTCACCGTAGGCGTCAAGGCGCTCCAAATGTCCACTTCCAGATACTACAAAAAGAGTGTTTCAAACCTACTCTGTGAAAGGGAATATTGAACTCTGTGACTTGAATGCACATATCACAAAGAAGCTTCTGAGAATGCTTCTGTCGAGATTTTATATGAAGACATTCCCGTTTCCAACGAAATCCTGAAATCTATCCAAATATCCCCTCGCAGATTCTACAAAAAGAGTGTTTCAAAACTGCTCTGTAAAAAGAAAGGTTCAACTCTGTTAGTTGAGTACACACATCACAAACAAGTTTCACAGAATGCTTCTTTCTAGCTTGTATGGGAAGATATTCCCTTTATCACCATGGGCCTCAAACCGTCCGAAACGTCCACTTCCATATACTACAAAAAGAGTGTTTCAAACCTGCTCTATGAACGGCAATGTTCAACTCTGTGACTTGAATGCAGACATCACAGAGCAGTTTCTGAGAATGCTTCTGTCCAGACTTTATAGGAAGATATTCCCGTTTCCAACGAAATCTTCACAGCTATCCAAATATCCACTTGCAGATAGTACAAAAAGAGTGTATCAGAAATGCTCTGTCAAAAGGAAAGTTCTTCTCTGCTAGTTGAGTACATACGTCATAAAGAAGTTTCTGAGAATGTTCCTGTCTAGTGGTTATGGGAAGATATTTGCTTTTTCCCCGTAGGCCTCAAAGCGGTCCAAATGTCCACTTGCACATACTACAAAAAGAGTGCTTCAAAGCTCCTCTCAGAAAGGGAATGTTCAACTCTATGAGTTGAATGCAAACATCACAAAGGCGTTTCTGAGAATGCTTCTGTCTAGATTTGATATGAAGATATTCCCGTTTCCAACGAAATCTTCAAATCTATCCAAATGTCCACTTGCAGATTCAACAAAAAGTGTTTTTCAGAACTGCTCTATCAAAAGAAAGATCCACGTCTGTTAGCTGAGTACACACATCACAAACAAGTTTATGAGAATGCTTCTGTCTAGTTTTTATTTGAAGATATTTCCTTTCTCACCATAGGCCTGAAAGCTGTCCTAATGTTCACTTCCAGATACTACAGAAAGAGTGTTTCAAAACTGCTGTACGAAAGGGAATGTTCAACTCTGTGACTTGAATGCACACATCACAAAGAAGTTTCTGAGGATGCTGCTGTCTACTTTTGATACGTAATCCCGTTTCCAACGAAATCCTCCAAGCTATCCAAATATCCACTTGCAGATTCCACAGAAAGACTGTTTCAAAACTGCTCTGTCAATAGAAAGGTTCAACTCTGTTAGCTGCGTGCATATATCCCAAAGAAGATTCTGAGATTGCTTTCTGTCTATTTTTTATGGGAAGATATTTCCCTTTTCACCGTAGGCGTCAAGGCGCTCCAAATGTCCACTTCCAGATACTACAAAAAGAGTGTTTCAAACCTACTCTGTGAAAGGGAATATTCAACTCTGTGACTTGAAGGCAGATATCACAAAGAAGTTTCTGAGAATGCTTCTGTCGAGATTTTATATGAAGATATTCCCGTTTCCAACGAAATGCTGAAATGTATCCAAATATCCCCTCGCAGATTCTACAAAAAGAGTGTTTCAAAACTGCTCTGTAAAAAGAAAGGTTCAACTCTGTTAGTTGCGTACACACATCACAAACAAGTTTCACAGAATGCTTCTTTCTAGCTTGTAGGGGAAGATATTCCCTTTATCACCATGGGCCTCAAACCGTCCGAAACGTCCACTTCCATATACTACAAAAAGAGCGTTTCAAACCTGCTCTATGAAAGGCAATGTTCAAATCTGTGACTTGAATGCAGACATCACAGAGCAGTTTCTGAGAATGCTTCTGTCTAGATTTTATAGGAAGATATTCCCGTTTCCAACGAAATCTTCACAGCTATCCAAATATCCACTTGCAGATTCTACAAAAAGAGTGTATCAAATCTGCTCTGTCAAAAGGAAGGTTCTTCTCTGTTAGTTGAGTACATACGTCATAAAGGAGTTTCTGAGAATGTTTCTGTCTAGTGGTTATGGGAAGATATTTGCTTTTTCACCGTAGGCCTCAGAGCGCTCCAAATATCCACTTGCACATACTACAAAAAGAGTGCTTCAAAGCTGCTCTCTGAAACGGAATGTTAAACTCTATGAGTTGAATGCAAACATCACAAAGACGTTTCTGAGAATGCTTCT
This sequence comes from Homo sapiens, assembly GCF_000001405.40. Taxonomy (NCBI): domain Eukaryota; kingdom Metazoa; phylum Chordata; class Mammalia; order Primates; family Hominidae; genus Homo; species Homo sapiens. Next base: position 17,021,016 of record NC_000013.11, on the reverse strand, counting down.
GTCTAGATTTGATATGAAGATATTCCCATTTCCAACGAAATCTTCAAATCTATCCAAATGTCCACTTGCAGATTCAACAAAAAGTGTTTTTCAGAACTGCTCTATCAAAAGAAAGATCCACCTCTGTTAGCTGAGTTCACACATCACAAACAAGTTTATGAGAATGCTTCTGTCTAGTTTTTATTTGAAGATATTTCCTTTCTCACCATAGACCTGAAAGCTGTGCTAAAGTTCACTTCCAGATACTACAGAAAGAGTGTTTCAAAACTGCTGTACGAAAGGGAATGTTCAACTCTGTGACTTGAATGCACACATCACAAGGATGTTTCTGAGGATGCTGCTGTCTACTTTGTATATGTAATCCCGTTTCCAACGAAATCCTCCAAGCTATCCAAATATCCACTTGCAGATTCCACAGAAAGACTGTTTCAAAACTGCTCTGTCAATAGAAAGGTTCAACTCTGTTAGCTGCGTGCATATATCCCAAAGAAGATTCTGAGATTGCTTCTGTCTAGTTTTTATGGGAAGATATTTCCCTTTTCATCATAGGTGTCAAGGCGCTCCAAATGTCCACTTCCAGATACTACAAAAAGAGTGTTTCAAACCTACTCTGTGAAAGGGAATATTCAACACTGTGACTTGAATGCGCATATCACAAAGAAGTTTCTGAGAATGCTTCTGTCGAGATTTTATATGAAGATATTCCCGTTTCCAACGAAATCCTGAAATCTATCCAAATATCCCCTCGCAGATTCTACAAAAAGAGTGTTTCAAAACTGCTTTGTAAAAAGAAAGGTTCAACTCTGTTAGTTGAGTACACACATCACAAACAAGTTTCACAGAATGCTTCTTTCTAGCTTGTAGGGGAAGATATTCCCTTTATCACCATGGGCCTCAAACCGTCCGAAACGTCTACTTACATATACTACAAAAAGAGCGTTTCAAACCTGCTCTATGAAAGGCAATGTTCAACTCTGTGACTTGAATGCAGACATCACAGAGCAGTTTCTGAGAATGCTTCTGTCTAGATTTTATAGGAAGATATTCCCGTTTCCAACGAAATCTTCACAGCTATCCAAATATCCACTTGCAAATTCTACAAAAAGAGTGTATCAAAACTGCTCTGTCAAAAGGAAGGTTCTTCTCTGTTAGGTGAGTGCACACGTCATAAAGGAGTTTCTGAGAATGTTTCTGTCTAGTGGTTATGGGAAGATATTTGCTTTTTCACCGTAGGCCTCAGAGCGGTCCAAATATCCACTTGCACATACTACAAAAAGAGTGCCTCAAAGCTGCTCTCTGAAACGGAATGTTCAACTCTATGAGTTGAATGCAAACATCACAAAGACGTTTCTGAGAATGCTTCTGTCTAGATTTGATATGAAGATATTCCCGTTTCCAACGAAATCTTCAAATCTATCCAAATGTCCACTTGCGGATTCAACAAAAAGTGTTTTTCAAAACTGCTGTATCAAAAGAAAGATCCACCTCTGTTAGCTGAGTTCACACATCACAAACAAGTTTATGAGAATGCTTCTGTCTAGTTTTTATTTGAAGATATTTCCTTTCTCACCATAGACCTGAAAGCTGTCCTAATGTTCACTTCCAGTTACTACAGAAAGAGTGTTTCAAAACTGCTGTACGAAAGGGAATGTTCAACTCTGTGAGTTGAATGCACACATCACAAAGAAGTTTCTGAGGATGTTGCTGTCTACTTTTTATACGTAATCCCATTTCCAAAGAAATCCTGCAAGCTATCCAAATATCCACTTGCAGATTCCACAGAAAGACTGTTTCAAAACTGCTCTGTCAATAGAAAGGTTCAACTCTGTTAGTTGCGTGCATATATCCCAAAGAAGATTCTGAGATTGCTTCTGTCTAGTTTTTATGGGAAGATATTTCCCTTTTCACCGTAGGTTTCAAGGCGCTCCAAATGTCCACTTCCAGATACTACAAAAAGAGTGTTTCAAACCTACTCTGTGAAAGGGAATATTCAACTCTGTGACTTGAATGCACATATCACAAGGAAGTTTCTGAGAATGCTTCTGTCGAGATTTTATATGAAGATATTCCCGTTTCCAACGAAATCCTGAAATCTATCCAAATATCCCCTCGCAGATTATACAAAAAGAGTGTTTCAAAACTGCTCTGTAAAAAGAAAGGTTCAACTCTGTTAGTTGAGTACACACATCACAAACAAGTTTCACAGAATGCTTCTTTCTAGCTTGTAGGGGAAGATATTCCCTTTATCACCATGGGCCTCCAACCGTCCGAAACGTCCACTTCCATATACTACAAAAAGAGCCTTTCAAACCTGCTCTATGAAAGGCAATGTTCAACTCTGTGACTTGAATGCAGACATCACAGAGCAGTTTCTGAGAATGCTTTTTGTTTAGATTTTATAGGAAGATATTTGCGTTTCCAAGGAATTCTTCACAGATATCCAAATATCCACTTGCAGATTCTCCAAAAAGAGTGTATCAAAACTGCTCTGTCAAAAGGAAGGTTCTTCTCTGTTAGTTGAGTACATACGTCATAAAGAAGTTTCTGAGAATGTTTCTGTCTAGTGGTTATGGGAAGATATTTGCTTTTTCACCGTAGGCCTCAGAGCGCTCCAAATATCCACTTGCACATACTACAAAAAGAGTGCCTCAAAGCTGCTCTCTGAAACGGAATGTTCAACTCTATGATTTGAATGCCAACATCACAAAGACGTTTCTGAGAATGCTTCTGTCTAGACTTGATATGAAGATATTCCCGTTTCCAACGAAATCTTCAAATCTATTCAAATGTCCACTTGCAGATTCAACAAAAAGTGTTTTTCAGAACTGCTCTATCAAAAGAAAGATCCACCTCTGTTAGCTGAGTTCACACATCACAAACAAGTTTATGAGAATGCTTCTGTCTAGTTTTTATTTGAAGATATTTCCTTTCTCACCATAGACCTGAAAGCTGTCTTAATGTTCACTTCCAGATACTACAGAAAGAGTGTTTCAAAACTGCTGTACGAAAGGGAATGTTCAACACTGTGACTTGAATGCACACATCACAAAGAAGTTTCTGAGGATGCTGCTGTCTAATTTTTATACGTAATCCCGTTTCCAACGAAATCCTCCAAGCTATCCAAATATCCACTTGCAGATTCCACAGAAAGACTGTTTCAAAACTGCTCTGTCAATAGAAAGGTTCAACTCTGTTAGCTGCGTGCATATATCACAAAGAAGATTCTGAGATTGCTTCTGTCTAGTTTTTATGGGAAGATATTTCCCTTTTCACCGTAGGCGTCAAGGCTCTCCAAATGTCCACTTCCAGATACTACAAAAAGAGTGTTTCAAACCTACTCTGTGAAAGGGAATATTCAACTCTGTGACTTGAATGCAGATATCACAAAGAAGTTTCTGAGAATGCTTCTGTCGAGATTTTATATGAAGATATTCCCGTTTCCAACGAAATCCTGAAATCAATCCAAATATCCCCTCGCAGATTCTACAAAAAGAGTGTTTCAAAACTGCTCTGTAAAAAGAAAGGTTCAACTCTGTTAGTTGAGTACACACATCACAAACAAGTTTCACAGAATGCTTCTTTCTAGCTTGTAGGGGAAGATATTCCGTTTATCACCATGGGCCTCAAACCGTCCGAAACGTCTACTTCCATATACTACAAAAAGAGCGTTTCAAACCTGCTCTATGAAAAGCAATGTTCAACTCTGTGACTTGAATGCAGACATCACAGAGCAGTTTCTGAGAATGCTTCTGTCAGATTTGATATGAAGATATTCCCGTTTCCAACGAAATCTTCACACCTATCCAAATATCCACTTGCAGATACTACAAAAAGTGTGTATCCAAAGTTCTCTGTCAAAAGGAAAGTTCTTCTCTGCTACTTGAGTACATACGTCATAAATAAGTTTCTGAGAATGTTTCTGTCTAGTGGTTATGGGAAGATATTTGCTTTTTCACCTTAGGCCTCAGAGCGCTCCAAATATCCACTTGCACATACTACAAAAAGAGTGTTTCAAAGCTGCTCTCTGAAACGGAATGTTCAACTCTATGAGTTAAATGCAATCATCACAAAGACGTTTCTGAGAATGCTTCTGTCTAGATTTGATATGAAGATATTCCCGTTTCCAACGAAATCTTCAAATCTATCCAAATGTCCACTTGCAGATTCAACAAAGTGTTTTTCAGAACTGCTCTATCAAAAGAAAGATCCACCTCTGTTAGCTGAGTTCACACTTCAAAAACAAGTTTATCAGAATGCTTCTGTCTAGTTTTTATTTGAAGATATTTCCTTTCTCACCATAGACCTGAAAGCTGTCCTATTGTTCACTTCAGATACTACAGAAAGAGTGTTTCAAAACTGCTGTACGAAAGGGAATGTTCAACTCTGTGACTTGAATGCACACATCACAAAGAAGTTTCTGAGGATGCTGCTGTCTACTTTTTATACGTAATCCCGTTTCAAACGAAATCCTCCAAGCTATCCAAATATCCACTTGCAGATTCCACAGAAAGACTGTTTCAAAACTGCTCTGTCAATAGAAAAGTTCAACTCTGTTAGCTGCGTGCATATATCCCAAAGAAGATTCTGAGATTGCTTCTGTCTAGTTTTTATGGGAAGATATTTCCCTTTTCACCGTGGGCGTCAAGGCGCTCCAAATGTCCACTTCCAGATACTACAAAAAGAGTGTTCCAAACCTACTCTGTGAAAGGGAATATTCAACTCTGTGACTTGAATGCACATATCACAAGGAAGTTTCTGAGAATGCTTCTGTCGAGATTTTGTATGAAGATATTCCCGTTTCCAACGAAATGCTGAAATGTATCCAAATATCCCCTCGCAGATTCTACAAAAAGAGTGTTTCAAAACTGCTCTGTAAAAAGAAAGGTTCAACTCTGTTAGTTGAGTACACACATCACAAACAAGTTTCACAGAATGCTTCTTTCTAGCTTGTAGGGGAAGATATTGCCTTTATCACCATGGGCCTCAAACCGTCCGAAACGTCCACTTCCATATACTACAAAAAGAGCGTTTCAAACCTGCTAAATGAAAGGCAATGTTCAACTCTGTGACTTGAATGCAGACATCACAGAGCAGTTTCTGAGAATGCTTCTGTCTAGATTTTATAGGAAGATATTCCCGTTTCCAACGAAATCTTCACAGCTATCCAAATATGCACTTGCAGATTCTACAAAAAGAGTGTATCAAAACTGCTCTGTCAAAAGGAAGGTTCTTCTCTTTTAGGTGAGTGCATAGGTCATAAAGGAGTTTCTGAGAATGTTTCTGTCTAGTGGTTATGGGAAGATATTTGCTTTTTCCCCGTAGGCCTCAGGGCGCTCCAAATGTCCACTTGCACATGCTACAAAAAGAGTGCTTCAAAGCTACTCACTCAAAGGGAATGTTCAACTCTATGAGTTGAATGCAAACATCGCAAAGACGTTTCTGAGAATGCTTTCTGTCTAGATTTGATATGAAGATATTCCCGTTTCCAACGAAATCTTCAAATCTATCCAAATGTCCACTTGCAGATTCAACAAAAAGTGTTTTTCAGAACTGCTCTATCAAAAGAAAGATCCACCTCTGTTAGCTGAGTTCACACATCACAAACAAGTTTATGAGAATGATTCTGTCTAGTTTTTATTTGAAGATATTTCCTTTCTCACCATAGACCTGAAAGCTGTCCTAATGTTCACTTCCAGATACTACAGAAAGAGTGTTTCAAAGCTGCTGTACGAAAGGAAATGTTCAAATCTGTGACTTGAATGCACACATCACAAAGAAGTTTCTGAGGATGCTGCTGTCTAATTTTTATACGTAATCCCGTTTCCAACGAAATCCTCCAAGCTAACCAAATATCCACTTGCAGATTCCACGGAAAGACTGTTTCAAAACTGCTCTGTCAATAGAAAGGTTCAACTCTGTTAACTGCGTGCATATATCCCAAGGAAGATTCTGAGATTGCTTCTGTCTAGATTTGATATGAAGATATTCCCGTTCCCAACGAAATCTTCAAATCTATCCAAATGTCCACTTGCAGATTCAACAAAAAGTTTTTTTCAGAACTGCTCTATCAAAAGAAAGATCCACCTCGGTTAGCTGAGTTCACACATCACAAAGAAGTTTATGAGAATGCTTCTGTCGAGATTTTATATGAAGATATTCCCGTTTCCAAGGAAATCCTGAAATCTATCCAAATATCCCCTCGCAGATTCTACAAAAAGAGTGTTTCAAAACTGCTCTGTAAAAAGAAAGGTTCAACTCTGTTAGTTGAGTACACACATCACAAACAAGTTTCACAGAATGCTTCTTTCTAGCTTGTAGGGGAAGATATTCCCTTTATCACCATGGGACTCAAACCGTCCGAATCGTCCACTTCCATATACTACAAAAAGACCGTTTCAAACCTGCTCCATGAAAGGCAATGTTCAACTCTGTGACTTGAATGCAGACATCACAGAGCAGTTTCTGAGAATGCTTCTGTCTAGATTTTATAGGAAGATATTCCCGTTTCCAACGAAATCTTCACAGCTATCCAAATATGCACTTGCAGATTCTACAAAAAGAGTGTATCAAAACTGCTCTGTCAAAAGGAAGGTTCTTCTCTGTTAGGTGAGTGCATACGTCATAAAGGAGTTTCTGAGAATGTTTCAGTCTAGTGTTTATGGGAAGATATTTGCTTTTTCCCCGTAGGCCTCAGAGCGCTCCAAATATCCACTTGCACATACTACAAAAAGAGTGCTTCAAAGCTGCTCTCTGAAACGGAATGTTCAACTCTATGAGTTGAATGCAAACATCACAAAGACGTTTCTGAGAATGCTTCTGTCTAGATTTGATATGAAGATATTCCCGTTTCCAAAGAAATCTTCAAATCTATCCAAATGTCCACTTGCAGATTCAAAAAAAAGTGTTTTTCAGAACTGCTCTATCAAAAGAAAGATCCACCTCTGTTAGCTGAGTTCACACATCACAAACAAGTTTATGAGAATGCTTTCTGTCTAGTTTTTATTTGAAGATATTTCCTTTCTCACCATAGACCTGAAAGCTGTCCTAATGTTCACTCCCAGATAATACAGAAAGAGTGTTTCAAAACTGCTGTACGAAAGGGAATGTTCAACTCTGTGACTTGAATGCACACATCACAAAGAAGTTTCTGAGGATGCTGATGTCTACTTTTTATATGTAATCCCGTTTCCAACGAAATCCTCCAATCTATCCAAATATCCACTTGCAGATTCCACAGAAACACTGTTTCAAAACTGCTCTGTCAATAGAAAGGTTAAACTCTGTTAGCTGCGTGCATATATCCCAAAGAAGATTCTGAGATTGCTTCTGTCTAGTTTTTATGGGAAGATATTTCCCTTTTCACCGTAGGCGTCAAGGCGCTCCAAATGTCCACTTCCAGACACTACAAAAAGAGTGTTTCAAACCTACTCTGTGAAAGGGAATATTCAACTCTGTGACTTGAATGCACATATCACAAAGAAGTTTCTGAGAATGCTTCTGTCGAGATTTTATATGAAGATATTCCCGTTTCCAACGAAATGCTGAAATCTATCCAAATATCCCCTCGCAGATTCTACAAAAAGAGTGTTTCAAAACTGCTCTGTGAAAAGAAAGGTTCAACTCTGTTAGTTGAGTACACACATCACAAACAAGTTTCACAGAATGCTTCTTTCTAGCTCGTAGGGGAAGATATTCCCTTTATCACCATGGGCCTCCAACCGTCTGAAACATCCACTTCCATATACTACAAAAAGAGCGTTTCAAACCTGCTCTATGAAAGGCAATGTTCAACTCTGTGACTTGAATGCAGACATCACAGAGCAGTTTCTGAGAATGCTTCTGTCTAGATTTTATAGGAAGATATTCCCGTTTCCAACAAAATCTTCACAGCTATCCAAATATCCACTTGCAGATTCTACAAAAAGAGTGTATCAAACCTGCTCTGTCAAAAGGAAGGTTCTTCTCTGTTAGGTGAGTGCATACGTCATAAAGGAGTTTCTGAGAATGTTTCTGTCTAGTGGTTATGGGAAGATATTTGCTTTTTCACCGTAGGCGTCAGAGCTCTCCAAATATCCACTTGCACATACTACAAAAAGAGTGCTTCAAAGCTGCTCTCTGAAACGGAATGTTCAACTCTATGAGTTGAATGCAAACATCACAAAGACGTTTCTGAGAATGCTTCTGTCTAGATTTGATATGAAGATATTCCCGTTTCCAACGAAATCTTCAAATCTATCCAAATCTCCACTTGCAGATTCAACAAAAAGTGTTTTTCAGAACTGCTCTATCAAAAGAAAGATCCACCTCTGTTAGCTGAGTTCACACATCACAAACAAGTTTATGAGAATGCTTTCTGTCTAGTTTTTATTTGAAGATATTTCCTTTCTCACCATAGACCTGAAAGCTGTCCTAATGTTCACTTCCAGATACTACAGAAAGAGTGTTTCAAAACTGCTGTATGAAAGGGAATGTTCAACTCTGTGACTTGAATGCACACATCACAAGGAAGTTTCTGAGGATGCTGCTGTCTACTTTTTATACGTAATCCCGTTTCCAACGAAATCCTCCAAGCTATCCAAATATCCACTTGCAGATTCCACAGAAAGACTGTTTCAAAACTGCTCTGTCAATAGAAAGGTTCAACTCTATTAGCTGCGTGCATATATCTCAAAGAAGATTCTGAGATTGCTTCTGTCTAGTTTTTATGGGAAGATATTTCACTTTTCACCGTAGGTGTCAAGGCGCTCCAAATGTCCACTTCCAGATACTACAAAAAGAGTGTTTCAAACCTACTCTGTGAAAGGGAATATTCAACTCTGTGACTTGAATGCACATATCACAAAGAAGTTTCTGAGAATGCTTCTGTCGAGATTTTATATGAAGATATTCCCGTTTCCAACGAAATCCTGAAATCTATCCAAATATCCCCTCGCAGATTCTACAAAAAGAGTGTTTCAAAACTGCTCTGTGAAAAGGAAGGTTCAACTCTGTTAGTTGAGTACACACATCACAAACAAGTTTCACGGAATGCTTCTTTCTAGCTTGTAGGGGAAGATATTCCCTTTATAACCATGGGCCTCAAACCGTCCGAAACGTCTACTTCCATATACTACAAAAAGAGCGTTTCAAACCTGCTCTATGAAAGGCAATGTTCAACTCTGTGACTTGAATGCAGACATCACAGAGCAGTTTCTGAGAATGCTTCTGTCTAGATTTTATAGGAAGATATTCCCGTTTCCAACGAAATCTTCACAGCTATCCAAATATCCACTTGCAGATTCTACAAAAAGAGTGTATCAAAACTGCTCTGTCAAAAGGAAGGTTCTTTTCTGTTAGTTGAGTGCATACGTCATAAAGGAGTTTCTGAGAATGTTTCTGTCTAGTGGTTATGGGAAGATATTTGCTTTTTCACCTTAGGCCTCAGAGCGCTCCAAATATCCCCTTGCACATACTATAAAAAGAGTGCTTCAAAGCTGCTCTCTGGAAGGGAATGTTCAACTACTATGAGTTGAATGCAAGCATCACAAAGACGTTTCTGAGAATGCTTCTGTCTAGATTTGATATGAAGATATTCCCGTTTCCAACGAAATCTTCAAATCTATCCAAATGTCCACTTGCAGATTCATCAAAAAGTGTTTTTCAGAACTGCTCTATCAAAAGAAAGATCCACCTCTGTTAGCTGAGTTCACACATCACAAACAAGTTTATGAGAATGCTTCTGTCTAGTTTTTATTTGAAGATATTTCCTTTCTCACCATAGACCTGAAAGCTGTCCTAGTGTTCACTTCCAGTTACTACAGAAAGAGTGTTTCAAAACTGCTGTACGAAAGGGAATGTTCAACTCTGTGACTTGAATGCACACATCACAAAGAAGTTTGCTGAGGATGCTGCTGTCTACTTTTTATACGTAATCCCGATTCCAACGAAATCCTCCAAGCTATCCAAATATCTACTTGCAGATTCCACAGAAAGACTATTTCAAAACTGCTCTGTCAATAGAAAGGTTCAACTCTGTTAGCTGCGTGCATATATCCCAAAGAAGATTCTGAGATTGCTTCTGTCTAGTTTTTATGGGAAGATATTTCCCTTTTCACCGTAGGCGTCAAGGCGCTCCAAATGTCCACTTCCAGATACTACAAAAGGAGTGTTTCAAACCTACTCTCTGAAAGGGAATATTCAACTCTGTGACTTGAATGCACATATCACAAAGAAGTTTCTGAGAATGCTTCTGTCGAGATTTTATATGAAGATATTCCCGTTTCCAACGAAATCCTGAAATCTATCCAAATATCCCCTCGCAGATTCTACAAAAAGAGTGTTTCAAAACTGCTCTGTAAAAAGAAAGGTTCAACTCTGTTAGTTGAGTACACACAGCACAAACAAGTTTCACAGAATGCTTCTTTCTAGCTTGTAGGGGAAGATATTCCCTTTATCACCATGGGCCTCAAACCGTCCGAAACGTCCACTTCCATATACTACAAAAAGAGTGTTTGAAACCTCCTCTATGAAAGGCAATGTTCAACTCTGTGACTTGAATGCAGACATCACAGAGCAGTTTCTGAGAATGCTTCTGTCTAGATTTTATAGGAAGATATTCCCGTTTCCAACGAAATCTTCACAGCTATCCAAATATCCACTTGCAGATTCTACAAAAAGAGTGTATCAAAACTGCTCTGTCAAAAGGAAGGTTCTTCTCTGTTAGATGAGTGCATACGTCATAAAGGAGTTTCTGAGAATGTTTCTGTCTAGTGATTATGGGAAGATATTTGCTTTTTCACCGTAGGCCTCAGAGCGCTCCAAATATCCCCTTGCACATACTACAAAAAGAGTGCTTCAAAGCTGCTCTCTGAAACGGAATGTTCAACTCTATGAGTTGAATGCAAACATCGCAAAGACGTTTCTGAGAATGCTTCTGTCTAGATTTGATATGAAGATATTCCCGTTTCCAACGAAATCTTCAAATCTATCCAAATGTCCACTTGCAGATTCAACAAAAAGTGTTTTTCAGAACTGCACTATCAAAAGAAAGATCCACCTCTGTTAGCTGAGTTCACACATCACAAACAAGTTTATGAGAATGCTTCTGTATAGTTTTTATTTGAAGATATTTCCTTTCTCACCATAGACCTGAAAGCTGTCCTAATGTTCACTTCCAGATACTACAGAAAGAGTGTTTCAAAACTGCTGTACGAAAGGGAATGTTGAACTCTGTGACTTGAATGCACACATCACAAAGAAGTTTCTGAGGATGCTGCTGTCTACTTTTTATACGTAATCCCGTTTCCAACGAAATCCTCCAAGCTATCCAAATATCCACTTGCAGATTCCACAGAAAGACTGTTTCAAAACTGCTCTGTCAATAGAAAGGTTCAACTCTATTAGCTGCGTACATATATCCCAAAGAAGATTGCTGAGATTGCTTCTGTCTAGTTTTTATGGGAAGATATTTCCCTTTTCACCGTAGGTGTCAAGACGCTCCAAATGTCCACTTCCAGATACTACAAAAAGAGTGTTTCAAACCTACTCTGTGAAAGGGAATATTCAACTCTGTGACTTGAATGCAGATATCACAAAGAAGTTTCTGAGAATGCTTCTGTCGAGATTTTATATGAAGATATTCCCGTTTCCAACGAAATCCTGAAATGTATCCAAATATCCCCTTGCAGATTCTACAAAAAGAGTGTTTCAAAACTGCTCTGTAAAAAGAAAGGTTCAACTCTGTTAGTTGAGTACACACATCACAAAGAAGTTTCACACAATGCTTCTTTCTAGCTTGTAGGGGAAGATATTCCCTTTATCACCATGGGCCTCCAACCGTCCGAAACATCCAGTTCCATATTCTACAAAAAGAGCGTTTCAAACCTGCTCTATGAAAGGCAATGTTCAACTCTGTGACTTGAATGCAGACATCACAGAGCAGTTTCTGAGAATGCTTCTGTCTAGATTTTATAGGAAGATATTCCCGTTTCCAACGAAATCTTCACAGCTATCCAAATATCCACTTGCAGATTCTACAAAAAGAGTGTATCAAAGCTGCTCTGTCAAAAGGAAGGTTCTTCTCTGTTAGGTGAGTGCATACGTCATAAAGCAGTTTCTGAGAATGTTTCTGTCTAGTGGTTATGGGAAGATATATGCTTTTTCACCTTAGGCCTCACAGCGATCCAAATATCCACTTGCACATACTACAAAAAGAGTGCTTCAAAGCTGCTCTCTGAAACGGAATGTTCAACTCTATGAGTTGAATGCAAACATCACAAAGACGTTTCTGAGAATGCTTCTGTCTAGATTTGATATGAAGATATTCCCGTTTCCAACGAAATCTTCAAATCTATCCAAATGTCCACTTGCAGATTCAACTAAAAGTGTTTTTCAGAACTGCTCTATCAAAAGAAGTATCCACCTCTGTTAGCTGAGTTCACACATCACAAACAAGTTTATGAGAATGCTTCTGTCTAGTTTTTATTTGAAGATATTTCCTTTCTCACCATAGACCTGAAAGCTGTCCTAATGCTTATCCTAATGCTTACTTCCAGATACTACAGAAAGAGTGTTTCAAAACTGCTGTACGAAACGGGATGTTCAACTCTGTGACTTGAATGCACACATCACAAAGAAGTTTCTGAGGATGGTGCTGTCTACTTTTTATACGTAATCCCGTTTCCAAAGAAATCCTCCAAGCTATCCAAATATCCACTTGCAGATTCCACAGAAAGACTGTTTCAAAACTGCTCTGTCAATAGAAAGGTTCAACTCTGTTAGCTGCGTGCATATATCCCAAAGAAGATTCTGAGATTGCTTCTGTCTAGTTTTTATGGGAAGATATTTCCCTTTTCACCGTAGGCGTCAAGGCGCTCCAATGTCCAATTCCAGATACTATAAAAAGAGTGTTTCAAACCTCCTCTGTGAAAGGGAATATTCAACTCTGTGACTGTAATGCAGATATCACAAAGAAGTTTCTGAGAATGCTTCTGTCGAGATTTTATAAGAAGATATTCCCGTTTCCAACGAAATCCTGAAATCTATCCAAATATCCCCTCGCAGATTCTACAAAAAGAGTGTTTCAAAACTGCTCTTTAAAAAGAAAGGTTCAACTCTGTTAGTTGAGTACACACATCACAAACAAGTTTCACAGAATGCTTCTTTCTAGCTTGTAGGGGAAGATATTCCCTTTATCACCATGGGCCTCAAACCGTCCGATAAGTCCACTTCCATATACTAAAAAAAGAGCGTTTCAAACCTGCTCTATGAAAGGCAATGTTCAACTCTGTGACTTGAATGCAGACATCACAGAGCAGTTTCTGAGAATGCTTCTGTCTAGATTTTATAGGAAGATATTCCCGTTTCCAACGAAATCTTCACAGCTATCCAAATATCCACTTGCAGATTCTACAAAAAGAGTGTATCAAAACTCCTCTGTCAAAAGGAAGGTTCTTCTCTGTTAGGTGAGTGCATACGTCATAAAGGAGTTTCTGAGAATGTTTCTGTCTAGTGGTTATGGGAAGATATTTGCTTTTTCACCGTAGGCCTCAGAGCGCTCCAAATGTCCACTTGCACATACTACAAAAAGAGTGCTTCAAAGCTGCTCTCTGAAAGGGAATGTTCAACTCTATGAGTTGAATGCAAACATCACAAAGACGTTTCTGAGAATGCTTCTGTCTAGTATTTGATATGAAGATATTCCCGTTTCCAACGAAATCTTCAAATCTATCCAAATGTCCACTTGCAGATTCAACAAAAAGTGTTTTTCAGAACTGCTCTATCAAAAGAAAGATCCACCTCTGTTAGCTGAGTTCACACTTCACAAACAAGTTTATCAGAATGCTTCTGTCTAGTTTTTATTTGAAGATATTTCCTTTCTCACCATAGACCTGAAAGCTGTCCTAATGTTCACTTCCAGATACTACAGAAAGAGTGTTTCAAAACTGCTGTACGAAAGGGAATGTTCAACTACTGTGACTTGAATGCACACATCACAAAGAAGTTTGCTGAGGATGCTGCTGTCTACTTTTTATACGTAATCCCGTTACCAACGAAATCCTCCAAGCTATCCAAATATCCACTTGCAGATTCCACAGAAAGACTGTTTCAAAACTGCTCTGTCAATAGAAAGGTTCAACTCTGTTAGCTGCGTGCATATATCCCAAAGAAGATTCTGAGATTGCTTCTGTCTAGTTTTTATCGGAAGATATTTCCCTTTTCACCATAGGTGTCAAGGTGCTCCAAATGTCCACTTCCAGATACTACAAAAAGAGTGTTTCAAACCTACTCTGTGAAAGGGAATATTCAACTCTGTGACTTGAATGCAGATATCACAAAGAAGTTTCTGAGAATGCTTCTGTCGAGATTTTATATGAAGATATTCCCGTTTCCATCGAAATCCTGAAATCTATCCAAATATCCCCTCGCAGATTCTACAAAAAGAGTGTTTCAAAACTGCTCTGTAAAAAGAAAGGTTCAACTCTGTTAGTTGAGTACACACATCACAAACAAGTTTCACAGAATGCTTCTTTCTAGCTTGTAGGGGAAGATATTCCCTTTATCACCATGGGCCTCAAACCGTCCGAAACGTCTACTTACATATACTACAAAAAGAGCGTTTCAAACCTGCTCTATGAAAGGCAATGTTCAACTCTGTGACTTGAATGCAGACATCACAGAGCAGTTTGCTGAGAATGCTTCTGTCTAGATTTTATAGGAAGATATTCCCGTTTCCAACGAAATCTTCCCAGCTATCCAAATATCCACTTGCAGATTCTACAAAAAGAGTGTATCAAAACTGCTCTGTCAAAAGGAAGGTTCTTCTCTGTTAGGTGAGTGCATACGTCATAAAGGAGTTTCTGAGAATGTTTCTGTCTAGTGGTTATGGGAAGATATTTGCTTTTTCACCGTAGGCCTCAGAGCGCTCCAAATATCCACTTGCACATACTACAAAAAGAGTGCCTCAAAGCTGCTCTTTGAAACGGAATGTTCAACTCTATGAGTTGAATGCAAACATCACAAAGACGTTTCTGAGAATGCTTTCTGTCTAGATTTGATATGAAGATATTCCCGTTTCCAACGAAATCTTCATATCTATCCAAATGTCCACTTGCAGATTCAACAAAAAGTGTTTTTCAAAACTGCTCTATCAAAAGAAAGATCCACCTCTGTTAGCTGAGTTCACACATCACAAACAAGTTTATGAGAATGCTTCTGTCTAGTTTTTATTTGAAGATATTTCCTTTCTCACCATAGACCTGAAAGCTGGCCTAATGTTCACTTCCAGATACTACAGAAAGAGTGTTTCAAAACTGCTGTACGAAAGGGAATGTTCAACTCTGTGACTTGAATGCACACATCACAAAGAAGTTTCTGAGGATGCTGCTGTCTATTTTTATACGTAATCCCGTTTCCAACGAAATCCTCCAATTTAACCAAATATCCACTTGCAGATTCCACAGAAAGACTGTTTCAAAACTGCTCTGTCAATAGAAAGGTTCAACTCTGTTAGCTGCGTGCATATGTCCCAAAGAAGATTCTGAGATTTCTTCTGTCTACTTTTTATGAGAAGATATTTCCCTTTTCACCGTAGGCGTCAAGGCGCTCCAAATGTCTACTTCCAGATACTACAAAAAGAGTGTTTCAAACCTACTCAGTGAAAGGGAATATTCAACTCTGTGACTTGAATGCAGATATCACAAAGAAGGTTCTGAGAATGCTTCTGTCGAGATTTTATATGAAGATATTCCCGTTTCCAACAAAATCCTGAAATCTATCCAAATATCCCCTCACAGATTCTACAAAAAGAGTGTTTCAAAACTGCTCTGTAAAAAGAAAGGTTCAACTCTGTTAGTTGAGTACACACATCACAAACAAGTTTCACAGAATGCTTCTTTCTAGCTTGTAGGGGAAGATATTCCCTTTATCACCATGGGCCTCAAACCGTCCGATAAGTCCACTTCCATATACTACAAAAAGAGCGTTTCAAACCTGCTGTATGAAAGGCAATGTTCAACTCTGTGACTTGAATGCAGACATCACAGAGCAGTTTCTGAGAATGCTTCTGTCTAGATTTTATAGGAAGATATTCCCGTTTCCAACGAAATCTTCACAGCTATCCAAATATCCACTTGCAGATTCTACAAAAAGAGTGTATCAAAACTACTCTGTCAAAAGGAAGGTTCTTTTCTGTTAGGTGAGTGCATACGTCATAAAGGAGTTTCTGAGAATGTTTCTGTCTAGTGGTTATGGGAAGATATTTGCTTTTTCACCTTAGGCCTCAGAGCGATCCAAATATCCACTTGCACATACTACAAAAAGAGTGCTTCAAAGCTGCTCTCTGAAAGTGAATGTTCAACTCCTTGAGTTGAATGCAAACATCACAAAGACGTTTCCGAGAATGCTTCTGTCTAGATTTGATATGAAGATATTCCCGTTTCCAACGAAATCTTCAAATCTATCCAAATGTCCACTTGCAGATTCAACAAAAAGTGTTTTTCAGAACTGCTCTATCAAAAGAAAGATCCACCTCTCTTAGCTGAGTTGACACATCACAAACAAGTTTATGAGAATGCTTCTGTCTAGTTTTCATTTGATGATATTTCCTTTCTCACCATAGACCTGAAAGCTGTCCTAATGTTCACTTCCAGATACTACAGAAAGAGTGTTTCAAAACTGCTGTACGAAAGGGAATGTTCAACTCTGTGACTTGAATGCACACATCACAAAGAAGTTTCTGAGGATGCTGCAGTCTACTTTTTATACGTAATCCCGTTTCCAAAGAAAACCTCCAAGCTATCCAAATATCCACTTGCAGATTCCACAGAAAGACTGTTTCAAAACTGCTCTGTCAATAGAAAGGTTCAACTCTGTTAGCTGCGTGCATATATCCCAAAGAAGATTCTGAGATTGCTTCTGTCTAGTTTTTATGGGAAGATATTTCCCTTTTCACCGTAGGCGTCAAGGCGCTCCAAATGTCCACTTCCAGATACTACAAAAAGAGTGTTCCAATCCTACTCTGTGAAAGGGAATATTCAACTCTGTGACTTGAATGCAGATATCACAAAGAAGTTTCTGAGAATGCTTCTGTCGAGATTTTATATGAAGATATTCCCGTTTCCAACGAAATCCTGAAATCTATCCAAATATCCGCTCGCAGATTCTACAAAAAGAGTGTTTCAAAACTGCTCTGTAAAAAGAAAGGTTCAACTCTGTTAGTTGAGTACACACATCACAAACAAGTTTCACACAATGCTTCTTTCTAGCTTGTAGGGGAAGATATTCCCTTTATCACCATGGGCCTCAAACCGTCCGAAACGTCCACTTCCATATACAACAAAAAGAGCGTTTCAAACCTGCTCTATGAAAGGCAATGTTCAACTCTGTGACTTGAATGCAGACATCACAGAGCAGTTTCTGAGAATGCTTCTGTCTAGATTTTATAGGAAGATATTCCCGTTTCCAACGAAATCTTCACAGCTATCCAAATATCCACTTGCAGATTCTACAAAAAGAGGGTATCAAAACTGCTCTGTCAAAAGGAAGGTTCTTCTCTGTTAGTTGAGTACATACGTCATAAAGGAGTTTCTGAGAATGTTTCTGTCTAGTGGTTATGGGAAGATATTTGCTTTTTCACCTTAGGCCTCAGAGCGCTCAAAATATCCCCTTGCACATACTACAAAAAGAGTGCTTCAAAGCTGCTCTCTGAAACGGAATGTTCAACTCTATGAGTTGAATGCAAACATCACAAAGACGTTTCTGAGAATGCTTCTGTCTAGATTTGATATGAAGATATTCCCGTTTCCAACGGAAATCTTCAAATCTATCCAAATGTCCACTTGCAGATTCAACAAAAAGTGTTTTTCAAAACTGCTGTATCAAAAGAAAGATCCACGTCTGTTAGCTGAGTTCACACATCACAAACAAGTTTATGAGAATGCTTCTGTTTAGTTTTTATTTGAAGATATTTCCTTTCTCACCATCGACCTGAAAGCTGTCCTAATGTTCACTTCCAGATACTACAGAAAGAGTGTTTCAAAACTGCTGTACGAAAGGGAATGTTCAACTCTGTGACTTGAATGCACACATCACAAAGAAGTTTCTGAGGATGCGGCTGTCTACTTTTTATACGTAATCCCGTTTCCAACGAAATCCTCCAACTATCAAAATATCCACTTGCAGATTCCACAGAAAGACTGTTTCAAAACTGCTCGGTCAATAGAAAGGTTCAACTCTGTTAGCTGCGTGCATATATCCCAAAGAAGATTCTGAGATTGCTTCTGTCTAGTTTTTATGGGAAGATATTTCCCTTTTCACCGTAGGTGTCAAGTCGCTCCAAATGTCCACTTCCAGATACTACAAAAAGAGTGTTTCATACCTACTCTGAGAAAGGGAATATTCAACTCTGTGACTTGAAGGCAGATATCACAAAGAAGTTTCTGAGAATGCTTCTGTCGAGATTTTGTATGAAGATATTCCCGTTTCCAACGAAATCCTGAAATCTATCCAAATATCCCCTCGCAGATTCTACAAAAAGAGTGTTTCAAAACTGCTCTGTAAAAAGAAAGGTTCAACTCTGTTACTTGAGTACACACATCACAAACAAGTTTCACAGAATGCTTCTTTCTAGCTTGTAGGGGAAGATATTCCCTTTATCACCATGGGCCTCAAACCGTCCGAAATGTCCACTTCCATATACTACAAAAAGAGCGTTTCAAACCTGCTCTATGAAAGGCAATGTTCAACTCTGTGACTTGAATGCAGACATCACAGAGCAGTTTCTGAGAATGCTTCTGTCTAGATTTTATAGGAAGATATTCCCGTTTCCAACGAAATCTTCACAGCTATCCAAATATCCACTTGCAGATTCTACAAAAAGAGTGTATCAAAATTGCTCTGTCAAAAGGAAGGTTCTTCTCTGTTAGGTGAGTGCATACGTCATAAAGGAGTTTCTGAGAATGTTTCTGTCTAGTGGTTATGGGAAGATATTTGCTTTTTCACCTTAGGCCTCACAGCGATCCAAATATCCATTTGCACATACTACAAAAAGAGTGCTTCAAAGCTGCTCTCTGAAACGGAATGTTCAACTCTATGAGTTGAATGCAAACATCACAAGACGTTTCTGAGGATGCTTCTGTCTAGATTTGATATGAAGATATTCCCGTTTCCAACGAAATCTTGAAATCTATCCAAATGTCCACTTGCAGATTCAACAAAGTGTTTTTCAGAACTGCTCTATCAAAAGAAAGATCCACGTGTGTTAGCTGAGTTCACACATCACAAACAAGTTGATGAGAATTCTTCTGTCTAGTTTTTATTTGAATATATTTCCTTTCTCACCATAGACCTGAAAGCTGTCCTAATGTTCACTTCCAGATACTACAGAAAGAGTGTTTCAAAACTGCTGTACGAAAGGGAATGTTCAACTCTGTGACTTGAATGCACACATCACAGAGAAGTTTCTGAGGAGGCTGCTGTCTACTTTTTATACTTAATCCCGTTTCCAACGAAATCCTCCAAGCTATCCAAATATCCCACTTGCAGATTCCACAGAAAGACTGTTTCAAAACTGCTCTGTCAATAGAAAGGTTCAACTCTGTTAGCTGCGTGCATATATCCCAAAGAAGATTCTGAGATTGCTTCTGTCTAGTTTTTATGGGAAGATATTTCCCTTTTCACCGTAGGCGTCAAGGCGCTCCAAATGTCCACTTCCAGATACTACAAAAAGAGTGTTTCAAACCTACTCGGTGAAAGGGAATATTCAACTCTGTGACTTGAATGCACATATCACAAAGAAGCTTCTGAGAATGCTTCTGTCGAGATTTTATATTAAGATATTCCCGTTTCCAACAAAATCCTGAAATCTATCCAAATATCCCCTCGCAGATTCTACAAGAAGAGTGTTTCAAAACTGCTCTGTAAAAAGAAAGGTTCAACTCTGTTAGTTGAGTACACACATCACAAACAAGTTTCACAGAATGCTTCTTTCTAGCTTGTAGGGGAAGATATTCCCTTTATCACCATGGGCCTCAAACCGTCCGAAACGTCCTCTTCCATATAGTACAAAAAGAGCGTTTCAAAACTGCTCTATGAAAGGCAATGTTCAACTCTGTGACTTGAATGCAGACATCACAGAGCAGTTTCTGAGAATGCTTCTGTTTAGATTTTATAGGAAGATATTCCCGTTTCCAATGAAATCTTCACAGCTATCCAAATATCCACTTGCAGATTCTACAAAAAGAGTGTATCAAAACTGCTCTGTCAAAAGGAAGGTTCTTCTCTGTTAGGTGAGTGCATACGTCATAAAGGAGTTTCTGAGAATGTTTCTGTCTAGTGGTTATGGGAAGATATTTGCTTTTTCACCGTAGGCCTCAGAGCGCTCCAAATATCCACTTGCACATACTACAAAAAGATTGCCTCAAAGCTGCTCTCTGAAACGGAATGTTCAACTCTATGAGTTGAATGCAAACATCGCAAAGACGTTTCTGAGAATGCTTCTGTCTAGATTTGATATGAAGATATTCCCGTTACCAACGAAATATTCAAATCTATCCAAATGTCCACTTGCAGATTCAACAAAAAGTGTTTTTCAGAACTGCTCTATCAAAAGAAAGATCCACCTCTGTTAGCTGAGTTCACACATCACAAACAAGTTTATGAGAATGCTTCTGTCTAGTTTTTATTTGAAGATATTTCCTTTCTCACCATAGACCTGAAAGCTGTCCTAATGTTCACTTCCAGATACTACATAAAGAGTGTTTCAACACTGCTGTACGAAAGGGAATGTTCAACTCTGTGACTTGAATGCACACATCACAAAGAAGTTTCTGAGGATGCTCTGTCTACTTTTTATACTTAATCCCGTTTCCAACGAAATCCTCCAAGCTATCCAAATATCCACTTGCAGATTCCACAGAAAGACTGTTTCAAAACTGCTCTGTCAATAGAAAGGTTCAACTCTGTTAGCTGCGTGCATATATCCCAAAGAAGATTCTGAGATTGCTTTCTGTCTAGTTTTTATGGGAAGATATTTCCCTTTTCACCGTAGGTGTCAAGGCGCTCCAAATGTCCACTTCCAGATACTACAAAAAGAGTGTTTCAAACCTACTCTGTGAAAGGGAATATTCAACTCTGTGACTTGAATGCACATATCACAAAGAAGTTTCTGAGAATGCTTCTGTCGAGATTTTATATAAAGATATTCCCGTTTCCAACGAAATCCTGAAATCTATCCAAATATCCCCTCGCAGATTCTACAAAAAGAGTGTTTCAAAACTGCTCTGTAAAAAGAAAGGTTCAACTCTGTTAGTTGAGTACACACATCACAAACAAGTTTCACAGAATGCTTCTTTCTAGCTTGTAGGGGAAGATATTCCCTTTATGACCATGGGCCTCAAACCGTCCGAAACGTCCACTTTTATATACTACAAAAAGAGCGTTTCAAACCTGCTCTATGAAAGGCAATGTTCAACTCTGTGACTTGAATGCAGACATCACAGAGCAGTTTCTGAGAATGCTTCTGTCTAGATTTTATAGGAAGATATTCCCGTTTCCAACGAAATCTTCACAGCTATCCAAATATCCACTTGGAGATTCTACAAAAAGAGTGTATCAAAACTGCTCTGTCAAAAAGAAGGTTCTTCTCTGTTAGTTGAGTACATACGTCATAAAGGAGTTTCTGAGAATGTTTCTGTCTAGTGGTTATGGGAAGATATTTGCTTTTTCCCCGTAGGCCACAGAGCGCTCCAAATATCCACTTGCACATACTACAAAAAGAGTGCTTCAAAGCTGCTCTCTGAAAGGGAATGTTCAACTCCATGAGTTGAATGCAAACATCACAAAGACGTTTCTGAGAATGTTTCTGTCTAGATTTGATATGAAGATATTCCCGTTTCCAACGAAATCTTCAAATCTATCCAAATGTCCACTTGCAGATTCAACAAAAAGTGTTATTCAGAACTGCTCTATCAAAAGAAAGATCCACCTCTGTTAGCTGAGTTCACACATCACAAACAAGTTTATGAGAATGCTTCTGTCTAGTTTTTATTTGAAGATATTTCCTTTCTCACCATGGAGCTGAAAGCTGTCCTAATGTTCACTTCCAGATACTACAGAAAGAGTGTTTCAAAACTGCTGTACGAAAGGGAATGTTCAACTCTGTGACTTGAATGCACACATCACAAAGAAGTTTCTGAGGATGCTGCTGTCTACTTTTTATACGTAATCCCGTTTCCAACGAAATCCTCCAAGCTATCCAAATATCTACTTGCAGATTCCACAGAAAGACTATTTCAAAACTGCTCTGTCAATAGAAAGGTTCAACTCTGTTAGCTGCGTGCATATATCCCAAAGAAGATTCTGAGATTGCTTCTGTCTAGTTTTTATGGGAAGATATTTCCCTTTTCACCGTAGGCGTCAAGGCGCTCCAAATGTCCACTTCCAGATATTACAAAAAGAGTGTTTCAAACCTACTCTGTGAAAGGGAATATTCAACTCTGTGACTTGAATGCACATATCACAAACAAGTTTCTGAGAATGCTTCTGTCGAGATTTTATATGAAGATATTCCCGTGTCCAACGAAATCCTGAAATCTATCCAAATATCCCCTTGCAGATTCTACAAAAAGAGTGTTTCAAAACTGCTCTGTAAAAAGAAAGGTTCAACTCTGTTAGTTGAGTACACACATCACAAACAAGTTTCACACAATGCTTCTTTCTAGCTTGTAGGGGAAGATATTTCCTTTATCACCATGGGCCTCAAACCGTCCGAAACGTCCACTTCCATATACTAAAAAAAGAGTGTTTGAAACCTGCTCTATGAAAGGCAATGTTCAACTCTGTGACTTGAATGCAGACATCACAGAGCAGTTTCTGAGAATGCTTCTGTCCAGACTTTATAGGAAGATATTCCCGATTCCAAAGAAATCTTCACAGCTATCCAAATATCCACTTGCAGATACTACAAAAAGAGTGTATCAAAAAAGCTCTGTCAAAAGGAAAGTTCTTTTCTGCTAGTTGAGTACATACGTCATAAAGAAGTTTCTGAGAATGTTTCTGTCTAGTGGTTATGGGAAGATATTTGCTTTTTCACCGTAGGCCTCAGAGCGCTCCAAATATCCCCTTGCACATACTACAAAAAGAGTGCTTCAAAGCTGCTCTCTGAAAGGGAATGTTCAAATACTGTGAGTTGAATGCAAACATCACAAAGACGTTTCTGAGAATGCTTTCCTGTCTAGATTTGATATGAAGATATTCCCGTTTCCAACGAAATCTTCAAATCTATCCAAATGTCCACTTGCAGATTCAACAAAAAGTGTTTTTCAGAACTGCTCTATCAAAAGAAAGATCCACCTCTGTTAGCTGAGTTCACACATCACAAACAAGTTTATGAGAATGCTTCTGTCTACTTTTTATTTGAAGATATTTCCTTTCTCACCATAGACCTGAAATCTGTCCTAATGTTCACTTCCAGATACTACAGAAAGAGTGTTTCAAAACTGCTGTACGAAAGGGAATGTTCAACTCTGGGACTTGAATGCATACATCACAAAGAAGTTTCTGAGGATGCTGCTGTCTACTTTTTATACGTAATCCCGTTTCCAAAGAAATCCTCCAAGCTATCCAAATATCCACTTGCAGATTCCACAGAAAGACTGTTTCAAAACTGCTCTGTCAATAGAAAGGTTCAACTCTGTTAGCTGCGTGCATATATCCCAAAGAAGATTCTGAGATTGCTTCTGTCTAGTTTTTATGGGAAGATATTTCCCTTTTCACTTTAGGTGTCAAGGCGCTCCAAATGTCCACTTACAGATACTACAAAAAGAGTGTTTCAAACCTACCCTGTGAAAGGGAATATTCAACTCTGTGACTTGAATGCAGATATCACAATGAAGTTTCTGAGAATGCTTCTGTCGAGATTTTATATGAAGATATTCCCGTTTCCAACGAAATCCTGAAATCTATACAAATATCCCCTCGCAGATTCTACAAAAAGAGTGTTTCAAAACTGCTCTGTAAAAAGAAAGGTTCAACTCTGTTACTTGAGTACACACATCACAAACAAGTTTCACAGAATGCTTCTTTCTAGCTTGTAGGGGAAGATATTCCCTTTATCACCATCGGCCTCAAACCGTCTGAAACGTCCACTTCCATATACTACAAAAAGAACATTTCAAACCTGCTCTATGAAAGGCAATGTTCAACTCTGTGACTTGAATGCAGACATCACAGAGCAGTTTCTGAGAATGCTTCTGTCTAGATTTTATAGGAAGATATTCCCGTTTCCAACGAAATCTTCACAGCTATCCAAATATCCACTTGCAGATTCTACAAAAAGAGTGTATCAAAACTGCTCTGTCAAAAGGAAGGTTCTTTTCCGTTAGGTGAGTGCATACATCATAAAGGAGTTTCTGAGAATGTTTCTGTCTAGTGGTTATGGGAAGATATCTGCTTTTTCCCCGTAGGCCTCAGGGCGCTCCAAATGTCCACTTGCACATGCTACAAAAAGAGTGCTTCAAAGCTGCTCTCTGAAAGGGAATGTTCAACTCTATGAGTTGAATGCAAACATCACAAAGACGTTTCTGAGAATGCTTCTGTCTAGATTTGATATGAATATATTCCCGTTTCCAACGAAATCTTCATATCTATCCAAATGTCCACTTGCAGATTCAACAAAATGTGTTTTTCAAAACTGCTGTATCAAAAGAAAGATCCACGTCTGTTAGCTGAGTTCACACATCACAAACAAGTTTATGAGAATGCTTCTGTCTAGTTTTTATTTGAAGATATTTCCTTTCTCACCATAGACCTGAAAGCTGTCCTAATGTTCACTTCCAGATACTACAGAAACAGTGTTTCAAAACTGCTCTATGAAAGGGAATGTTCAACTCTGTGACTTGAATGCACACATCACAAAGAAGTTTCTGAGGATGCTGCTGTCTACTTTTTGTACGTAATCCCGTTTCCAACGAAATCCTCCAAGCTATCCAAATATCCACTTGCAGATTCCACAGAAAGACTGTTTCAAAACTGCTCTGTCAATAGAAAGGTTCAACTCTGTTAGCTGCGTGCATATATCCCAGAGAAGATTCTGAGATTGCTTCTGTCTAGTTTTTATGGGAAGATATTTCCCTTTTCACCGTAGGTGTCAAGGCGCTCCAAATGTCCACTTCCAGATACTACAAAAAGAGTGTTTCAAACCTACTCTGTGAAAGGGAATATTCAACTCTCTGACTTGAATGCAGATATCACAAAGAAGTTTCTGAGAATGCTTCTGTCGAGTATTTTATATGAAGATATTCCCGTTTCCAAAGAAATCCTGAAATCTATCCAAATATCCCCTCGCAGATTCTACAAAAAGAGTGTTTCAAAACTGCTCTGTAAAAAGAAAGGTTCAACTCTGTTAGTTGAGTACACACATCACAAACAAGTTTCACAGAATGCTTCTTTCTTGCTTCTAGGGGAAGATATTTCCTTTATCACCATGGGCCTCAAACCGTCCGAAACGTCCACTTCCATATAGTAAAAAAAGAGTGTTTTAAACCTGCTCTATGAAAGGCAATGTTCAACTCTGTGACCTGAATGCAGACATCACAGAGCAGTTTCTGAGAATGCTTCTGTCCAGACTTTATAGGAAGATATTCCCGATTCCAACGAAATCTTCACAGCTAATCAAATATCCACATGCAGATACTACAAAAAGAGTGTATCCAAAAAGCTGTGTCAAAAGGAAAGTTCTTCTCTGCTAGTTGAGTACATACGTCATAAAGAAGTTTCTGAGAATGTTTCTGTCTAGTGGTTATGGGAAGATATTTGATTTTTCACCTTAGGCCTCAGAGCGCTCCAAATATCCCCTTGCACATACTACAAAAAGAGTGCTTCAAAGCTGCTCTCTGAAAGGGAATGTTCAACTCTATGGGTTGAATGCAAACATCACAAAGACGTTTCTGAGAATGCTTCTGTCTAGATTTGATATGAAGATATTCCCGTTTCCAACGAAATCTTCAAAACTATCCAAATGTCCACTTGCAGATTCAACAAAAAGTGTTTTTCAGAACTGCTCTATCAAAAGATAGATCCACCTCTGTTAGCTGAGTTCATACATCACAAACAAGTTTATGAGAATGCTTCTGTCTAGTTTTTATTTGAAGATATTTCCTTTCTCACCATAGACCTGAAAGCTGTCCTAATGTTCACTTCCAGATACTACAGAAAGAGTGTTTCAATACTGCTGTACGAAAGGGAATGTTCAACTCTGTGACTTGAATGCACACATCACAAAGAAGTTTCTGAGGATGCTGCTGTCTACTTTTTATACGTAATCCCTTTTCCAACGAAATCCTCCAAGCTATCCAAATATCCACTTGCAGATTCCACAGAAAGACTGTTTCAAAACTGCTCTGTCAATAGAAAGGTTCAACTCTGTTAGCTGCGTGCATATATCCCAAAGAAGATTCTGAGATTGCTTCTGTCTAGTTTTTATGGGAAGATATTTCCCTTTTCACCGTAGGTGTCAAGGCGCTCCAAATGTCCACTTCCAGATACTACAAAAAGAGTGTTTCAAACCTACTGTGTGAAAGGGAATATTCAACTCTGTGACTTGAAGGCAGATATCACAAAGAAGTTTCTGAGAATGCTTCTGTCGAGATTTTATATGAAGATATTCCCGTTTCCAACGAAATCCTGAAATGTATCCAAATATCCCCTCGCAGATTCTACAAAAAGAGTGTTTCAAAACTGCTCTGTAAAAAGAAAGGTTCAACTCTGTTAGTTGAGTACACACATCACAAACAAGTTTCACACAATGCTTCTTTCTAGCTTGTAGGGGATGATATTCCCTTCATCACCATGGGCCTCAAAACGTCCGAAACGTCCACTTCCATATACTACAAAAAGAGCGTTTCAAACCTGCTCTAGTTAAGGCAATGTTCAACTCTGTGACTTGAATGCAGACATCACAGAGCAGTTCCTGAGAATGCTTCTGTCTAGATTTATAGGAAGATATTCCCGTTTCCAACGAAATCTTCACAGCTATCCAAATATCCACTTGCAGATTCTACAAAAAGAGTGTATCAAAACTGCTCTGTCAAAAGGAAGGTTCTTTTCTGTTAGGTGAGTGCATACGTCATAAAGGAGTTTCTGAGAATGTTTCTGTCTAGTGGTTATGGGAAGATATTTGCTTTTTCCCCGTAGGCCTCAAAGCGCTCCAAATATCCACTTGCACATACTACAAAAAGAGTGTTTCAAAGCTGCTCTCTGAAAGGGAATGTTCAACTCTATGAGTTGAATGCAAACATGACAAAGACGTTTCTGACAATGCTTCTGTCTAGATTTGATATGAAGATATTCCCGTTTCCAACGAAATCTTCAAATCTATCCAAATGTCCACTTGCAGATTCAACAAAAAGTGTTTTTCAGAACTGCTCTATCAAAAGAAAGATCCACCTCTGTTAGCTGAGTTCACACATCACAAACAAGTTTATGAGAATGCGTCTGTCTAGTTTTTATTTGAAGATGTTTCCTTTCTCACCATAGACTTGAAAGCTGTCCTAATGTTCACTTCCAGATACTACAGAAAGAGTGTTTCAAAACTGCTGTACGAAAGGGAATGTTCAACTCTGTGACTTGAATGCACACATCACAAAGAAGTTTCTGAGGATGCTGCTGTCTACTTTTTATACATAATCCCGTTTCCAACGAAATCCTCCAAGCTATCCAAATATCCACTTGCAGATTCCACAGAAAGACTGTTTCAAAACTGCTCTGTCAATAGAAAGGTTCAACTCTGTTAGCTGCGTGCATATATCCCAAAGAAGATTCTGAGATTGCTTCTGTCTAGTTTTGATGGGAAGATACTTCCCTTTTCACCGTAGGTGTCAAGGCGCTCCAAATGTCCACTTCCAGATACTACAAAAAGAGTGTTTCAAACCTACTCTGTGAAAGGGAATATTCAACTCTGTGACTTGAATGCACATATCACAAAGAAGTTTCTGAGAATGCTTTCTGTCGAGATTTTATATGAAGATATTCCCGTTTCCAACGAAATCCTGAAATGTATCCAAATATCCCCGCGCAGATTCTACAAAAAGAGTGTTTCAAAACTACTCTGTAAAAAGAAAGGTTCAACTCTGTTAGTTGAGTACACACATCACAAACAAGTTTCACACAATGCTTCTTTCTAGCTTGTAGGGGAAGATATTTCCTTTATCACCATGGGCCTCAAACCGTGTGAAACGTCAACTTCCATATACTACAAAAAGAGCGTTTCAAACCTGCTCTATGAAAGGCAATGTTCAACTCTGTGACTTGAATGCAGACATCACAGAGCAGTTTCTGAGAATGCTTTTCTTTAGATTTTATAGGAAGATATTCCCGTTTCCAACGAATTCTTCACAGCTATCCAAATATCCAGTTGCAGATTCTACAAAAAGAGTGTATCAAAACTGCTCTGTCAAAAGGAAGGTTCTTCTCTGTTAGTTGAGTACATACGTCATAAAGAAGTTTCTGAGAATGTTTCTGTCTAGTGGTTATGGGAAGATATTTGCTTTTTCACCGTAGGCCTCAGAGCGCTCCAAATATCCACTTGCACATACTACAAAAAGAGTGCCTCAAAGCTGCTCTCTGAATCGGAATGTTCAACTCTATGAGTTGAATGCAAACATTACAACGACGTTTCTGAGAATGCTTCTGTCTAGATTTGATATGAAGATATTCCCGTTTCCAACGAAATCTTAAAATCTATCCAAATGTCCACTTGCAGATTCAACAAAAAGTGTTTTTCAGAACTGCTCTATCAAAAGAAAGATCCACCTCTGTAAGCTGAGTTCACACATCACAAACAAGTTTATGAGAATGCTTCTGTCTAGTTTTTATTTGAAGATATTTCCTTTCTCACCACAGACCTGAAAGCTGTCCTAATGTTCACTTGCAGATACTACAGAAAGAGTGTTTCAAAACTGCTGTACGAAAGGGAATGTTCAACTTCTGTGACTTGAATGCACACATCACAAAGAAGTTTCTGAGGATGCTGCTGTCTACTTTTTATACGTAATCCCGTTTCCAACGAAATCCTCCAAGCTATCCAAATATCCACTTGCAGATTCCACAGAAAGACTGTTTCAAAACTGCTCTGGCAATAGAAAGGTTCAACTCTGTTAGCTGCGTGCATATATCCCAAAGAAGATTCTGAGATTGCTTCTGTCTAGTTTTTATGGGAAGATATTTCCCTTTTCACCGTAGGTGTCAAGACGCTCCAAATGTCCACTTCCAGATACTACAAAAAGAGTGTTTCAAACCTACTCTGTGAAAGGGAATATTCAACTCTGTGACTTGAATGCACATATCACAAGGAAGTTTCTGAGAATGCTTCTGTCGAGATTTTATATGAAGATATTCCCGTTTCCAACAAAATCCTGAAATCTATCCAAATATCCCCTCGCAGATTCTACAAAAAGAGTGTTTCAAAACTGCTATGTAAAAAGAAAGGTTCAACTCTGTTAGTTGAGTACACACATCACAAACAAGTTTCACAGAATGCTTCTTTCTAGCTTGTAGGGGAAGATATTCCCTTTATCACCATGGGCCTCAAACCGTCCGAAACGTCCACTTCCATATACTACAAAAAGAGCGTTTCAAACCTGCTCTACGAAAGGCAATGTTCAACTCTGTGACTTGAATGCAGACATCACAGAGCAGTTTCTGAGAATGCTTCTGTCTAGATTTTATAGGAAGATATTCCCGTTTCCAACGAAATCTTCACAGCTATCCAAATATCCACTTGCAGATTCTACAAAAAGAGTGTATCAAAACTGCTCAGTCAAAAGGAAGGTTCTTCTCTGTTAGGTGAGTGCATACGTCATAAAGGAGTTTCTGAGAATGTTTCTGTCTAGTGGTTATGGGAAGATATTTGCTTTTTCACCTTAGGCCTCAGAGCGCTCAAAATATCCCCTTGCACATACTACAGAAAGAGTGCTTCAAAGCTGCTCTCTGAAACGGAATGTTCAACTCTATGGGTTGAATGCAAACATCACAAAGACGTTTCTGAGAATGCTTCTGTCTAGATTTGATATGAAGATATTCCCGTTTCCAACGAAATCTTCAAATCTATCCAAATGTCCACTTGCAGATTCAACAAAAAGTGTTTTTCAAAACTGCTATATCAAAAGAAAGATCCACGTCTGTTAGCTGAGTTCACACATCACAAACAAGTTTATGAGAATGCTTCTGTCTAGTTTTTATGTGAAGATATTTCCTTTCTCACGATAGACCTGAAAGCTGTCCTAATGTTCACTTCCAGATACTACAGAAAGAGTGTTTCAAAACTGCTGTACGAAAGGGAATGTTCAACTCTGTGTCTTGAATGCACACATCACAAGGAAGTTTCTGAGGATGCTGCTAATTTTTATACGTAATCCCGTTACCAACGAAATCCTCCAAGCTATCTAAATATCCACTTGCAGATTCCACAGAAAGACTGTTTGAAAACTGCTCTGTCAATAGAAAGGTTCAACTCTGTTAGCTGCGTGCATATATCCCAAAGAAGATTCTGAGATTGCTTCTGTCTAGTTTTTATGGGAAGATATTTCCCTTTTCACCGTAGGCGTCAAGGCGCTCCAAATGTCCACTTCCAGATAGTACAAAAAGAGTGTTTCAAACTTACTCTATGAAAGGGAATATTCAACTCTGTGACTAGAATGCACATATCACAAAGAAGTTTCTGAGAATGCATCTGTCGAGATTTTATTTGAAGATATTCCCGTTTCCAACGAAATCCTGAAATCTATCCAAATATCCCCTCGCAGATTCTACAAAAAGAGTGTTTCAAAACTGCTCTGTAAAAAGAAAGGTTCAACTCTGTTAGTTGAGTACACACATCACAAACAAGTTTCACAGAATGCTTCTTTCTAGCTTGTAGGGGAAGATATTCCCTTTATCACCATGGGCCTCAAACCGTCCGAAACGTCAACTTCCATATACTACAAAAAGAGCGTTTCAAACCTGCTCTATGAAAGGCAATGTTCAACTCTGTGACTTGAATGCAGACATCACAGAGCAGTTTCTGAGAATGCTTCTGTCTAGATTTTATAGGAAGATATTCCCGTTTCCAACGAAATCTTCACAGCTATCCAAATATCCACTTGCAGATTCTATAAAAAGAGTGTATCAAATCTGCTCTGTCAAAAGGAAGGTTCTTCTCTGTTAGGTGAGTGCATACGTCATAAAGGAGTTTCTGAGAATGTTTCTGTCTAGTGGTTATGCGAAGATATTTGCTTTTTCACCGTAGGCCTCAGAGCGCTCCAAATATCCCCTTGCACATACTACAAAAAGAGTGCTTCAAAGCTGCTCTCTGAAAGGGAATGTTCAACTATATGAGTTGAATGCAAACATCACAAAGACGTTTCTGGGAATGATTCTGTCTAGATTTGATATGAAGATATTCCCGTTTCCAATGAAATCTTCAAATCTATCCGAATGTCCACTTGCAGATTCAACAAAAAGTGTTTTTCAGAACTGCTCTATCAAAAGAAAGATCCACCTCTGTTAGCTGAGTTCACACATCACCAAACAAGTTTATGAGAATGCTTCTGTCTAGTTTTTATTTGAAGATATTTCCTTTCTCACCATAGACCTGAAAGCTGTCCTAATGTTCACTCCCAGATACTACAGAAAGAGTGTTTCAAAACTGCTGTACGAAAGGGAATGTTCAACCCTGTGACTTGAATGCACACATCACAAAGAAGTTTCTGAGGATGCTGCTGTCTACTTTTTATACGTAATCCCGTTTCCAACGAAATCCTCCAATCTATCCAAATATCCACTTGCAGATTCCACAGAAAGACTGTTTCAAAACTGCTCTGTCAATAGAAAGGTTCAACTCTGTTAGCTGCGTGCATATATCCCAAAGAAGATTCTGAGATTGCTTCTGTCTAGTTTTTATGGGAAGATATTTCCCTTTTCACCGTAGGCGTCAAGGCGCTCCAAATGTCCACTTCCAGATACTACTAAAAGAGTGTTTCAAACCTACTCTGTGAAAGGGAATATTCAACTCTGTGACTTGAATGCACATATCACAAAGAATTTTCTGAGAATGCTTCTGTCGAGATTTTATATGAAGATATTCCGGTTTCCAACGAAATCCTGAAATCTATCCAAATATCCCCTCGCAGATTCTACAGAAAGAGTGTTTCAAAACTGCTCTGTAAAAAGAAAGGTTCAACTCTGTTAGTTGAGTACACACATCACAAACAAGTTTCACAGAATGCTTCTTTCTAGCTTGTAGGGGAAGATATTCCCTTTATCACCATGGGCCTCCAACCGTCCGAAACATCCACTTCCATATACTACAAAAAGAGCGTTTCAAACCGGCTCTATGAAAGGCAATGTTCAACTCTGTGACTTGAATGCAGACATCACAGAGCAGTTTCTGAGAATGCTTCTGTCTAGATTTTATAGGAAGATATTCCCGTTTCCAACGAAATCTTCACAGCTATCCAAATATCCACTTGCAGATTCTACAAAAAGAGTGTATCAAAACTGCTCAGTCAAAAGGAAGGTTCTTCTCTGTTAGGTGAGTGCATACGTCATAAAGGGGTTTCTGAGAATGTTTCTGTCTAGTGGTTATGGGAAGATATTTGCTTTTTCACCTTAGGCCTCAGAGCGCTCAAAATATCCCCTTGCACATACTACAAAAAGAGTGCTTCAAAGCTGCTCTCTGAAACGGAATGTTCAACTCTATGGGTTGAATGCAAACATCACAAAGACGTTTCTGAGAATGCTTCTGTCTAGATTTGATATGAAGATATTCCCGTTTCCAACGAAATCTTCAAATCTATCCAAATGTCCACATGCAGACTCAACAAAAAGTGTTTTTCAAAACTGCTGTATCAAAAGAAAGATCCACGTCTGTTAGCTGAGTTCACACATCACAAACAAATTTATGAGAATGCTTCTGTCTAGTTTTTATTTGAAGTTATTTCCTTTCTCACCATAGACCTGAAAGCTGTCCTAATGTTCACTTCCAGATACTACAGAAAGAGTGTTTCAAAACTGCTGTACGAAAGGGAATGTTCAACTCTGTGACTTGAATGCACACATCACAAAGAAGTTTCTGAGGATGCTGCTGTCTACTTTTTATACGTAATCCCGTTTCCACCGAAATCCTCCAAGCTATCCAAATATCCACTTGCAGATTCCACAGAAAGACTGTTTCAAAACTGCTCTGTCAATAGAAAGGTTCAACTCTGTTAGCTGCGTGCATATATCCCAAAGAAGATTCTGAGATTGCTTCTGTCTAGTTTTTATGGGAAGATATTTCCCTTTTCACCGTAGGTGTCAAGGCGCTCCAAATGTCCACTTCCAGATACTACAAAAAGAGTGTTTCAAACCTACTCTGTCAAAGGGAATATTCAACTCTGTGACTTGAATGCAGATATCACAAAGAAGTTTCTGAGAATGCTTCTGTCGAGATTTTATATGAAGATATTCCCGTTTCCAATGAAATCCTGAAATCTATCCAAATATCCCCTCGCAGATTCTACAAAAAGAGTGTTTCAAAACTGCTCTGTAAAAAGAAAGGTTCAACTCTGTTAGTTGAGTACACACATCACAAACAAGTTTCACAGAATGCTTCTTTCTAGCTTGTAGGGGAAGATATTCCCTTTATGACCATGGGCCTCCAACCGTCCGAAACATCCACTTCCATATACTACAAAAAGAGCGTTTCAAACCTGCTCTATGAAAGGCAATGTTCAACTCTGTGACTTGAATGCAGACATCACAGAGCAGTTTCTGAGAATGCTTCTGTCTAGATTTTATAGGAAGATATTCCCGTTTCCAACGAAATCTTCACAGCTATCCAAATATGCACTTGCAGATTCTACAAAAAGAGTGTATCAAAACTGCACTGTCAAAAAGAAGGTTCTTCTCTGTTAGTTGAGTACATACGTCATAAAGGAGTTTCTGAGAATGTTTCTGTCTAGTGGTTATGGGAAGATATTTGCTTTTTCACCGAAGGCCTCAGAGCGCTCCAAATATCCACTTGCACATACTACAAAATGAGTGCCTCAAAGCTGCTCTCTGAAACGGAATGTTCAACTCTATGAGTTGAATGCAAACATCACAAAGACGTTTTCGAGAATGCTTCTGTCTAGATTTGATATATAGATATTCCCGTTTCCAAAGAAATCTTCAAATCTATCCAAATGTCCACTTGCAGATTCAACAAAAAGTGTTTTTCAGAACTGCTCTATCAAAAGAAAGATCCACCTCTGTTAGCTGAGTTCACACATCACAAACAAGTTTATGAGAATGCTTCTGTCTAGTTTTTATTTGAAGATATTTCCTTTCTCACCATAGACCTGAAAGCTGTCCTAATGTTCACTTCCAGATACTACAGAAAGAGTGTTTCAAAACTGCTTTACGAAAGGGAATGTTCAACTCTGTGACTTGAATGCACACATCACAAAGAAGTTTCTGAGGATGCTGCTGTCTACTTTTTATACGTAATCCCATTTCCAACGAAATCCTCCAAGCTATCCAAATATCCACTTGCAGATTCCACAGAAAGACTGTTTCAAAACTGCTCTGTCAATAGAAAGGTTCAACTCTGTTAACTGCGTGCATATATCCCAAAGAAGATTCTGAGATTGCTTCTGTCTAGTTTTTATGGGAAGATATTTCCCTTTTCACCGTGGGCCGTCAAGGCGCTCCAAATGTCCACTTCCAGATACTACAAAAAGAGTGTTTCAAACCTACTCTGTGAAAGGGAATATTCAACTCTGTGACTTGAATGCACATATCACAAGGAAGTTTCTGAGAATGCTTCTGTCGAGATTTTATATGAAGATATTCCCGTTTTCAACGAAATCCTGAAATCTATCCAAATATCCCCTCGCAGATTCTACAAAAAGAGTGTTTCCAAACTGCTCTGTAAAAAGAAAGGTTCAACACTGTTAGTTGAGTACACACATCGCAAGCATGTTTCACAGAATGCTTCTTTCTAGCTTGTAGGGGAAGATATTCCCTAAATCACCATGGGCCTCAAACCGTCCGAAACGTCCACTTCCATATACTACAAAAAGAGTGTTTCAAACCTGCTCTATGAAAGGCAATGTTCAACTCTGTGACTTGAATGCAGACATCACAGAGCAGTTTCTGAGAATGCTTCTGTCTAGATTTTATAGGAAGTTATTCCCGTTTCCAACGAAATCTTCACAGGTATCCAAATATCCACTTGCAGATTCTACAAAAAGAGTGTATCAAAACTGCTCTGTCAAAAGGAAGGTTCTTCTCTGTTAGGTGAGTGCATACGTCATAAAGGAATTTCTGAGAATGTTTCTGTCTAGTGGTTATGGGAAGATATTTGCTTTTTCACCGTAGGCCTCAGAGCGCTCCAAATATCCCCTTGCACATACTACAAAAAGAGTGCTTCAAAGCTGCTCTCTGAAACGGAATGTTCAACTCTATGAGTTGAATGCAAACATCACAAAGACGTTTACTGAGAATGCTTCTGTCTAGTTTTTATTTGAAGATATTTCCTTTCTCACCATAGAGCTGAAAGCTGTCCTAATGTTCACTTCCAGATACTACAGAAAGAGTGTTTCAAAACTGCTGTACAAAAGGGAATGTTCAACTCTGTGACTTGAATGCACACATCACAAAGAAGTTTCTGAGGATGCTGCTGTCTACTTTTTATACGTAATCCCGTTTCCAACGAAATCCTCCAAGCTATCCAAATATCCACTTGCGGATTCCACAGAAAGACTGTTTCAAAACTGCTCTGTCAATAGAAAGGTTCAACTCTGTTAGCTGCGTGCATATATCCCAAAGAAGATTCTGAGATTGCTTCTGTCTAGTTTTTATGGGAAGATATTTCCCTTTTCACGGTAGGTGTCAAGGCGCTCCAAATGTCCACTTCCAGATACTACAAAAAGAGTGTTTCAAACCTACTCTGTGAAAGGGAATATTCAACTCTGTGACTTGAATGCAGATATCACAAAGAAGTTTCTGAGAATGCTTCTGTCGAGATTTTATATGAAGATATTCCCGTTTCCAACGAAATCCTGAAATCTATCCAAATATCCCCTCGCAGATTCTACAAAAAGAGTGTTTCAAAACTGCTCTGTAAAAAGAAAGGTTCAACTCGGTTAGTTGAGTACACACATCACAAACAACTTTCACAGAATGCTTCTTTCTAGCTTGTAGGGGAAGATATTCCCTTTATCACCATGGGCCTCCAACCGTCCGAAACATCCACTTCCATATACTACAAAAAGAGCGTTTCAAACCTGCTCTATGAAAGGTAATGTTCAACTCTGTGACTTGAATGCAGACATCACAGAGCAGTTTCTGAGAATGCTTCTGTCTACATTTTATAGGAAGATATTCCCGTTTCCAACGAAATCTTCACAGGTATCCAAATATCCACTTGCAGATTCTACAAAAAGAGTGTATCAAAACTGCTCTGTCAAAAGGAAGGTTCTTCTCTGTTAGGTGAGTGCATACATCATAAAGGAGTTTCTGAGAATGTTTCTGTCTAGTGGTTATGGGAAGATATTTGCTTTTTCCCCGTAGACCTCAGAGCGCTCCAAATGTCCACTTGCACATGCTACAAAAAGAGTGCTTCAAAGCTGCTCTCTGAAAGGGAATGTTCAACTCTATGAGTTGAATGTAAACATCACAAAGACGTTTCTGAGAATGCTTTCTGTCTAGATTTGATATGAAGATATTCCCGTTTCCAACGAAATCTTCAAATCTATCCAAATGTCCACTTGCAGATTCAACAAAAAGTGTTTTTCAAAACTCCTGTATCAAAAGAAAGATCCACGTCTGTTAGCTGAGTTCACACATCACAAACAAGTTTAGGAGAATGCTTCTGTCTAGTTTTTATTTGAAGATATTTCCTTTCTCACCATAGAGCTGAAAGCTGTCCTAATGTTCACTTCCAGATACTACAGAAAGAGTGTTTCAAAACTGCTGTATGAAAGGGAATGTTCAACTCCTGTGACTTGAATGCACACATCACAAAGAAGTTTCTGAGGATGCTGCTGTCTACTTTTTATACGTAATCCCGTTTCCAACGAAATCCTCCAAGCTATCCAAATATCCACTTGGAGATTCCACAGAAAGACTGTTTCAAAACTGCTCTGTCAATAGAAAGGTTCAACTCTGTTAACTGCGTGCATATATCCCAAAGAAGATTCTGAGATTGCTTCTGTCTAGTTTTTATGGGAAGATATTTCCCTTTTCACCGTGGGCATCAAGGCGCTCCAAATGACCACTTCCAGATACTACAAAAAGAGTGTTTCAAACCTACTCTGTGAAAGGGAATATTCAAATCTCTGACTTGAATGCACATATCACAAAGAAGTTTCTGAGAATGCTTCTGTCGAGATTTTATATGAAGATATTCCTGTTTCCAACGAAATGCTGAAATCTATCCAAATATCCCCTCGCAGATTCTACAAAAAGAGTGTTTCAAAACTGCTCTGTGAAAAGAAAGGTTCAACTCTGTTAGTTGAGTACACACATCACAAACAAGTTTCACAGAATGCTTCTTTCTAGCTTGTAGGGGAAGATATTCCCTTTAACACCATGGGCCTCAAACCGTCTGAAACGTCCACTTCCATATACTAAAAAAGAGCGTTTCAAACCTGCTCTAGGAAAGGCAATGTTCAACTCTGTGACTTGAATGCAGACATCACAGAGCAGTTTCTGAGAATGCTTCTGTATAGATTTTATAGGAAGATATTCCCGTTTCCAACGAAATCTTCACAGCTATCCAAATATCCACTTGCAGATTCTATAAAAAGAGTGTATCAAAACTGCTCTGTCAAAAGGAAGGTTCTTCTCTGTTAGGTGAGTGCATACGTCATAAAGGAGTTTCTGAGAATGTTTCTGTCTAGTGGTTATGGGAAGATATTTGCTTTTTCACCTTAGGCCTCAGAGCACTCCAAATATCCCCTTGCACATACTATAAAAAGAGTGCTTCAAAGCTGCTCTCTGAAACGGAATGTTCAACTCTATGAGTTGAATGCAAACATGACAAAGACGTTTCCGAGAATGCTTCTGTCTAGATTTGATATAAAGATATTCCCGTTTCCAACGAAATCTTCAAATCTATCCAAATGTCCACTTGCAGATTCAACAAAAAGTGTTTTTCCGAACTGCTCTATCAAAAGAAAGATCCACCTCTGTTAGCTGAGTTCACACATCACAAACAAGTTTATGAGAATGCTTTCTGTCTAGTTTTTATTTGAAGATATTTCCTTTCTCACCATAGACCTGAAAGCTGTCCTAATGTTCACTTCCAGATACTACAGAAAGAGTGTTTCAAAACTGCTGTACGAAAGGGAATATTCAACTCTGTGACTTGAATGCACACATCACAAAGAAGTTTCTGAGGATGCTGCTGTCTACTTTTTATACGTAATCCCGTTTCCAACGAAATCCTCCAATCTATCCAAATATCCACTTGCAGATTCCACAGAAAGACTGTTTCAAATCTGCTCAGTCAATAGAATGGTTCAACTCTGTTAGCTGCGTGCATATATCCCAAAGAAGATTCTGAGATTGCTTCTGTCTAGTTTTTATGGGAAGATATTTCCCTTTTCACCGTAGGCGTCAAGGCGCTCCAAATGTCCACTTCCAGATACTAGAAAAAGAGTGTTTCAAACCTTCTCTGTGAAAGGGAACATTCAAATCTGTGACTTGAATGCACATATCACAAAGAAGTTTCTGAGAATGCTTCTGTCTAGATTTTATAGGAAGATATTCCCGTTTCC
Source organism: Homo sapiens (assembly GCF_000001405.40). NCBI lineage: Eukaryota > Metazoa > Chordata > Mammalia > Primates > Hominidae > Homo > Homo sapiens. The sequence continues at coordinate 16,982,260 of NC_000013.11, read as the reverse complement.
AACGAAATCCTGAAATCTATCCAAATATCCGCTCGCAGATTCTACAAAAAGAGTGTTTCAAAACTGCTCTGTGAAAAGAAATGTTCAACTCTGTTAGTTGAGTACACACATCACAAACAAGTTTCACAGAATGCTTCTTTCTAGCTTGTAGGGGAAGATATTCCCTTTATCACCATGGGCCTCAAACCGTCCGAAAAGTCCACTTCCATATACTACAAAAAGAGCATTTCAAACCTGCTCTATGAAAGGCAATGTTCAACTCTGTGACTTGAATGCAGACATCACAGAGCAGTTTCTGAGAATGCTTTCTGTCTAGTGGTTATGGGAAGATATTTGCTTTTTCACCGTAGGCCTCAGAGCGCTCCAAATATCCACTTGCACATACTATAAAAAGAGTGCCTCAAAGCTGCTCTCTGAAACGGAATGTTCAACTCTATGAGTTGAATGCAAACATCGCAAAGACGTTTCTGAGAATGCTTCTGTCTAGATTTGATATGAAGATATTCCCGTTTCCAACGAAATCTTCAAATCTATCCAAATGTCCACTTGCAGATTCAACAAAAAGTGGTTTTCAGAACTGCTCTATCAAAAGAAAGATCCACCTCTGTTAGCTGAGTTCACACATCACAAACAAGTTTATGAGAATGCTTCTGTCTAGTTTTTATTTGAAGATATTTCGTTTCTCACCATAGAGCTGAAAGCTGTCCTAATGTTCACTTCCAGATACTACAGAAAGAGTGTTTCAAAACTGCTGTACGAAAGGGAATGTTCAACTCTGTGACTTGAATGCACACATCACAAAGAAGTTTCTGAGGATGCTGCTGTCTACTTTTTATACGTAATCCCGTTTCCAACGAAATCCTCCAAGCTATCCAAATATCCACTTGCAGATTCTACAGAAAGACTGTTTCAAAACTGCTCTGTCAATAGAAAGGTTCAACTCTGTTAGCTGCGTGCATATATCCCAAAGAAGATTCCGAGATTGCTTCTGTCTAGTTTTTATGGGAAGATATTTCCCTTTTCACCGTAGGCGTCAAGGCGCTCCAAATGTCCACTTCCAGATACTACAAAAAGAGTGTTTCAAACCTACTCTGTGAAAGGGAATATTCAACTCTGTGACTTGAATGCACATATGACAAAGAAGTTTCTGAGAATGCTTCTGTCGAGATTTTATATGAAGATATTCCCGTTTCCAAAGAAATCCTGAAATCTATCCAAATATCCCCTCGCAGATTCTACAAAAAGAGTGTTTCAAAACTGCTCTGTAAAAAGAAAGGTTCAACCCTGTTAGTTGAGTACACACATCACAAACAAGTTTCACAGAATGCTTCTTTCTAGCTTGTAGGGGAAGATATTCCCTTTATCACCATGGGCCTCCAACCGTCCGAAACATCCACTTCCATATACTACAAAAAGAGCGTTTCACACCTGCTCTATGAAAGGCAATGTTCAACTCTGTGACTTGAATGCAGACATCTCAGAGCAGTTTCTGAGAATACTTCTGTCTAGATTTTATAGGAAGATATTCCCGTTTCCAACGAAATCTTCACAGCTATCCAAATATCCACTTGCAGATTCTACAAAAAGAGTGTATCAAAAGTGCTCTGTCAAAAGGAAGGTTCTTCTCTGTTAGGTGAGTGCATACGTCATAAAGGAGTTTCTGAGAATGGTTCTGTCTAGTGGTTATGGGAAGATATTTGCTTTTTCACCGTAGGCCTCAGAGCGCTCCAAATATCCACTTGCACATACTACAAAAAGAGTGCTTCAAAGCTGTTCTCTGAAACGGAATGTTCAACTCTATGAGTTGAATGCAAACATCACAAAGACGTTTCTGAGAATGCTTCTGTCTAGATTTGATATGAAGATATTCCCGTTTCCAACGAAATCTTCAAATCTATCCAAATGTCCACTTGCAGATTCAACAAAAAGTGTTTTTCAGAACTGCTCTATCAAAAGAAAGATCCACGTCTCTTAGCTGAGTTCACACATCACAAACAAGTTTATGAGAATGCTTCTGTCTACTTTTTATTTGAAGATATTTCCTTTCTCACCATAGACCTGAAAGCTGTCCTAATGTTCACTTCCAGATACTACAGAAAGAGTGTTTCAATACTGCTGTACGAAAGGGAATGTTCAACTCTGTGACTTGAATGCACACATCACAAAGTAAGTTTCTCAGGATGCTGCTGTCTACTTTTTATACGTAATCCCGTTTCCAACGAAATCCTCCAACTATCCAAATATCCGCTTGCAGATTCCACAGAAAGACTGTTTCAAAACTGCTCTGTCAATAGAAAGGTTCAACTCTGTTAGCTGCGTGCATATATCCCAAAGAAGATTCTGAAATTGCTTCTGTCTAGTTTTTATTGGAAGATATTTCCCTTTTCACCGTAGGCGTCATGGCGCTCCAAATGTCCACTTCCAGATACTACAAAAAGAGTGTTTCAAACCTACTCGGTGAAAGGGAATATTCAACTCTGTGACTTGAATGCAGTTATCACAAAGAAGTTTCTGAGAATGCTTCTGTCGAGATTTTATATGAAGATATTCCCGTTTCCAACGAAATGCTGAAATCTATCCAAATATCCCCTCGCAGATTCTACAGAAAGAGTGTTTCAAAACTGCTCTGTAAAAAGAAAGGTTCAACTCTGTTAGTTGAGTACACACATCACAAACAAGTTTCACAGAATGCTTCTTTCTAGCTTGTAGGGGAAGATATTCCCCAAATCACCATGGGCCTCAAACCGTCCGAAACGTCCACTTCCATATACTACAAAAAGAGTGTTTCAAACCTGCTCTATGAAAGGCAATGTTCAACTCTGTGACTTGAATGCAGACATCACAGAGCAGTTTCTGAGAATGCTTCTGTCTAGATTTTATAGGAAGATATTCCCGTTTCCAACGAAATCTTCACAGGTATCCAAATATCCACTTGCAGATTCTACAAAAAGAGTGTATCAAAACTGCTCTGTCAAAAGGAAGGTTCTTCTCTGTTACGTGAGTGCATACGTCATAAAGGAATTTCTGAGAATGTTCCTGTCTAGTGGTTATGGAGAAGATATTTGCTTTTTCCCCGTAGGCCTCAGAGCGCTCCAAATATCCACTTGCACATACTACAAAAAGAGTGCTTCAAAGCTGCTCTCTGAAAGGGAATGTTCAACTCGCTATGAGTTGAATGCAAACATCACAAAGACGTTTCTGAGAATGCTTCTGTCTAGATTTGATATGAAGATATTCCCGTTTCCAACGAAATCTTCAAATCTATCCAAATGTCCACTTGCAGATTCAACAAAAAGTGTTTTTCAAAACTGCTGTATCAAAAGAAAGATCCACGTCTGTTAGCTGAGTTCACACATCACAAACAAGTTTATGAGAATGCTTCCGTCTAGTTTTTATTTGAAGATATATCCTTTCTCACTATAGACCTGAAAGCTGTCCTAAAGTTCACTTCCAGATACTACAGAAAGAGTGTTTCAAAACTGCTGTACGAAAGGGAATGTTCAACTCTGTGACTTGAATGCACACATCACAAGGATGTTTCTGAGGATGCTGCTGTCTACTTTTTATACGTAATCCCGTTTCCAACGAAATCCTCCAATCTATCCAAATATCCACTTGCAGATTCCACAGAAAGACTGTTTCTAAACTGCTCTGTCAATAGAAAGGTTCAACTCTGTTAGCTGCGTGCATATATCCCAAAGAAGATTCTGAGATTGCTTCTGTCTAGTTTTTATGGGAAGATATTTCCCTTTTCACCGTAGGTGTCAAGGTGCTCCAAATATCCACTTCCAGATACTACAAAAAGAGTGTTTCAAACCTACTCTGTGAAAGGGAATATTCAACTCTGTGACTTGAATGCACATATCACAAAGAAGTTTCTGAGAATGCTTCTGTCGAGATTTTATATGAAGATATTCCCGTTTCCAACGAAATCCTGAAATCTATCCAAATATCCGCTCGCAGATTCTACAAAAAGAGTGTTTCAAAACTGCTCTGTGAAAAGCAAGGTTCAACTCTGTTAGTTGAGTACACACATCACAAACAAGTTTCACAGAATGCTTCTTTCTAGCTTGTAGGGGAAGATATTCCCTTTATCACCATGGGCCTCAAACCGTCGGAAACGTCCACTTCCATATACTACAAAAAGAGCGTTTCAAACCTGCTCTAGGAAAGGCAATGTTCAACTCTGTGACTTGAATGCAGACATCACAGAGCAGTTTCTGAGAATGCTTCTGTCTAGATTTTATAGGAAGATATTCCCGTTTCCAACGAAATCTTCACAGCTATCCAAATATCCACTTGCAGATTCTACAAAAAGAGTGTATCAAAACTGCTCTGTCAAAAGGAAGGCTCTTCTCTGTTAGGTGAGTGCATACGTCATAAAGGAGTTTCTGAGAATGTTTCTGTCTTGTGGTTATGGGAAGATATTTGCTTTTTCACCGTAGGCCTCAGAGCGCTCCAAATATCCACTTGCACATACTACAAAAAGAGTGCTTCAAAGCTGCTCTCTGAAAGGGAATGTTCAACTCTATGAGTTGAATGCAAACATCACAAAGACGTTTCTGAGAATGCTTCTGTCTAGTATTTGATATGAAGATATTCCCGTTTCCAACGAAATCTTCAAATCTATCCAAATGTCCACTTGCAGATTCAACAAAGTGTTTTTCAGAACTGCTCTATCAAAAGAAAGATCCACCTCTGTTAGCTGAGATCACACTTCACAAACAAGTTTATCAGAATGCTTCTGTCTAGTTTTTATTTGAAGATATTTCCTTTCTCACCATAGACCTGAAGGCTGTCCTAATGTTCACTTCCAGATACTACAGAAAGAGTGTTTCAAAACTGCTGTACGAAAGGGAATGTTCAACTCTGTGACTTGAATGCACACATCACAAAGAAGTTTCTGAGGATGCTGCTGTCTACTTTTTATACGTAATCCCGTTTCCAACGAAATCCTCCAAGCTATCCAAATATCTACTTGCAGATTCCACAGAAAGACTGTTTCAAAACTGCTCTGTCAATAGAAAGGTTCAACTCTATTAGCTGCGTACATATATCCCAAAGAAGATTCTGAGATTGCTTCTGTCTAGTTTTTATGGGAAGATATTTCCCTTTTCACCGTAGGTGTCAAGGCGCTGCAAATGTCCACTTCCAGATACTACAAAAAGAGTGTTTCAACCCTACTCTGTGAAAGGGAATATTCAACTCTGTGGCTTGAATGCAGATATCACAAAGAAGTTTCTGAGAATGCTTCTGTCGAGATTTTATATGAAGATATTCCCGTTTCCAACGAAATCCTGAAATCTATCCAAATATCCCCTCGCAGATTCTACAAAAAGAGTGTTTCAAAACTGCTCTGTAAAAAGAAAGCTTCAACTCTGTTAGTTGAGTACACACATCACAAACAAGTTTCACAGAATGCTTCTTTCTAGCTTGTAGGGGAAGATATTCCCTTTATCACCATGGGCCTCAAACCGTCCGAAACGTCTACTTCCATATACTACAAAAAGAGCGTTTCAAACCTGCTCTATGAAAGGCAATGTTCAACTCTGTGACTTGAATACAGACATCGCAGAGCAGTTCCTGAGAATGCTTCTGTCTAGATTTTATAGGAAGATATTCCCGTTTCCAACGAAATCTTCACAGCTATCCAAATATCCACTTGCAGATGCTACAAAAAGAGTGTATCAAAAATGCTCTGTCAAAAGGAAGGTTATTCTCTGTTAGGTGAGTGCATACGTCATAAAGGAGTTTCTGAGAATGTTTCTGTCTAGTGGTTATGGGAAGATATTTGCTTTTTCACCGTAGGCCTCAGAGCGCTCTAAATATCCACTTGCACATACTACAAAAAGAGTGCCTCAAAGCTGCTCTCTGAAACGGAATGTTCAACTCTATGAGTTGAATGCAAACATCGCAAAGACGTTTCTGAGAATGCTTCTGTCTAGATTTGATATGAAGATATTCCCGTTTCCAACGAAATCTTCAAATCTATCCAAATGTCCACTTGCAGATTCAACAAAATGAGTTTTTCAGAACTGCTCTATCAAAAGGGAAGATCCACCTCTGTTAGCTGAGTTCACACATCACAAACAAGTTTATGAGAATGCTTCTGTCTAGTTTTTATTTGAAGATATTTCCTTTCTCACCATAGACCTGAAAGCTGTCCTAATGTTTTCTTCCAGATACTACAGAAAGAGTGTTTCAAAACTGCTGTACGAAACGGGATGTTCAACTCTGTGACTTGAATGCACACTTCACAAAGAAGTTTCTGAGGATGCTGCTGTCTACTTTTTATACATAATCCCGTTTCCAACGAAATCCTCCAAGCTATCCAAATATCCACTTGCAGATTCCACAGAAAGAATGTTTCAAAACTGCTCTGTCAAGAGAAAGGTTCAACTCTGTTAGCTGCGTGCATATATCCCAAAGAAGATTCTGAGATTGCTTCTGTCTAGTTTTTATGGGAAGATATTTCCCTTTTCACCGTAGGCGTCAAGGCGCTCCAAATGTCCACTTCCAGATACTACAAAAAGAGTGTTTCAAACCTACTCCTGTGAAAGGGAATATTCAACTCCTGTGACTTGAATGCACATATCACAAGGAAGTTTCTGAGAATGCTTCTGTCGAGATTTTATATGAAGATATTCCCGTTTCCAACGAAATCCTGAAATCTATCCAAATATCCCCTCGCAGATTCTACAAAAAGAGTGTTTCAAAACTGCTCTGTAAAAAGAAAGGTTCAACTCTGTTAGTTGAGTACACACATCACAAACAAGTTTCACATAATGCTTCTTTCTAGCTTGTAGGGGAAGATATTCCCTTTATCACCATGGGCCTCAAACCGTCTGAAACGTCCACTTCCATATACTACAAAAAGAGCATTTCAAAGCTGCTCTGTGAAAGGCAATGTTCAACTCTGTGACTTGAATGCAGACATCACAGAGCAGTTTCTGAGAATGCTTCTGTCTAGATTTTATAGGATGATATTCCCGTTTCCAACGAAATCTTCACAGCTATCCAAATATCCACTTGCAGATTCTACAAAAAGAGTGTATCAAAACTGCTCTGTCAAAAGGAAGGTTCTTTTCTGTTAGGTGAGTGCATACGTCATAAAGGAGTTTCTGAGAATGTTTCTGTCTAGTGGTTATGGGAAGATATTTGCTTTTTCACCGTAGGCCTCAGAGCGCTCCAAATATCCACTTGCACATACTACAAAAAGAGTGCCTCAAAGCTGCTCTCTGAAACGGAATGTTCAACTCTATGAGTTGAATGCAAACATCGCAAAGACGTTTCTGAGATGCTTCTGTCTAGATTTGATATGAAGATATTCCCGTTTCCAACGAAATCTTCAAATCTATCCAACTGTCCTCTTGCAGATTCAACAAAAAGTGTTTTTCAGAACTGCTCTATCAAAAGAAAGATCCACGTGTGTTAGCTGAGTTCACACATCACGAACAAGTTTATGAGAATGCTTCTGTCTAGTTTTTATTTGAAGATATTTCCTTTCTCACCATAGACCTGAAAGCTGTCCTAATGTTCACTTCCAGATACTACAGAAAGAGTGTTTCCAAACTGCTGTACGAAAGGGAATGTTCAACTCTGTGACTTGAATGCACACATCACAAAGAAGTTTCTGAGGATGCTGCTGTCTACTTTTTATACGTAATCCCGTTTCCAACGAAATCCTCCAACTATCCAAATATCCACTTGCAGATTCCACAGAAAGACTGTTTCAAAACTGCTCTGTCAATAGAAAGGTTCAACTCTGTTAGCTGCGTGCATATATCCCAAAGAAGATTCTGAGATTGCTTCTGTCTAGTTTTAATGGGAAGATATTTCCCTTTTCACCGTAGGCGTCAAGGCGCTCCAAATGTCCACTTCCAGATACTACAAAAAGAGTGTTTCTAACCTACTCGGTGAAAGGGAATATTCAACTCTGTGACTTGAATGCAGATATCACAAAGAAGTTTCTGAGAATGCTTCTGTCGAGATTTTATATGAAGGTATTCCCGTTTCCAACGAAATCCTGAAATGTATCCAAATATCCCCTCGCAGATTCTACAAAAAGAGTGTTTCAAAACTGCTCTGTAAAAAGAAAGGTTCAACTCTGTTAGTTGAGTACACACATCACAAACAAGTTTCACAGAATGCTTCTTTCTAGCTTGTAGGGGAATATATTCCCTTTATCACCATGGGTCTCAAACCGTCCGAAACGTCCACTTCCATATACTACAAAAAGAGCGTTTCAAACCTGCTCTATGAAAGGCAATGTTCAACTCTGTGACTTGAATGCAGACATCACAGAGCAGTTTCTGAGAATGCTTCTGTCTAGATTTTATAGGAAGATATTCCCGTTTCCAACGAAATCTTCACAGCTATCCAAATATCCACTTGCAGATTCTACAAAAAAAGTGTATCAAAACTGCTCTGTCAAAAGGAAGGTTCTTCTCTGTTAGGTGAGTGCATACGTCATAAAGGAGTTTCTGAGAATGTTTCTGTCTAGTGGTTATGGGAAGATATTTGCTTTTTCACCGTAGGCCTCACAGCGCTCCAAATATCCCCTTGCACATACTACAAAAAGAGTGCTTCAAAGCTGCTCTCTGAAACGGAATGTTCAACTCTATGAGTTGAATGCAAACGTGACAAAGACGTTTCCGAGAATGCTTCTGTCTAGATTTGATATGAAGATATTCCCGTTTCCAACGAAATCTTCAAATCTATCCAAATGTCCACTTGCAGATTCAACAAATCGTGTTTTTCAGAACTGCTCTATCAAAAGAAAGATCCACCTTTGTTAGCTGAGTTCACACATCACAAACAAGTTGATGAGAATGCTTCTGTCTAGTTTTTATTTGAAGATATTTCCTTTCTCACCATAGACCTTAAAGCTGTCCTAATGTTCAGTTCCAGATACTACAGAAACAGTGTTTCAAAACTGCTGTACGAAAGGGAATGTTCAACTCTGTGACTTGAATGCACACATCACAAAGAAGTTTCTGAGGATGCTGCTGTCTACTTTTTATACATAATCCCGTTTCCAACGAAATCCTCCAAGCTATCCAAATATCCACTTGCAGATTCCACAGAAAGACTGTTTCAAATCTGCTCTGTCAACAGAAAGATTCAACTCTGTTAGCTGCGTGCATATATCCCAAAGAAGATTCTGAGATTGCTTCTGTCTAGTTTTTATGGGAAGATATTTCCCTTTTCACCGTAGGTGTCAAGGCGCTCCAAATGTCCACTTCCAGAAACTACAAAAAGAGTGTTTCAAACCTACTCTGTGAAAGGGAATATTCAACTCTGTGACTTGAATGCACATATCACAAAGAAGTTTCTGAGAATGCTTCTGTCGAGATTTTATATGAAGATATTCCCGTTTCCAAAGAAATGCTGAAATCTATCCAAATATCCCCTCGCAGATTCTACAAAAAGAGTGTTTCAAAACTGCTCTGTGAAAAGAAAGGTTCAACTCTCTTAGTTGAGTACACACATCACAAACAAGTTTCACAGAATGCTTCTTTCTAACTTGTAGGGGAAGATATTTCCTTTATCACCATGGGCCTCAAACCGTCCGAAACGTCCACTTCCATATACTAAAAAAAGAGTGTTTCAAACCTGCTCTATGAAAGGCAATGTTCAACTCTGTGACTTGAATGCAGACATCACAGAGCAGTTTCTGAGAATGCTTCTGTCTAGATTTTATAGGAAGATATTCCCGTTTCCAACGAAATCTTCACAGCTATCCAAATATCCACTTGCAGATTCTACAAAAAGAGTATATCAAAACTGCTCTGTCAAAAGGAAGGTTCTTCTCTGTTAGGTGAGTGCATACGTCATAAAGGAGTTTCTGAGAATGTTTCTGTCTAGTGGTTATGGGAAGATATTTGCTTTTTCACCGTAGGCCTCAGAGCGCTCCAAATATCCACTTGCACATACTACAAAAAGAGTGTTTCAAAGCTGCTCTCTGAAAGGGAATGTTCAACTCTATGAGTTGAATGCAAACGTGACAAAGACGTTTCTGAGAATGCTTCTGTCTAGATTTGATATGAAGATATTCCCGTTTCCAACGAAATCTTCAAATCTATCCAAATGTGCACTTGCAGATTCAACAAAAAGTGTTTTTCAGAACTGCTCTATCAAAAGAAAGATCCACCTCTGTTAGCTGAGTTCACACATCACAAACAAGTTTATGAGAATGCTTCTGTCTAGTTTTTATTTGAAGATATTTCCTTTCTCTCCATAGACCTGAAAGCTGTCCTAATGTTCACTTCCAGATACTACAGAAAGAGTGTTTCAAAACTGCTGTACGAAAGGGAATGTTCAACTCTGTGACTTGAATGCACACATCACAAAGAAGTTTCTGAGGATGCTGCTGTCTACTTATTATACGTAATCCCGTTTCCAACGAAATCCTCCAAGCTATCCAAATATCCACTTGCAGATTCCACAGAAAGACTGTTTCAAAACTGCTCTGTCAATAGAAAGGTTCAACTCTGTAAGCTGCGTGCATATATCCCAAAGAAGATTCTGAGATTGCTTCTGTCTACTTTTTATGAGAAGGTATTTCCCTTTTCAACGTAGGCGTCAAGGCGCTCCAAATGTCCACTTCCAGATACTACAAAAAGAGTGTTTCAAACCTACTCTGTGAAAGGGAATATTCAACTCTGTGACTTGAATGCACATATCACAAAGAAGCTTCTGAGAATGCTTCTGTCGAGATTTTTTATGAAGATATTCCCGTTTCCAACGAAATGCTGAAATGTATCCAAATATCCCCTCGCAGATTCTACAAAAAGAGTGTTTCAAAACTGCTCTGTAAAAAGAAAGGTTCAACTCTGTTAGTTGAGTACACACATCACAAACAAGTTTCACAGAATGCTTCTTTCTAGCTTGTAGGGGAAGATATTCCCTTTATCACCATGGGCCTCAAACCGTCCGATAAGTCCACTTCCATATACTACAAAAAGAGCGTTTCAAACCTGCTCTATGAAAGGCAATGTTCAACTCTGTGACTTGAATGCAGACAACACAGAGCAGTTTCTGAGAATGCTTCTGTCTAGATTTTATAGGAAGATATTCCCGTTTCCAACGAAATCTTCACAGCTATCCAAATATCCACTTGCAGATTCTACAAAAAGAGTGTATCAAAACTGCTCTGTCAAAAGGAAGGTTCTTCTCTGTTAGGTGAGTGCATACCTCATAAAGGAGTTTCTGAGAATGTTTCTGTTAGTGGTTATGGGAAGATATTTGCTTTTTCACCGTAGGCCTCTGAGCGCTCCAAATATCCACTTGCACATACTACAAAAAGAGTGCCTCAAAGCTGCTCTCTGAAACGGAATGTTCAACTCTATGAGTTGAATGCAAACATTGCAAAGACGTTTCTGAGAATGCTTCTGTCTAGATTTGATATGAAGATATTCCCGTTTCCAACGAAATCTTCAAATCTATCCAAATGTCCACTTGCAGATTCAACAAAGTGTTTTTCAGAACTGCTCTATCAATAGAAAGATCCACCTCTGTTAGCTGAGATCACACTTCACAAACAAGTTTATCAGAATGCTTCTGTCTAGTTTTTATTTGAAGATATTTCCTTTCTCACCATAGACCTGAAAGCTGTCCTAATGTTCACTTCCAGATACTACAGAAAGAGTGTTTCAAAACTGCTGTACGAAAGGGAATGTTCAACCCTGTGACTTGAATGCACACATCACAAGGAAAGTTTCTGAGGAGGCTGCTGTCTACTTTTTATACGTAATCCCGTTTCCAACGAAATCCTCCAAGCTATCCAAATATCCACTTGCAGATTCCACAGAAAGACTGTTTCAAAACTGCTCTGTCAATAGAAAGGTTCAACTCCGTTAGCTGCGTGCATATATCCCAAAGAGGATTCTGAGATTGCTTCTGTCTAGTTTTTATGGGAAGATATTTCCCTTTTCACCGTAGGCGTCATGGCGCTCCAAATGTCCACTTCCAGATACTACAAAAAGAGTGTTTCAAACCTACTCGGTGAAAGGGAATATTCAACTCTGTGACTTGAATGCAGTTATCACAAAGAAGTTTCTGAGAATGCTTCTGTCGAGATTTTATATGAAGATATTCCCGTTTCCAACGAAATGCTGGAATCTATCCAAATATCCCCTCGCAGATTCTACAAAAAGAGTGTTTCAAAACTGCTCTGTAAAAAGAAAGGTTCAACTCTGTTAGTTGAGTACACACATCACAAACAAGTTTCACACAATGCTTCTTTCTAGCTTGTAGGGGAAGATATTCCCTTTATCACCATGGGCCTCAAACCGTCCGAAAAGTCCACTTCCATATACTACAAAAAAGAGCGTTTCAAACCTGCTCTATGAAAGGCAATGTTCAACTCTGTGACTTGAATGCAGACATCACAGAGCAGTTTCTGAGAATGCTTCTGTCTAGGTTTTATGGGAAGATATTCCCGTTTCCAACGAAATCTTCACAGCTATCCAAATATCCACTTGCAGATAGTACAAAAAGAGTGTATCAAAAATGCTCTGTCAAAAGGAAAGTTCTTCTCTGTTAGTTGAGTACATACGTCACAAAGGAGTTTCTGAGAATGTTTCTGTCTAGTGGTTATGGGAAGATATTTGCTTTTTCACCGTAGGCCTCAGAGCGCTCCAAATATCCACTTGCACATACTACAAAAAGAGTGCTTCAAAGCTGCTCTCTGAAAGTGAATGTTCAACTCTATGAGTTGAATGCCAACATCACAAAGACGTTTCTGAGAATGCTTCTGTCTAGATTTGATATGAAGATATTCCCGTTTACAAAGAAATCTTCAAATCTATCCAAATGTCCACTTGCAGATTCAACAAAAAGTGTTTTTCAGAACTGCTCTATCAAAAGAAAGATCCACCTCTGTTAGCTGAGTTCACACATCAGAAACAAGTTTATGAGAATGCTTCTGTCTAGTTTTTATTTGAAGATATTTCCTTTCTCACCATAGAGCTGAAAGCTGTCCTAATGTTCACTTCCAGATACTACAGAAAGAGTGTTTCAAAACTGCTGTACGAAAGGGAATGTTCAACTCTGTGACTTGAATGCACACATCACAAAGAAGTTTCTGAGGATGCTGCTGTCTACTTTTTATATGTAATCCCGTTTCCAACGAAATCCTCCAACCTATCCAAATATCCACTTGCAGCTTCCACAGAAAGACTGTTTCAAAACTGCTCTGTCAATAGAAAGGTTCAACTCTGTTAGCTGCGTGCATATATCCCAAAGAAGATTCTGAGATTGCTTGTGTCTACTTTTTATGAGAAGATATTTCCCTTTTCACCGTAGGCGTCAAGGCGCTCCAAATGTCCACTTCCAGATACTACAAAAAGAGTGTTTCAAACCTACTCTGTGAAAGGGAATATTCAACTCTGTGACTTAAATGCACATATCACAAAGAAGCTTCTGAGAATGCTTCTGTCGAGATTTTGTATGAAGATATTCCCGTTTCCAACGAAATCCTGAAATGTATCCAAATATCCCCTCGCAGATTCTACAAAAAGAGTGTTTCAAAACTGCTCTGTGAAAAGAAAGGTTCAACTCTCTTAGTTGAGTACACACATCACAAACAAGTTTCACAGAATGCTTCTTTCTAGCTTGTAGGGGAAGATATTCCCTTCATCACCATGGGCCTCAAACCGTCCGAAACGTCCACTTCCATATACTACAAAAAGAGCGTTTCAAACCTGCTCTATGAAAGGCAATGTTCAACTCTGTGACTTGAATGCAGACATCACAGAGCAGTTTCTGAGAATGTTTCTGTCTAGATTTTATAGGAAGATATTCCCGTTTCCAACGAAATCTTCACAGCTATCCAAATATCCACTTGCAGATTCTACAAAAAGAGTGTATCAAAACTGCTCTGTCAAAAGGAAGGTTCTTTTCTGTTAGGTGAGGGCATACGTCATAAAGGAGTTTCTGAGAATGTTTCTGTCTAGTGGTTATGGGAAGATATTTGCTTTTTCACCGTAGGCCTCAGGGTGCTCCAAATGTCCACTTGCACATGCTACAAAAAGAGTGCTTCAAAGCTGCTCTCTGAAAGGGAATGTTCAACTCTATGAGTTGAATGCAAACATCACAAAGACGTCTCTGAGAATGCTTCTGTCTAGATTTGATATGAACATATTCCCGTTTCCAACGAAATCTTCAAATCTTTCCAAATGTCCACTTGCAGATTCAACAAAAAGTGTTTTTCAGAACTGCTCTATCGAAAGATCCACCTCTGTTAGCTGAGTTCACACATCACAAACAAGTTTATGAGAATGCTTCTGTCTAGTTTTTATTTGAAGATATTTCCTTTCTCACCATAGAGCTGAAAGCTGTCCTAATGTTCACTTCCAGATACTACAGAAAGAGTGTTTCAAAACTGCTGTACGAAAGGGAATGTTCAACTACTGTGACTTGAATGCACACATCACAAAGAAGTTTCGGAGGATGCTGCTGTCTACTTTTTATACGTAATCCCGTTTCCAACGAAATCCTCCAAGCTATCCAAATATCCACTTGCAGATTCCACAGAAAGACTGTTTCAAAACTGCTCTGTCAATAGAAAGGTTCAACTCTGTTAGCAGCGTGCATATATCCCAAAGAAGATTCTGAGATTGCTTGTGTCTACTTTTTATGAGAAGATATTTCCCTTTTCACCATAGGCGTCAAGGCGCTCCAAATGTCCACTTCCAGATACTACAAAAAGAGTGTTTCAAACCTACTCTGTGAAAGGGAATATTCAACTCTGTGACTTGAATGCAGATATCACAAAGAAGTTTCTGAGAATGCTTCTGTCGAGATTTTATATGAAGATATTCCCGTTTCCAAAGAAATCCTGAAATCTATCCAAATATCCCCTCGCATATTCTACAAAAAGAGTGTTTCAAAACTGCTCTGTAAAAAGAAAGGTTCAACTCTGTTAGTTGAGTACACACATCACAAACAAGTTTCACAGAATGCTTCTTTCTAGCTTGTAGGGGAAGATATTCCCTTTATCACCATGGGCCTCAAACCGTCCGAAACGTTCACTTCCATATACTACAAAAAGAGCGTTTCAAACCTGCTCTATGAAAGGCAATGTTCAACTCTGTGACTTGAATGCAGACATCACAGAGTAGTTTCTGAGAATGCTTCTGTCTAGATTTTATAGGAAGATATTCCCGTTTCCAACGAAATCTTCACAGCTATCCAAATATCCACTTGCAGATTCTACAAAAAGAGTGTATCAAAACTGCTCTGTCAAAAGGAAGGTTCTTCTCTGTTAGGTGAGTGCATACGTCATAAAGGAGTTTCTGAGAATGTTTATCTGTCTAGTGGCTATGGGAAGATATTTGCTTTTTCACCGTAGGCCTCACAGCGCTCCAAATATCCACTTGCACATACTACAAAAAGAGTGCTTCAAAGCTGCTCTCTGAAACGGAATGTTCAACTCTATGAGTTGAATGCAAACATCACAAAGACGTTTCTGAGAATGCTTCTGTCTAGACTTGATATGAAGATATTCCCGTTTCCAACGAAATCTTCAAATCTATCCAAATGTCCACTTGCAGATTCAACAAAAAGTGTTTTTCAGAACTGCTCTATCAAAAGAAAGATCCACCTCTGTTAGCTGAGTTCACACATCACAAACAAGTTGATGAGAATGCTTGTGTCTAGTTTTTATTTGAAGATATTTCCTTTCTCACCATAGACCTGAAAGCTGTCCTAATGTTCACTTCCAGATGCTACAGAAAGAGTGTTTCAAAACTGCTGTACGAAAGGGAATGTTCAACTCTGTGACTTGAATGCACACATCACAAAGAAGTTTCTGAGGATGCTGCTGTCTACTTTTTATACGTAATCCCGTTTCCAACGAAATCCTGCAATCTATCCAAATATCCACTTGCAGATTCCACAGAAAGACTGTTTCAAAACTGCTCTGTCAATAGAAAGGTTCAACTCTGTTAGCTGCGTGCATATATCCCAAAGAAGATTCTGAGATTGCTTCTGTCTAGTTTTTATGGGAAGATATTTCCCTTTTCACCGTGGGCGTCAAGGCGCTCCAAATGACCACTTCCAGATACTACAAAAAGAGTGTTTCAAACCTACTCTGTGAAAGGGAATATTCAACTCTGTGACTTGAATGCACATATCAGAAGGAAGTTTCTGAGAATGCTTCTGTCGAGATTTTGTATGAAGATATTCCCGTTTCCAACGAAATCCTGAAATCTATCCAAATATCCCCTCACAGATTCTACAAAAAGAGTGTTTCAAAACTGCTCTGTGAAAAGAAAGGTTCAACTCTGTTAGTTGAGTACACACATCACAAACAAGTTTCACAGAATGCTTCTTTCTAGCTTGTAGGGGAAGATATTCCCTTTATCACCATGGGCCTCAAACCGTCTGAAACGTCCACTTCCATATACTACAAAAAGAGCGTTTCAAACCTGCTCTAGGAAAGGCAATGTTCAACTCTGTGACTTGAATGCAGACATCACAGAGCAGTTTCTGAGAATGCTTCTGTCTATACTTTATAGGAAGATATTCCCGTTTCCAAAGAAATCTTCACAGCTATCCAAATATCCACTTGCAGATTCTACAAAAAGAGTGTATCAAAACTGCTCTGTCAAAAGGAAGGTTCTTCTCTGTTAGGTGAGTGCATACGTCATAAAGGAGTTTCTGAGAATGTTTCTGTCTAGTGGTTATGGGAAGATATTTGCTTTTTCACCGTAGGCCTCAGAGCGCTCCAAATATCCCCTTGCACATACTACAAAAAGAGTGCTTCAAAGCTGCTCTCTGAAACGGAATGTTCAAATCTATGAGTTGAATGCAAACATCACAAAGACGTTTCTGAGAATGCTTCTGTCTAGATTTGATATGAAGATATTCCCGTTTCCAACGAAATCTTCAAATCTATCCAAATGTCCACTTGCAGATTCAACAAAAAGTGTTTTTCAAAACTGCTGTATCAAAAGAAAGATCCACGTCTGTTAGCTGAGTTCACACATGACAAACAAGTTTATGAGAATGTTTCTGTCTAGTTTTTATTTGAAGATATTTCCTTTCTCACCATAGACCTGAAAGCTGTCCTAATGTTCTCTTCCAGATGCTACAGAAAAAGTGTTTCAAAACTGCTGTACGAAAGGGAATGTTCAATTCTGTGACTTGAATGCACACATCACAGAGAAGTTTCTGAGGATGCGGCTGTCTACTTTTTATACGTAATCCCGTTTCCAACGAAATCCTCCAAGCTATCCAAATATCCACTTGCAGATTCCACAGAAAGACTGTTTCAAAACTGCTCTGTCAATAGAAAGGTTCAACTCTGTAAGCTGCGTGCATATATCCCAAAGAAGATTCTGAGATTGCTTCTGTCTAATTTTTATGGGAAGATATTTCCCTTTTCACCGTAGGCGTCAAGGCGCTCCTAATGTCCACTTCCAGATATTACAAAAAGAGTGTTTCAAACCTACTCTGTGAAAGGGAATATTCAACTCTGTGACTTGAATGCAGATATCACAAAGAAGTTTCTGAGAATGCTTCTGTCGAGATTTTATATGAAGATATTCCCGTTTCCAACGAAATCCTGAAATCTATCCAAATATCCCCTCGCAGATTCTACAAAAAGAGTGTTTCAAAACTGCTCTGTAAAAAGAAAGGTTCAACTCTGTTAGTTGAGTGCACACATCACAAACAAGTTTCACAGAATGCTTCTTTCTAGCTTGTAGGGGAAGATATTCCCTTTATCACCATGGGCCTCAAACCGTCTGAAACGTCCACTTCCATATACAGCAAAAAGAGCATTTCAAACCTGCTCTATGAAAGGCAATGTTCAACTCTGTGACTTGAATGCAGACATCACAGAGCAGTTTCTGAGAATGCTTCTGTCTAGATTTTATAGGAAGATATTCCCGTTTCCAACAAAATCTTCACAGCTATCCAAATATCCACTTGCAGATTCTACAAAAAGAGTGTATCAAAACTGCTCTGTCAAAAGGAAGGTTCTTCTCTGTTAGGTGAGTGCATACGTCGTAAAGGAGTTTCTGAGAATGTTTCTGTCTAGTGGTTATGGGAAGATATTTGCTTTTTCACCGTAGGCCTCAGAGCGCTCCAAATATCCACTTGCACATACTACAAAAAGAGTGTCTCAAAGCTGCTCTCTGAAACGGAATGTGCAACTCTATGAGTTGAATGCAAACATCGCAAAGACGTTTCTGAGAATGCTTCTGTCTAGATTTGATATGAAGATATTCCTTTTTCCAAGGAAATCTTCAAAACTATCCAAATGTCCACTTGCAGATTCAACAAAAAGTGTTTTTCAGAACTGCTCTATCAAAAGAAAGATCCACCGCTGTTTGCTGAGTTCACACATCACAAACAAGTTTATGAGAATGCTTCTGTCTAGTTTTTATTTGAAGATATTTCCTTTCTCACCATAGACCTGAAAGCTGTCCTAATGTTCACTTCCAGATACTACAGAAAGAGTGTTTCAAAACTGCTGTACAAAAGGGAATGTTCAACTCTGTGACTTGAATGCACACATCACAAAAAAGTTTCTGAGGATGCTGCTGTCTACTTTTTATACGTAATCCCGTTTCCAACGAAATCCTCCAAGCTATCCAAATATCCACTTGCAGATTCCACAGAAAGACTGTTTCAAAACTCCTCTGTCAATAGAAAGGTTCAACTCCGTTAGCTGCGTGCATATATCCCAAAGAAGATTCTGAGATTGCTTCTGTCTAGTTTTTATGGGAAGATATTTCCCTTTTCACCGTAGGTGTGAAGGCGCTCCAAATGTCCACTTCCAGATACTACAAAAAGAGTGTTTCAAACCTACTCTGTGAAAGGGAATATTCAACTCTGTGACTTGAATGCACATATCACAAAGAAGTTTCTGAGAATGCTTCTGTCGAGATTTTATATGAAGATATTCCCGTTTCCAACGAAATCCTGAAATCTATCCAAATATGCCCTCGCAGATTCTACAAAAAGAGTGTTTCAAAACTGCTCTGTAAAAAGAAAGGTTCAACTCTGTTAGTTGAGTACACACATCACAAACAAGTTTCACAGAATGCTTCTTTCTAGCTTGTAGGGGAAGATATTCCCTTTATTACCATGGGCCTCAAACCGTCCGAAACGTCCACTTCCATATACTACAAAAAGAGCGTTTCAAACCTCCTCTATGAAAGGCAATGTTCAACTCTGTGACTTGAATGCAGACATCACAGAGCAGTTTCTGAGAATGCTTCTGTCTAGATTTTATAGGAAGATATTCCCGTTTCCAACGAAATCTTCACAGCTATCCAAATATCCACTTGCAGATTCTACCAAAAGAGTGTATCAAAACTGCTCTGTCAAAAGGAAGGTTCTTTTCTGTTAGGTGAGTGCATACGTCATAAAGGAGTTTCTGAGAATGTTTCTGTCTAGTGGTTATGGGAAGATATTTGCTTTTTCACCGTAGGCCTCAGAGCGCTCCAAATATCCACTTGCACATACTACAAAAAGAGTGCCTCAAAACTGCTCTCTGAAACGGAATGTTCAACTCTATGAGTTGAATGCAAACATCGCAAAGACGTTTCTGAGAATGCTTCTGTCTAGATTTGATATGAAGATATTCCCGTTTCCAACGAAATCTTCAAATCTATCCAAATGTCCACTTGCAGATTCAACAAAAAGTGTTTTTCAGAACTGCTGTATCAAAAGAAAGATCCACCTCTGTTAGCTGAGTTCAGACATCACAAACAAGTTTATGAGAATGCTTCTGTCTAGTTTTTATTTGAAGATATTTCCTTTCTCACCATGGACCTGAAAGCTCTCGTAATGTTCACTTCCAGATACTAGAGAAAGAGTGGTTCAAACCTGCTCTGCGAAAGGGAATGTTGAACTCTGTGACTTGAATTCACACATCACAAAGGAGTTTCTGAGAATACTGCTGTCTACTTTTTATACATAATACCGTTTCCAACGAAATCCTCCAAGCTATCCAAATATCCACTTGCAGATTCCTCAAAAAGACTGTTTCAAAACTGCTCTGTCAATAGAAAGGTTCAACTCTGTAAGCTGCGTGCATATATCCCAAAGAAGATTCTGAGATTGCTTCTGTCTAGATTTGATGGGAAGATATTTCCCTTTTCACAGTAGACGTCAAGGCGCTCCAAATGTCCACTTCCAGATACTACAAAAAGAGTGTTTCAAACCTACTCTGTGAAAGGGAATATTCAACTCTGTGACTTGAATGCAGATATCACAGAGCAGTTTCTGAGAATGCTTCTGTCGAGATTTTATATGAAGATATACCCGTTTCCAACGAAATCCTGAAATCTATCCAAATATCCCCTCGCAGATTCTACAAAAAGAGTGTTTCAAAACTGCTCTGTGAAAAGAAAGGTTCAACTCTGTTAGTTGAGTACACACATCACAAACAAGTTTCACAGAATGCTTCTTTCTAGCTTGTAGGGGAAGATATTCCCTTTATCACCATGGGCCTCAAACCGTCCGAAAAGTCCACTTCCATATACTACAAAAAGAGCGTTTCAAACCTGCTCTATGAAAGGCAATGTTCAACTCTGTGACTTGAATGCAGACATCACAGAGCAGCTTCTGAGAATGCTTCTGTCTAGATTTTATAGGAAGATATTCCCGTTTCCAGCGAAATCTTCACAGCTATCCAAATATCCACTTGCAGATTCTACAAAAAGAGTGTATCATAACTGCTCTGTCAAATGGAAGGTTCTTCTCTGTTAGGTGAGTGCATACGTCATAAAGGAGTTTCTGAGAATGTTTCTGTCTAGTGGTTATGGGAAGATATTTGCTTTTTCACCGTAGGCCTCAGAGCGCTCCAAATATCCACTTGCACATACTACAAAAAGAGTGTTTCAAAGCTGCTCTCTGAAAGGGAATGTTCAACTCTATGAGTTGAATGCAAACATCACAAAGACGTTTCTGAGAATGCTTCTGTCTAGATTTGATAGGAAGATATTCCCGTTTCCAACGAAATCTTCAAATCTATCCAAATGTCCACTTGCAGATTCAACAAAAAGTGTTTTTCAGAACTGCTCTATCAAAAGAAAGATCCACCTCTGTTAGCTGAGTTCACACATCAAAAACAAGTTTATGAAAATGCTTCTGTCAAGTTTTTATTTGAAGATATTTCCTTTCTCACCATAGACCTGAAAGCTGTCCTAATGTTCACTTCCAGATACTACAGAAAGAGTGTTTCAAAACTGCTGTACGAAAGGGAATGTTCAACTCTGTGACTTGAATGCACACATCACAAAGAAGTTTCTGAGGATGCTGCTGTCTACTTTTTATACGTAATCCCGTTTCCAAAGAAATCCTCCAAGCTATCCAAATATCCACTTGCAGATTCCACAGAAAGACTGTTTCAAAACTGCTCTGTCAATAGAAAGGTTCAACTCTGTTAGCTGCGTGCGATATATCCCAAAGAAGATTCTGAGATTGCTTCTGTCTAGTTTTTATGGGAAGATATTTCCCTTTTCACCGTAGGTGTCAAGGCGCTCCAAATGTCCACTTCCAGATACTACAAAAAGAGTGTTTCAAACCTACTCTGTGAAAGGGAATATTCAACTCTGTGACTTGAATGTAGATATCACAAAGAAGTTTCTGAGAATGCTTCTGTCGAGATTTTATATAAAGATATTCCCGTTTCCAACGAAATCCTGAAATCTATCCAAATATCCCCTCGCAGATTCTACAAAAAGAGTGTTTCAAAACTGCTCTGTAAAAAGAGAGGTTCAACTCTGTTAGTTGAGTACACACATCACAAACAAGTTTCACAGAATGCTTCTTTCTAGCTTGTAGGGGAAGATATTCCCTTTATCACCATGGGTCTCAAACCGTCCGAAACGTCCACTTCCATATACTACAAAAAGAGCGTTTCAAATTTGCTCTAGGAAAGGCAATGTTCAACTCTGTGACTTGAATGCAGACATCACAGAGCAGTTCCTGAGAATGTTTCTGTCTAGATTTTATAGGAAGATATTCCCGTTTCCAACGAAATCTTCACAGCTATCCAAATATCCACTTGCAGATTCTACAAAAAGAGTGTATCAAAACTGCTCTGTCTAAAGGAAGGTTCTTCTCTGTTAGTTGAGTACATACGTCATAAAGGAGTTTCTGAGAATGTTTCTGTCTAGTGGTTATGGGAAGATATTTGCTTTTTCACCGTAGGCCTAAGAGCGCTCCAAATATCCACTTGCACATACTACAAAAAGAGTGCTTCAAAGCTGCTCTCTGAAACGGAATGTTCAACTCTATGAGTTGAATGCAAACATCACAAAGACGTTTCTGAGAATGCTTCTGTCTAGATTTGATATGAAGATATTCCCGTTTCCAACGAAATCTTCAAATCTATCCAAATGTCCACTTGCAGATTCAACAAAAAGTGTTTTTCAGAACTGCTCTATCAATAGAAAGATCCACCTCTGTTAGCTGAGTTCACACATCACAAACAAGTTTATGAGAATGCTTCTGTCTAGTTTTTATTTGAAGATATTTCCTTACTCACGATAGACCTGAAAGCTGTCCTAATGTTCACTTCCAGATACTACAGAAAGAGTGTTTCAAAACTGCTGTACGAAAGGGAATGTTCAACTGTGTGTCTTGAATGCACACATCACAAGGAAGTTTCTGAGGATGCTGCTGTCTACATTTGATACGTAATCCCGTTTCCAACGAAATCTTCCAAGCTATCCAAATATCCACTTGCAGATTCCACGGAAAGACTGTTTCAAAACTGCTCTGTCAATAGAAAGGTTCAACTCTGTTAGCTGCGTGCATATATCCCAAAGAAGATTCTGAGATTGCTTCTGTCTAGTTTTTATGGGAAGATATTTCCCTTTTCACCGTAGGCGTTAAGGCGCTCCAAATGTCCACTTCCAGATACTACAAAAAGAGTGTTTCAAACCTACTCTGTGAAAGGGAATATTCAACTCTGTGACTTGAATGCAGATATCACAAAGAAGTTTCTGAGAATGCTTCTGTCGAGATTTTATATGAAGATATTCCCGTTCCCAACGAAATCCTGAAATCTATCCAAATATCCCCTCGCAGATTCTACAAAAAGCGTGTTTCAAAACTGCTCTGTAAAAAGAAAGGTTCAACTCTGTTAGTTGAGTACACACATCACAAACAAGTTTCACAGAATGCTTCTTTCTAGCTTGTAGGGGAAGATATTCCCTTTATCACCATGGTCCTCAAACCGTCCGAAACGTCCACTTCCATATACTACAAAAAGAGCGTTTCTAAACTGCTCTAGGAAAGGCAATGTTCAACACTGTGACTTGAATGCAGACATCACAGAGCAGTTTCTGAGAATGCTTCTGTCTAGATTTTATAGGAAGATATTCCCGTTTCCAACGAAATCTTCACAGCTACCCCAATATCCACTTGCAGATTCTACAAAAAGAGTGTATCAAAACTGCTCTGTCAAAAGGAAGGTTCTTCTCTGTTAGGTGAGTGCATAAGTCATAAAGGAGTTTCTGAGAATGTTTCTGTCTAGTGGTTATGGGAAGATATTTGCTTTTTCACCGTAGGCCTCAGAGCGCTCCAAATATCCACTTGCACATACTACAAAAAGAGTGCCTCACAGCTGCTCTCTGAAAGGGAATGTTCAACTCTATGAGTTGAATGCAAACATCGCAAAGACGTTTCTGAGAATGCTTCTGTCTAGATTTGATATGAAGGTATTCCCGTTTCCAACGAAATCTTCAAATCTGTCCAAATGTCCACTTGCAGATTCAACAAAAAGTGTTTTTCAGAACTGCTCTATCAAAAGAAAGATCCACCTCTGTTAGCTGAGTTCACACATCACAAACAAGTTTATGAGAATGCTTCTGTCTAGTTTTTATTTGAAGATATTTCCTTTCTCACCATAGACCTGAAAGCTGTCCTAATGTTCACTTCCAGATACTGCAGAAAGAGTGTTTCAAAACTGCTGTACGAAAGGGAATGTTCAACTCTGTGACTTGAATGCACACATCACAAAGAAGTTTCTGAGGATGCTGCTGTCTACTTTTTATACGTAATCCCGTTTCCAACGAAATCCTCCAAGCTATCCAAATATCCACTTGCAGATTCCACAGAAAGACTGTTTCAAAACTGATCTGTCAATAGAAAGGTTCAACTCTGTTAGCTGCGTGCATATATCCCAAAGAAGATTCTGAGATTGCTTCTGTCTAGTTTTTATGGGAAGATATTTCCCTTTTCACCGTAGGGGTCAAGGCGCTCCAAATGTCCACTTCCAGATACTACAAAAAGAGTGTTTCAAACCTACTCTGTGAAAGGGAATATTCAACTCTGTGACTTGAATGCAGATATCACAAGAAGTTTCTGAGAATGCTTCTGTCGAGATTTTATATGAAGATATTCCCGTTTCCAACGAAATCCTGAAATGTATCCAAATATCCCCTCGCAGATTCTACAAAAAGAGTGTTTCAAAACTGCTCTGTAAAAAGAAAGGTTCAACTCTGTTAGTTGAGTACAGACATCACAAACAAGTTTCACAGAATGCTTCTTTCTAGCTTGTAGGGGAAGATATTCCCTTTATCACCATGGGCCTCCAACCGTCCGAAACATCCACTTCCATATACTACAAAAAGAGCGTTTCAAACCTGCTCTATGAAAGGCAATGTTCAACTCTGTGACTTGAAAGCAGACATCACAGAGCAGTTTCTGAGAATGCTTCTGTCTAGATTTTATAGGAAGATATTCCCGTTTCCAACGAAATCTTCACAGCTATCCAAATATCCACTTGCAGATTCTACAAAAAGAGTGTATCAAAACTGCTCTGTCAAAAGGAAGGTTCTTCTCTGTTAGGGTGAGTGCATACGTCGTAAAGGAGTTTCTGAGAATGTTTCTGTCTAGTGGTTATGGGAAGATATTTGCTTTTTCCCCGTAGGCCTCAGGGCGCTCCAAATGTCCACTTGCACATACTACAAAAAGAGTGCTTCAAAGCTGCTCTCTGAAACGGAAAGTTCAACTCTATGAGTTGAATGCAAACATCACAAAGACGTTTCTGAGAATGCTTCTGTCTAGATTTGATATGAAGATATTCCCGTTTCCAACGAAATCTTCAAATCTATCCAAATGTCCACTTGCAGATTCTACAAAAAGTGTTTTTCAGAACTGCTCTATCAAAAGAAAGATCCACCTCTGTTAGCTGAGTTCACACATCACAAACAAGTTTATGAGAATGCTTCTGTCTAGTTTTTATTTGAAAATATTTCCTTTCTCACCATAGACCTGAAAGCTGTCCTAATGTTCACTTCCAGATACTACAGAAAGAGTGTTTCAAAACTGCTGTACGAAAGGGAATGTTCAACTCTGTGACTTGAATGCACACATCACAAAGAAGTTTCTGAGGATGCTGCTGTCTACTTTTTATACTTAATCCCGTTTCCAACGAAATCCTCCAAGCTATCCAAATATCCACTTGCAGATTCCACAGAAAGACTGTTTCAAAACTGCTCTGTCAATAGAAAGGTTCAACTCTGTTAGCTGCATGCATATATCCCAAAGAAGATTCTGAGATTGCTTCTGTCTAGTTTTGATGGGAAGATATTTCCCTTTTCACCGTAGGCGTCAAGGCGCTCCAAATGTCCACTTCCAGATACTACAAAAAGAGTGTTTCAAACCTGTTCTATTAAAGGGAATGTTCAATTCTGTGACTTGAATGCAAACATCACCAAGAAGTTTCTCAGAACGCTTCTGTCGAGATTTTATATGAAGATACTCCCGTTTCCAACGAAATCCTGAAATCTATCCAAATATCCCCTCGCAGATTCTACAAAAAGAGTGTTTCAAAACTGCTCTGTAAAAAGAAAGGTTCAACTCTGTTAGTTGAGTACACACATCAGAAACAAGTTTCACAGAATGCTTCTTTCTAGCTTGTAGGGGAAGATATTCCCTTTATCACCATGGGCCTCAAACCGTACGAAACGTCTACTTCCATATACTACAAAAAGAGCGTTTCAAACCTGCTCTATGAAAGGCAATGTTCAACTCTGTGACTTGAATGCAGACATCACAGAGCAGTTTCTGAGAATGCTTCTGTCTAGATTTTATAGGAAGATATTCCCGTTTCCAACGAAATCTTCACAGGTATCCAAATATCCACTTGCAGATTCTACAAAAAGAGTGTATCAAAACTGCTCTGTCAAAAGGAAGGTTCTTCTCTGTTAGGTGAGTGCATACGTCATAAAGGAGTTTCTGAGAAAGTTTCTGTCTAGTGGTTATGGGAAGATATTTGCTTTTTCACCTGAGGCCTCAGAGCACTCCAAATATCCCCTTGCACATACTACAAAAAGAGTGCCTCAAAGCTGCTCTCTGAAACGGAATGTTCAACTCTATGAGTTGAATGCAAACATCACAAAGACGTTTCTGAGAATGCTTCTGTCTAGATTTGATATAAAGATATTCCCGTTTCCAACGAAATCTTCAAATCTATCCAAATGTCCACTTGCAGATTCAACAAAAAGTGTTTTTCCGAACTGCTCTATCAAAAGAAAGATCCACCTCTGTTAGCTGAGTTCACACATCACAAACAAGTTTATGAGAATGCTTCGGTATAGTTTTTATTTGAAGATATTTCCTTTCTCACCATAGACCTGAAAGCTGTCCTAATGTTCACTTCCAGATGCTACAGAAAGAGTGTTTCAAAACTGCTGTACGAAAGGGAATATTCAACTCTGTGACTTGAATGCACACATCACAAAGAAGTTTCTGAGGATGCTGCTGTCTACTTTTTATACGTAATCCCGTTTCCAACGAAATCCTCCAAGCTATCCAAATATCCACTTGCAGATTCCACAGAAAGACTGTTTCAAAACTGCTGTCAATAGAAAGGTTCAACTCTGTTAGCTGCATGCATATATCCCAAAGAAGATTCTGAGATTGCTTCTGTCTACTTTTTATGAGAAGATATTTCCCTTTTCACCGTAGGCGTCAAGGTGCTCAAAATGTCCACTTCCAGATACTACAAAAAGAGTGTTTCAAACCTACTCTGTGAAAGGGAATATTCAACTCTGTGACTTGAATGCACATATCACAAAGAAGCTTCTGAGAATGCTTCTGTCGAGATTTTATATGAAGATATTCTCGTTTCCAACGAAATCCTGAAATCTATCCAAATATCCCCTCACAGATTCTACAAAAAGAGTGTTTCAAAACTGCTCTGTAAAAAGAAAGGTTGAACTCTGTTACTTGAGTACACACATCACAAACAAGTTTCACAGAATGCTTCTTTCTAGCTTGTAGGGGAAGATATTCCCTTTTTCACCATGGGCCTCAAACCGTCTGAAACGTCCACTTCCATATACTACAAAAAGAGCATTTCAAACCTGCTCTGTGAAAGGCAATGTTCAACTCTGTGACTTGAATGCAGACATCACACAGCAGTTTCTGAGAATGCTTCTGTCTAGATTTTATAGGAAGATATTCCGGTTTCCAACGAAATCTTCACAGCTATCCAAATATCCACCTGCAGATACTACAAAAAGAGTGTATCAAAACTGCTCTGTCAAAAGGAAGGTTCTTCTCTGTTAGGTGAGTGCATACGTCATAAAGGAGTTTCTGAAAATGTTTCTGTCTAGTGGTTATGGGAAGATATTTGCTTTTTCACCGTAGGCCTCAGAGCGCTCCAAATATCCAGTTGCACATACTACAAAAAGAGTGCTTCAAAGCTGCTCTCTGAAACGGAATGTTCAACTCTAGGAGTTGAATGCAAACATCACAAAGACGTTTCTGAGAATGCTTCTGTCTAGTATTTGATATGAAGATCTTCCCGTTTCCAACGAAATCTTCAAATCTATCCAAATGTCCACTTGCAGATTCAACAGAAAGTGTTTTTCAGAACTGCTCTATCAAAAGAAAGATCCACCTCTGTTAGCTGAGTTCAGACATCACAAACAAGTTTATGAGAATGCTTCTGTTTAGTTTTTATTTGAAGATATTTCCTTTCTCACCATCGACCTGAAAGCTGTCCTAATGTTCACTTCCAGATACTACAGAAAGAGTGTTTCAAAACTGCTGTACGAAAGGGAATGTTCAACACTGTGACTTGAATGCACACATCACAAAGAAGTTTCTGAGGATGCGGCTGTCTACTTTTTATACCTAATCCCGTTTCCAACGAAATCCTCCAAGCTATCCAAATATCCACTTGCAGATTCCACAGAAAGACTGTTTCAAAACTGCTCTGTCAATAGAAAGGTTCAACTCTGTTAGCTGCGTGCATATATCCCAAAGAAGATTCTGAGATTGCTTCTGTCTAGTTTTTATGGGAAGATATTTCCCTTTTTACCGTAGGTGTCAAGGCGCTCAAAATGTCCACTTCCAGATACTACAAAATGAGTGTTTCAAACCTACTCTGTGAAAGGGAATATTCAACTCTGTGACTTGAATGCAGATATCACAAAGAAGTTTCTGAGAATGCTTCTGTCGATATTTTATATGAAGACATTCCCGTTTCCAACGAAATGCTGAAATGTATCCAAATATCCCCTCGCAGATTCTACAAAAAGAGTGTTTCAAAACTGCTCTGTAAAAAGAAAGGTTCAACTCTGTTAGTTGAGTACACACATCACAAACAAGTTTCACAGAATGCTTCTTTCTATCTTGTAGGGGAAGATATTTCCTTTATCACCATGGTCCTCAAACCGTCCGAATCGTCCACTTCCATATACTAAAAAAAGAGTGTTTGAAACCTGCTCTATGAAAGGCAATGTTCAACTCTGTGACTTGAATGCAGACATCACAGAGCAGTTTCTGAGAATGCTTCTGTCTAGATTTTATAGGAAGATATTCCCGTTTCCAACGAAATCTTCACAGCTATCCAAATATCCACTTGCAGATTCTACAAAAAGAGTGTATGAAAACTGCTCTGTCAAAAGGAAGGTTCTTCTCTGTTAGGTGAGTGCATACGTCATAAAGGAGTTTCTGAGAATGTTTCTGTCTAGTGGTTATGGGAAGATATTTGCTTTTTCACCGTAGGCCTCAGAGCGCTCCAAATATCCACTTGCACATACTACAAAAAGAGTGCTTCAAATCTGCTCTCTGAAACGGAATGTTCAACTCTATGAGTTGAATGCAAACATCACAAAGACGTTTCTGAGAATGCTTCTGTCTAGACTTGATATGAAGATATTCCCGTTTCCAACGAAATCTTCAAATCTATCCAAATGTCCACTTGCAGATTCAACAAAAAGTGTTTTTCAGAACTGCTCTATCAAAAGAAAGATCAACCTCTGTTAGCTGAGTTCACACATCACAAACAAGTTTATGAGAATGCTTCTGTCTAGTTTTTATTTGAAGATATTTCCTTTCTCACCATAGAGCTGAAAGCTGTCCTAATGTTCACTTCCAGTTACTACAGAAAGACTGTTTCAAAACTGCTGTACGAAAGGGAATGTTCAACTCTGTGACTTGAATGCACACATCACAAAGAAGTTTCTGAGGATGCTGCTGTCTACTTTTTATACGTAATCCCGTTTCCAACGAAATCCTCCAAGCTATCCAAATATCCACTTGCAGATTCCACAGAAAGACTGTTTCAAAACTCCTCTGTCCATAGAAAGGTTCAACTCTGTTAGCTGCGTGCATATAACCCAAAGAAGATTCTGAGATTGCTTCTGTCTAGTTTTTATGGGAAGATATTTCCCTTTTCACCGTAGGCGTCAAGGCGCTCCAAATGTCCACTTCCAGATACTACAAAAAGACTGTTTCAAACCTACTCTGTGAAAGGGAATATTCAACTCTGTGACTTGAAAGCACATATCACAAAGAAGTTTCTGAGAATGCTTTTGTCGAGATTTTCTATGAAGATATTCCCATTTCCAACGAAATCCTGAAATGTATCCAAATATCCCCTCGCAGATTCTACAAAAAGAGTGTTTCAAAACTGCTCTGTAAAAAGAAAGGTTCAACTCTGTTAGTTGAGTACAAACATCACAAACAAGTTTCACAGAATGCTTCTTTCTAGCTTATAGGGGAAGATATTCCCTTTATCACCATGGGCCTCAAACCGTCCGAAACGTCCACTTCCATATACTACAAAAAGAGCGTTTCAAACCTGCTCTATGAAAGGCAATGTTCAACTCCGTGACTTCAATGCAGACATCACAGAGCAGTTTCTGAGAATGCTTCTGTCTGGATTTTATAGGAAGATATTCCCGTTTCCAACGAAATCTTCACAGCTATCCAATTATCCACTTGCAGATTCTACAAAAAGAGTGTATCAAAACTGCTCTGTCAAAAGGAAGGTTCTTCTCTGTTAGGTGAGTGCATACGTCATAAAGGAGTTTCTGAGAATGTTTCTGTCTAGTGGTTATGGGAAGATATTTGCTTTTTCACCGTAGGCCTCAGAGCGCTCCAAATATCCACTTGCATATACTACAAAAAGAGTGCTTCAAAGCTGCTCTCTGAAACGGAATGTTCAACTCTATGAGTTGAATGCAAACATCACAAAGACGTTTTCCGAGAATGCTTCTGTCTAGATTTGATATGAAGATCTTCCCGTTTCCAACGAAATCTTCAAATCTATCCAAATGTCCACTTGCAGATTCAACAAAAAGTGTTTTTCAGAACTGCTCTATCAAAAGAAAGATCCACCTCTGTTAGCTGAGTTCAGACATCACAAACAAGTTTATGAGAATGCTTTCTGTCTAGTTTTTATTTGAAGATATATCCTTTCTCACTATAGACCTGAAAACTCTCCTAAAGTTCACTTCCAGATACTACAGAAAGAGTGTTTCAAAACTGCTGTACGAAAGGGAATATTCAACTCTGTGACTTGAATGCACGCATCACAAGGAAGTTTCTGAGGATGCTGCTGTCTACTTTTTATACGTAATCCCGTTTCCAACGAAATCCTCCAAGCTATCCAAATACCACTTGCAGATTCCACAGAAAGACTGTTTCAAAACTGCTCTGTCAATAGAAAGGTTCAACTCTGTTAGCTGCGTGCATATATCCCAAAGAAGATTCTGAGATTGCTTCTGTCTAGTTTTTATGGGAAGATATTTCCCTTTTCACCGTAGGTGTCAAGGCGCTCCAAATGTCCACTTCCAGATACTACAAAAAGAGTGTTTCTAACCTACTCTGTGAAAGGGAATATTCAACTCTGTGACTTGAATGCACATATCACAAAGAAGTTTCTGAGAATGCTTCTGTCGAGATTTTATATGAAGATATTCCCGTTTCCAACGAAATCCTGAAATCTATCCAAATATCGCCTTGCAGATTCTACAAAAAGAGTGTTTCAAAACTGCTCTGTAAAAAGAAAGGTTCAACTCTGTTAGTTGAGTACACACATCACAAACAAGTTTCACAGAATGCTTCTTTCTAGCTCGTAGGGGAAGATATTCCCTTTATCACCATGTGCCTCAAACCGTCCGAAACGTCCACTTCCATATACTACAAAAAGAGCGTTTCAAACCTGCTCCATGAAAGGCAATGTTCAACTCTGTGACTTGAATGCAGACATCATAGAGCAGTTTCTGAGAATGCTTCTGTCTAGATTTTATAGGAAGATATTCCGGTTTCCAACGAAATCTTCACAGCTATCCAAATATCCACTTGCAGATTCTACAAAAAGAGTGTATCAAAACTGCTCTGTCAAAAGGAAGGTTCTTCTCTGTTAGGTGAGTGCATACGTCATAAAGGAGTTTCTGAAAATGTTTCTGTCTAGTGGTTATGGGAAGATACTTGCTTTTTCACCTTAGGCCTCAGAGCGCTCAAAATATCCCCTTGCACATACTACAAAAAGAGCGCTTCAAAGCTGCTCTCTGAAACGGAATGTTCAACTCTATGGGTTGAATGCAAACATCAGAAAGACGTTTCTGAGAATGCTTCTGTCTAGATTTGATATGAAGATATTCCCGTTTCCAACGAAATCTTCAAATGTATCCAAATGTCCACTTGCAGATTCAACAAAAAGTGTTTTTCAGAACTGCTCTATCAAAAGAAAGATCCACCTCTGTTAGCTGAGTTCACACATCACAAACAAGTTTATGAGAATGCTTCTGTCTAGTTTTTATTTGAAGATATTTCCTTTCTCACCATAGAGCTGAAAGCTGTCCTAATGTTCACTTCCAGATACTACAGAAAGAGTGTTTCAAAACTGCTGTACGAAAGGGAATGTTCAACTACTGTGACTTGAATGCACACATCACAAAGAAGTTTCTGAGGATGCTGCTGTCTACTTTTTATACGTAATCCCGTTTCCAACGAAATCCTCCAAGCTATCCAAATATCCACTGGCAGATTCCACAGAAAGACTGTTTCAAAACTGCTCTGTCAATAGAAAGGTTCAACTCTGTTAGCTGCATGCATATATCCCAAAGAAGATTCTGAGATTGCTTCTGTCTAGTTTTTATGGGAAGATATTTCCCTTTTCACCGTAGGCGTCAAGGCGCTCCAAATGTCCACTTCCAGATGCTACAAAAAGAGTGTTTCAAACCTACTCTGTGAAAGGGAATATTCAACTCTGTGACTTGAATGCACATATCACAAAGAAGTTTCTGAGAATGCTTCTGTCGAGTATTTTATATGAAGATATTCCAGTTTCCAACCAAATCCTGAAATCTATCCAAATATCCCCTCGCAGATTCTACAAAAAGAGTGTTTCAAAACTGCTCTGTAAAAAGAAAGGTTCAACTCTGTTAGTTGAGTACACACATCACAAACAAGTTTCACAGAATGCTTCTTTCTAGCTTGTAGGGGAAGATATTCCCTTTATCACCATGGGCCTCAAACCGTCCGAAACGTCTACTTCCATATACTACAAAAAGAGCGTTTCAAACCTGCTCTATGAAAGGCAATGTTCAACTCTGTGACTTGAATGCAGACATCACAGAGCAGTTTCTGACAATGCTTCTGTCTAGATTTTATAGGAAGATATTCCCGTTTCCAACAAAATCTTCACAGCTATCCAAATATCCACTTGCAGATTCTACAAAAAGCGTGTATCAAAACTGCTCTGTCAAAAGGAAGGTTCTTCTCTGTTAGGTGAGTGCATACGTCATAAAGGAGTTTCTGAGAATGTTTCTGTCTAGTGGTTATTCGAAGATATTTGCTTTTTCACCGTAGGCCTCAGAGTGCTCCAAATATCCACTTGCACATACTACAAAAAGAGTGCCTCAAAGCTGCTCTCTGAAACGGAATGTTCAACTCTATGAGTTGAATGCAAACATCACAAAGACGTTTCTGAGAATGCTTCTGTCTAGATTAGATATGAAGATATTCCCGTTTCCAACGAAATCTTCAAATCTATCCAAATGTCCACTTGCAGATTCAACAAAAAGTGTTTTTCCGAACTGCTCTATCAAAAGAAAGATCCGCCTCTGTTAGCTGAGTTCACACATCACAAACAAGTTTATGAGAATGCTTCTGTCTAGTTTTTATTTGAAGATATTTCCTTTCTCACCATAGACCTGAAAGCTGTCCTAATGTTCACTTCCAGTTACTACAGAAAGAGTGTTTCAAAACTGCTGTACGAAAGGAAATGTTCAACTCTGTGACTTGAATGCACACATCACAAAGAAGTTTCTGAGGATGCTGCTGTCTACTTTTTATACTTAATCCCGTTTCCAACGAAATACTCCAAGCTCTCCAAATATCCACTTGCAGATTCCACAGAAAGACTGTTTCAAAACTGCTCTGTCAATAGAAAGGTTCAACTCTGTTAGCTGCGTGCATATATCCCAAAGAAGATTCTGAGATTGCTCTGTCTAGTTTTTATGGGAAGATATTTCCCTTTTCACCGTAGGTGTCAAGGCGCTCCAAATGTCCACTTCCAGATACTACAAAAAGAGTGTTTCAAACCTACTCTGTGAAAGGGAATATTCAACTCTGTGACTTGAATGCAGATATCACAAAGAAGTTTCTGAGAATGCTTTCGGTCGAGATTTTATATGAAGATATTCCCGTTTCCAACGAAATCCTGAAATCTATCCAAATATCCCCTCGCAGATTCTACAAAAAGAGTGTTTCAAAACTGCTCTGTAAAAAGAAAGGTTCAACTCTGTTAGTTGAGTACACACATCACAAACAAGTTTCACAGAATGCTTCTTTCTAGCTTGTAGGGGAAGATATTCCCTTTATCACCATGGGCCTCCAACCGTCCGAAACATCCACTTCCATATACTACAAAAAGAGCGCTTCAAACCTGCTCTATGAAAGGCAATGTTCAACTCTGTGACTTGAATGCAGACATCACAGAGCAGTTTCTGAGAATGCTTCTGTCTAGATTTTATAGGAAGATATTCCCGTTTCCAACGAAATCTTCACAGCTATCCAAATATCCACTTGCAGATTCTACAAAAAGAGTGTATCAAAACTGCTCTGTCAAAAGGAAGGTTCTTTTCTGTTAGGTGAGTGCATACGTCATAAAGGAAGTTTCTGAGAATGTTTCTGTCTAGTGGTTATGGGAAGATATTTGCTTTTTCCCCGTAGGCCTCAGGGCGCTCCAAATGTCCACTTGCACATGCTACAAAAAGAGTGCTTCAAAGCTGGTCTCTGAAAGGGAATGTTCAACTCTATGAGTTAAATGCAAACATCACAAAGACGTTTCTGAGAATGCTTCTGTCTAGATTTGAAATGAAGTTATTCCCGTTTCCAACGAAATCTTCAAATCTATCCAAATGTCCACTTGCAGATTCAACAAAAAGTGTTTTTCAGAACTGCTCTATCAAAAGAAAGATCCACCTCGGTTAGCTGAGTTCACACATCACAAAGAAGTTTATGAGAATGCTTCTGTCTAGTTTTTATTTGAAGATATTTCCTTTCTCAGCATAGACCTGAAAGCTGTCCTAATGTTCACTTCCAGATACTACAGAAAGAGTGTTTCAAAACTGCTGTACGAAAGGGAATGTTCAACTCTGTGACTTGAATGCACACATCACAAAGAAGTTTCTGAGTATGCTGCTGTCTACTTTTTATACATAATCCCGTTTCCAACGAAATCCTCCAAGCTATCCAAATATCCACTTGCAGATTCCACAGAAAGACTGTTTCAAAACTGCTCTGTCAATAGAAAGGTTCAACTCTGTTAGCTGCGTGCATATATCCCAAAGAAGATTCTGAGATTGCTTCTGTCTAGTTTTTATGGGAAGATATTTCCCTTTTCACAGTAGGTGTCAAGGCACTCCAAATGTCCACTTCCAGATACTACAAAAAGAGTGTTTCAAACCTACTCTGTGAAAGGGAATATTCAACTCTGTGACTTGAATGCACATATCACAAAGAAGTTTCTGAGAATGCTTCTGTCGAGATTTTATATGAAGATATTCCCGTTTCCAACGAAATCCTGAAATCTATCCAAATATCCCCTCGCAGATTCTACAAAAAGAGTGTTTCAAAACTGCTCTGTAAAAAGAAAGGTTCAACTCTGTTAGTTGAGTACAAACATCACAAACAAGTTTCACAGAATGCTTCTTTCTAGCTTGTAGGGGAAGATATTCCCTTTATCACCATGGTCCTCAAACCGTTCAAAACGTCCTCTTCCATATACTACAAAAAGAGCGTTTCAAACCTGCTCTATGAAAGGCAATGTTCAACTCTGTGACTTGAATGCAGACATCACAGAGCAGTTTCTGAGAATGCTTCTGTCCAGACTTTATAGGAAGATATTCCCGTTTCCAACGAAATCTTCACAGCTATCCAAATATCCACTTGCAGATACTAGAAAAAGAATGTATCAAAAATGCTCTGTCAAAAGGAAAGTTCTTCTCTGCTAGTTGAGTACATGCGTCATAAAGAAGTTTCTGAGAATGTTCCTGTCTAGTGGTTATGGGAAGATATTTGCTTTTTCCCCGTAGGCCTCAAAGCGCTCCAAATGTCCACTTGCACATACTACAAAAAGAGTGCTTCAAAGCTGCTCTCTGAAAGGGAATGTTCAACTCTATGAGTTGAATGCTAACATCACAACGACGTTTCTGAGAATGCTTCTGTCTAGATTTGATATGAAGATATTCCCGTTTCCAACGAAATCTTCAAATCTATCCAAATGTCCACTTGCAGATTCAACAAAAAGTGTTTTTCAGAACTGCTCTATCAAAAGAAAGTCCCACCTCTGTTAGCTGAGTTCACACATCACAAACAAGTTTATGAGAATGCTTCTGTCTAGTTTTTATTTGAAGATATTTCCTTTCTCACCATAGAGCTGAAAGCTGTCCTAATGTTCACTTCCAGATACTACAGAAAGAGTGTTTCAAAACTGCTGTACGAAAGGGAATGTTCTACTCTGTGACTTGAATGCACACATCACAAAGAAGTTTCGGAGGATGCTGCTGTCTACTTTTTATACGTAATCCCGTTTCCAACGAAATCCTCCAAGCTATCCAAATATCCACTTGCAGATTCCACAGAAAGACTGTTTCAAAACTGCTCTGTCAATAGAAAGATTCAACTCCGTTAGCTGCGTGCATATATCCCAAAGAAGATTCTGAGATTGCTTCTGTCTAGGTTTTATGGGAAGATATTTCCCTTTTCACCGTAGGCGTCAATGCGCTCCAAATGTCCACTTCCAGATACTACAAAAAGAGTGTTTCAAACCTACTCTGTGAAAGGGAATATTCAACTCTGTGACTTGAATGCACATATCACAAAGAAGTTTCTGAGAATGCTTCTGTCGAGATTTTATATGAAGATATTCACGTTTCCAACGAAATCCTGAAATCTATCCAAATATCCCCTCACAGATTCTACAAAAAGAGTGTTTCAAAACTGCTCTGTAAAAAGAAAGGTTCAACTCTGTTAGTTGACTACACACATCACAAACAAGTTTCACAGAATGCTTCTTTCTAGCTTTTAGGGGAAGATATTCCCTTTATCACCATGGGCCTCAAACCGTCCGAAACGTCCACTTCCATATACTACAAAAAGAGCGTTTCAAACCTGCTCTAGGAAAGGCAATGTTCAACTCTGTGACTTGAATGCAGACATCACAGAGCAGTTTCTGAGAATGCTTCTCTCCAGACTTTATAGGAAGATATTCCCGTTTAAAACGAAATCTTCACAGCTATCCAAATATCCACTTGCAGATACTACAAAAAGAGTGTATCAAAAGTGCTCTGTCAAAAGGAAAGTTCTTCTCTGCTAGTTGAGTACATACGTCATAAAGAAGTTTCTGAGAATGTTTCTGTCTAGTGGTTATGGGAAGATATTTGCTTTTTCCCCGTAGGCCTCAGAGCGCTCCAAATATCCAGTTGCACATACTACAAAAAGAGTGCTTCAAAGCTGCTCTCTGAAACGGAATGTTCAACTCTATGAGTTGAATGCAAACATCACAAAGACGTTTCTGAGAATGCTTCTGTCTAGATTTGATATGAAGATATTCCCGTTTCCAACGAAATCTTCAAATCTATCCAAATGTCCACTTGCAGATTCAACAAAAAGTGTTTTTCAGAACTGCTCTATCAAAAGAAAGATCCACCTCTCTTAGCTGAGTTCGCACATCACAAACAAGTTTATGAGAATGCTTCTGTCTAGTTTTTATTTGAAGATATTTCGTTTCTCACCATAGACCTGAAAGCTGTACTAATGTTCACTTCCAGATACTACAGAAAGAGTGTTTCAAAACTGCTGTACGAAAGGGAATGTTCAACTCTGTGACTTGAATGCACACATCACAAAGAAGTTTCTGAGGATGCTGCTGTCTACTTTTTATACGTAATCCCGTTTCCAACGAAATCCTCCAAGCTATCCAAATATCCACTTGCAGATTCCACAGAAAGACTGTTTCAAAACTGCTCTGTCTATAGAAAGGTTCAACTCTGTTAGCTGCGTGCATATATCCCAAAGACGATTCTGAGATTGCTCTGTCTAGTTTTTATGAGAAGATATTTCCCTTTTCACCGTAGGCGTCAAGGCGCTCCAAATGTCCACTTCC
Organism: Homo sapiens; assembly: GCF_000001405.40. Lineage (NCBI taxonomy): Eukaryota > Metazoa > Chordata > Mammalia > Primates > Hominidae > Homo > Homo sapiens. Next base: position 16,944,369 of record NC_000013.11, on the reverse strand, counting down.
AGATACTACAAAAAGAGTGTTTCAAACCTACTCTGTGAAAGGGAATATTCAACTCTGTGACTTGAATGCAGATATCACAAAGAAGTTTCTGAGAATGCTTTCTGTCGAGATTTTATATGAAGATATTCCCGTTTCCAACGAAATCCTGAAATCTATCCAAACTTCCCCTCGCAGATTCTACAAAAAGAGTGTTTCAAAACTGCTCTGTAAAAAGAAAGGTTCAACTCTGTTAGTTGAGTACACACATCACAAACAAGTTTCACAGAATGCTTCTTTCTAGCTCGTAGGGGAAGATATTCCCTTTATCACCATGGGCCTCAAACCGTCCGAAACGTCCACTTCCATATACTACAAAAAGAGCGTTTCAAACCTGCTCCATGAAAGGCAATGTTCAACTCTGTGACTTGAATGCAGACATCATAGAGCAGTTTCTGAGAATGCTTCTGTCTAGATTTTATAGGAAGATATTCCCGTTTCCAAGGAAATCTTCGCAGCTATCCAAATAACCACTTGCAGATTCTACAAAAAGAGTGTATCAAAACTGCACTGTCAAAAGGAAGGTTCTTCTCTGTTAGGTGAGTGCATACGTCATAAAGGAGTTTCTGAGAATGTTTCTGTCTAGTGGTTATGGGAAGATATTTGCTTTTTCACCGTAGGCCTCAGAGCGCTCCAAATATCCACTTGCACATACTACAAAAAGAGTACCTCAAAGCTGCTCTCTGAAACGGAATGTTCAACTCTATGAGTTGAATGCAAACATCACAACGACGTTTCTGAGAATGCTTCTGTCTAGATTTGATATGAAGATATTCCCGTTTCCAACGAAATCTTCAAATCTATCCAAATGTCCACTTGCATAATCAACAAAAAGTGTTTTTCAGAACTGCTCTATCAAAAGAAAGATCCACCTCTGTTAGCTGAGTTCACACATCACAAACAAGTTTATGAGAATGCTTGTGTCTAGTTTTTATTTGAAGATATTTCCTTTCTCACCATAGACCTGAAAGCTGTCCTAATGTTCACTTCCAGATACTACAGAAAGAGTGTTTCAAAACTGCTGTATGAAAGGAAATGTTCAACCCTGTGACTTGAATGCACACATCACAAAGAAGTTTCTGAGGATGCTGCTGTCTACTTTTTATATGTAATCCCGTTTCCAATGAAATCCTCCAAGCTATCCAAATATCCACTTGCAGATTCCACAGAAAGACTGTTTCAAAACTGCTCTGTCAATAGAAAGGTACAACTCTGTTAGCTGCGTGCATATATCCCAAAGAAGATTCTGAGATTGCTTCTGTCTAGTTTTTATGGGAAGATATTTCCCTTTTCACCGCAGGCGTCAAGGTGCTCCAAATGTCCTCTTCCAGATACTACAAAAAGAGTGTTTCAATCCTACTCTGTGAAAGGGAATATTCAACTCTGTGACTTGAATGCAGATATCACAAAGAAGTTTCTGAGAATGCTTCTGTCGAGATTTTATATGAAGATATTCCCGTTTCCAAAGAAATCCTGAAATCTATCCAAATATCCCCTCGCAGATTCTACAAAAAGAGTGTTTCAAAACTGCTCTGTAAAAAGAAAGGTTCAACTCTGTTAGTTGAGTACACACATCACAAACAAGTTTCACAGAATGCTTCTTTCTAGCTTGTAGGGGAAGATATTCCCTTTATCACCATGGGCCTCCAACCGTCCGAAACATCCACTTCCGTATACTACAAAAAGAGCGTTTCAAACCTGCTCTATGAAAGGCAATGTTCAACTCTGTGACTTGAATACAGACATCACAGAGCAGTTTCTGAGAATGCTTCTGTCTAGATTTTATAGGAAGGTATTCCCGTTTCCAACGAAATCTTCACAGCTATCCAAATATCCACTTGCAGATTCTACAAAAAGAGTGTATCAAAACTGCTCTGTCAAAAGGAAGGTTCTTCTCTGTTAGTTGAGTACATACGTCATAAAGTAGTTTCTGAGAATGTTTCTGTCTAGTGGTTATGGGAAGATATTTGCTTTTTCACCTTAGGCCTCAGAGCGCTCCAAATATCCCCTTGCACATACTACAAAAAGAGTGCTTCAAAGCTGCTCTCTGAAAGAGAATGTTCAACTCTATGAGTTGAATGCAAACATCAAAAAGACGTTTCTGGGAATGCTTCTGTCTATATTTGATATGAAGATATTCCCGTTTCCAACGAAATCTTCAAATCTATCCAAATGTCCACTTGCAGATTCAACAAAAAGTGTTTTTCAGAACTGCTCTATCAAAAGAAAGATCCACCTCTGTTAGCTGAGTTCACACATCACAAACAAGTTTATGAGAATGCTTCTGTCTAGTTTTTATTTGAAGATATTTCCTTTCTCACCATAGACCTGAAACCTGTCCTAATGTTCACTTCCAGATACTACAGAAAGAGTGTTTCAAAACTGCTGTACGAAAGGGAATGTTCAACTCTGTGACTTGAATGCACACATCACAAGGAAGTTTCTGAGGATGCTGCTGTCTACTTTTTATACGTAATCCCGTTTCCAACGAAATCCTCCAAGCTATCTAAATATCCACTTGCAGATTCCACAGAAAGACTGTTTCAAAACTGCTCTGTCAATAGAAAGGTTCAACTCTGTTAGCTGCGTGCATATATCCCAAAGAAGATTCTGAGATTGCTTCTGTCTAGTTTTTATGGGAAGATATTTCCCTTTTCACCGTAGGCGTCAAGGCGCTCCAAATGTCCACTTCCAGATACTACAAAAAGAGTGTTTCAAACCTACTCCTGTGAAAGGGAATATTCAACTCTGTGACTTGAATGCACATATCACAAAGAAGTTTCTGAGAATGCTTCTGTCGAGATTTTATATGAAGATATTCCCGTTTCCAACGAAATCCTGAAATCTATCTAAATATCCCCTCGCAGATTCTACAAAAAGAGTGTTCCAAAACTGCTCTGTAAAAAGAAAGGTTCAACTCTGTTAGTTGAGTACACACATCACAAACAAGTTTCACAGAATGCTTCTTTCTAGCTTGTAGGGGAAGATATTCCCTTTATCACCATGGGCCTCAAACCGTCTGAAACGTCCACTTCCATATACTACAAAAAGAGCGATTCAAACCTGCTCTATGAAAGGCAATGTTCAACTCTGTGACTTGAATGCAGACATCACAGAGCAGTTTCTGAGAATGCTTTTGTTTAGATTTTATAGAAAGATATTCCCTTTTCCAACGAATTCTTCACAGATATCCAAATATCTACTTGCAGATTCTACAAGAAGAGTGTATCAAAACTGCTCTGTCAAAAGGAAGGTTCTTCTCTGTTAGTTGAGTACATACGTCATAAAGAAGTTTCTGAGAAGGTTTCTGTCTAGTGGTTATGGGAAGATATTTGCTTTTTCACCGTAGGCCTCAAAGTGCTCCTAATGTCCACTTGCACATACTACAAAATGAGTGCTTCAAAGCTGCTCTCTGAAAGGGAATGTTCAACTCTATGAGTTGAATGCAAACATCACAAAGACGTTTCTGAGAATGCTTCTGTCTAGATTTGATATGAAGATATTCCCGTTTCCAACGAAATCTTCAAATCTATCCAAATGTCCACTTGCAGATTCAACAAAACGTGTTTTTCAGAACTGCTCTATCAAAAGAAAGATCCACCTCTGTTAGCTGAGTTCACACATCACAAACAAGTTTATGAAAATGCTTCTGTATAGTTTTTATTTGAAGATATTTCCTTTCTCACCATAGACCTGAAAGCTGTCCTAATGTTCACTTCCAGATACTACAGAAAGAGTGTTTCAAAACTGCTGTACGAAAGGAAATGTTCAACTCTGTGACTTGAATGCACACATCACAAAGAAGTTTCTGAGGATGCTGCTGTCTACTTTTTATACGTAATCCCTTTTCCAACGAAATCCTCCAAGCTATCCAAATATCCACTTGCAGATTCCACAGAAAGACTGTTTCAAAACTGCTCTGTCAATAGAAAGGTTCAACTCTGTTAGCTGCGTGCATATATCCCAAAGAAGATTCTGAGATTGCTTCTGTCTAGTTTTTTAGGGAAGATATTTCCCTTTTCTCCGTAGCAGTCAAGGCGCTCCAAATGTCCACTTCCAGATACTACAAAAAGAGTGTTTCAAACCTACTCTGTGAAAGGGAATATTCAACTCTGTGACTTGAATGCAGATATCACAAAGAAGTTTCTGAGAATGCTTCTGTCGAGATTTTATATAAAGATATTCCCGTTTCCAACGAAATCCTGAAATCTATCCAAATATCCCCTCGCAGATTCTACAAAAAGAGTGTTTCAAAACTGCTCTGTAAAAAGAAAGGTTCAACTACTGTTAGTTGAGTACACACATCACAAACAAGTTTCACAGAATGCTTCTTTCTAGCTTGTAGGGGAAGATATTTCCTTTATCACCATGGTCCTCAAACCGTCCGAATCGTCCACTTCCATATACTAAAAAAAGAGTGTTTGAAACCTGCTCTATGAAAGGCAATGTTCAACTCTGTGACTTGAATGCAGACATCACAGAGCAGTTTCTGAGAATGCTTCTGTCTAGATTTTATAGGAAGATATTCCCGTTTCCAACGAAATCTTCACAGCTATCCAAATATCCACTTGCAGATTCTACAAAAAGAGTGTATCAAAACTGCTCTGTCAAAAGGAAGGTTCTTCTCTGTTAGGTGAGTGCATACGTCATTAAGGAGTTTCTGAGAATGTTTCTGTCTAGTGGTTATGGGAAGATATTTGCTTTTTCACCGTAGGCCTCAGAGCGCTCCAAATATCCACTTGCACATACTACAAAAAGAGTGCTTCAAACCTCCTCTCTGAAACGGAATGTTCAACTCTATGAGTTGAATGCAAACATGACAAAGACGTTTCTGAGAATGCTTCTGTCTAGATTTGATATGAAGATATTCCCGTTTCCAACGAAATCTTCAAATCTATCCAAATGTCCACTTGCAGATTCAACAAAAAGTGTTTTTCAGAACTGCTCTATCAAAAGAAAGATCCACCTCTGTTAGCTGAGTTCACACATCACAAACAAGCTTATGAGAATGCTTCTGTCTAGTTTTTATTTGAAGATATTTCCTTTCTCACCATAGACCGGAAAGCTGTCCTAATGTTCACTTCCAGATACTACAGAAAGAGTGTTTCAAAACTGCTGTACGAAAGGGAATGTTCAACTCTGTGACTTGAATGCACACATCCCAAAGAAGTTTCTGAGGATGCTGCTGTCTACTTTTTATACGTAATCCCGTTTCCAACGAAATCCTCCAAGCTATCCAAATATCCAATTGGAGATTCCACAGAAAGACTGTTTCAAAACTGCTCTGTCAATAGAAAGGTTCAACTCTGTTAACTGCGTGCATATATCCCAAAGAAGATTCTGAGATTGCTTCTGTCTAGTTTTTATGGGAAGATATTTCCGTTTTCACCGTAGGCGTCAAGGCGCTCCAAATGTCCACTTCCAGATACTACAAAAGAGTGTTCCAATCCTACTCTGTGAAAGGGAATATTCAACTCTGTGACTTGAATGCAGATATCACAAAGAAGTTTCTGAGAATGCTTCTGTCGAGATTTTATATGAAGATATTCCCGTTTCCAACGAAATCCTGAAATCTATCCAAATATCCCCTCGCAGATTCTACAAAACGAGTGTTTCAAAACTGCTCTGTAAAAAGAAAGGTTCAACTCTGTTAGTTGAGTACACACATCACAAACAAGTTTCACAGAATGCTTCTTTCTAGCTTGTAGGGGAAGATATTCCCTTTATCACCATGGGCCTCAAACCGTCCGAAACGTCCACTTCCATATAGTACAAAAAGAGCGTTTCAAACCTGCTCCATGAAAGGCAATGTTCAACTCTGTGACTTGAATGCAGACATCACAGAGCAGCTTCTGAGAATGCTTCTGTCTAGATTTTATAGGAAGATATTCCCGTTTCCAACGAAATCTTCACAGCTATCCTAATATCCACTTGCAGATTCTACAAAAAGAGTGTATCAAAACTGCTCTGTCAAAAGGAAGGTTCTTTTCTGTTAGGTGAGTGCATACGTCATAAAGGAGTTTCTGAGAATGTTTCTGTCTTGTGGTTATGGGAAGATATTTGCTTTTTCACCGTAGGCCTCAGAGCGCTCCAAATATCCACTTGCACATACTACAAAAAGAGTGCCTCAAAGCTGCTCTCTGAAACGGAATGTTCAACTCTATGAGTTGAATGCAAACATCGCAAAGACGTTTTCTGAGAATGCTTCTGTCTAGATTTGATATGAAGATATTCCCGTTTCCAACGAAATCTTCAAATCTATCCAAATGTCCACTTGCAGATTCAACAAAAAGTGTTTTTCAGAACTGCTCTATCAAAAGAAAGATCCACCTCTGTTAGCTGAGTTCCCACATCACAAACAGGTTTATGAGAATGCTTCTGTCTAGTTTTTATTTGAAGATATTTCCTTTCTCACCATAGACCTGAAAGCTGTCGTAATGTTCACTTCCAGATACTACAGAAAGAGTGTTTCAAAACTGCTGTACGAAAGGGAATGTTCAACTCCTGTGACTTGAATGCACACATCACAAAGAAGTTTCTGAGGATGCTGCTGTCCACTTTTTATACGTAATCCCGTTTCCAACGAAATCCTCCAAGCTATCCAAATATCCACTTGCAGATTCCACAGAAAGACTGTTTCAAAACTGCTCTGTCAATAGAAAGGTTCAACTCTGTTAGCTGCGTGCATATATCCCAAAGAAGATTCTGAGATTACTTCTGTCTAGTTTTTATGGGAAGATATTTCCCTTTTCACCGTAGGCGTCAAGGCGCTCCAAATGTCCACTTCCAGATACCACAAAGAGTGTTTCAAACCTACTCTGTGAAAGGGAATATTCAACTCTGTGACTTGAATGCAGATATCACAAAGAAGTTTCTGAGAATGCTTCTGTCGAGATTTTATATGAAGATATTCCCGTTTCCAACGAAATCCTAAAATCTATCCAAATATCCCCTCGCAGATTCTACAAAAAGAGTGTTTCAAAACTGCTCTGTAAAAAGAAAGGTTCAACTCTGTTAGTTGAGTACACACATCACAAACAAGTTTCACAGAATGCTTCTTTCTAGCTTGTAGGGGAAGATATTCCCTTTATCACCATGGGCCTCAAACCGTCCGAAACGACTACTTCCATATACTACAAAAAGAGCGTTTCAAACCTGCTCTATGAAAGGCAATGTTCAACTCTGTGACTTGAATGCAGACATCACAGAGCAGTTTCTGAGAATGCTTCTGTCTAGATTTTATAGGAAGATATTCCCGTTTCCAACGAAATCTTCACAGCTATCCAAATATCCACTTGCAGATTCCACAAAAAGAGTGTATCAAAACTGCTCTGTCAAAAGGAAGGTTCTTCTCTGTTAGTTGAGTACATACGTCATAAAGGAGTTTCTGAGAATGTTTCTGTCTAGTGGTTATGGGAAGATATTTGCTTTTACACCGTAGGCCTCAGAGCGCTCCAAATATCCACTTGCACATACTACAAAAAGAGTGCTTCAAAGCTGGTCTCTGAAACGGAATGTTCAACTCTATGAGTTGAATGCAAACATCACAAAGACGTTTCTGAGAATGCTTTCTGTCTAGATTTGATATGAAGGATATTCCCGTTTCCAACGAAATCTTCAAATCTATCCAAATGTCCACTTGCAGATTCAACAAAAAGTGTTTTTCAGAACTGCTCTATCAAAAGAAAGATCCACGTGTGTTAGCTGAGTTCACACATTACGAACAAGTTTATGAGAATGCTTCTGTCTAGTTTTTATTTGAAGATATATCCTTTCTCACTATAGACCTGAAAGCTGTCCTAATGTTCACTTCCAGATACTACAGAAAGAGTGTTTCAAAACTGCTGTACGAAAGGGAATTTTCAACTCTGTGACTTGAATGCACACATCACAAAGTAGTTTCTGAGGATGCTGCTGTCTACTTTTTATACGTAATCCCGTTTCCAACGAAATCCTCCAAGCTATCAAATATCCACTTGCAGATTCCACAGAAAGACTGTTTCAAAACTGCTCTGTCAATAGAAAGGTTCAACTCTGTTAGCTGCGTGCATATATCCCAAAGAAGATTCTGAGATTGCTTCTGTCTAGTTTTTATGGGAAGATATTTCCCTTTTCACCGTAGGCGTCAATGCACTCCAAATGTCCACTTCTAGATACGACAAAAAGAGTGTTTCAAACCTACTCTGTGAAAGGGAATATTCAACTCTGTGACTTGAATGCACATATCACAAAGAAGTTTCTGAGAATGCTTCTGTCGAGATTTTATATGAAGATATTCCCGTTTCCAACGAAATCCTGAAATCTATCCAAATATCCCCTCGCAGATTCTACAAAAAGAGTGTTTCAAAACTGCTCTGTAAAAAGAAAGGATCAACTCTGTTAGTTGAGTACACACATCACAAACAAGTTTCACAGAATGCTTCTTTCTAGCTTGTAGGGGAAGATATTCCCTTTATCACCATGGGCCTCCAACCGTCCGAAACATCCACTTCCATATACTACAAAAAAGCGTTTCAAACCTACTCTATGAAAGGCAATGTTCAACTCTGTGACTTGAATGCAGACATCACAGAGCAGTTTCTGAGAATGCTTCTGTCGAGATTTTATATGAAGATATTCCCGTTTCCAACGAAATCCTGAAATCTCTCCAAATATCCCCTCGCAGATTCTACAAAAAGAGTGTATCAAAACTGCTCTGTCAAAAGGTAGGTTCTTCTCTGTTAGGTGAGTGCATACGTCATAAAGGAGTTTCTGAGAATGTTTCTGTCTAGTGGTTATGGGAAGATATTTGCTTTTTCACCGTAGGCCTCAGGGCGCTCCAAATGTCCACTTGCACATGCTACAAAAAGAGTGCTTCAAAGCTGCTCTCTGAAAGGGAATGTTCAACTCTATGAGTTGAATGCAAACATCACAAAGACGTTTCTGAGAATGCTTCTGTCTAGATTTGATATGAAGATATTCCCGTTTCCAACGAAATCTTCAAATCTATCCAAATGTCCACTTGCAGATTCAACAAAAAGTGTTTTCCCGAACTGCTCTATCAAAAGAAAGATCCGCCTCTGTTAGCTGAGTCCACACATCACAAACAAGTTTATGAGAATGCTTCTGTCTAGTTTTTATTTGAAGATATTTCCTTTCTCACCATAGACCTGAAAGCTGTCCTAATGTTCACTTCCAGATACTACAGAAAGAGTGTTTCAAAACTGCTGTACGAAAGGGAATGTTCAACCCTGTGACTTGAATGCACACATCACAAAGAAGTTTCTGAGGATTCTGCTGTCTACTTTTTATACGTAATCCCGTTTCCAATGAAATCCTCCAATCTATCCAAATATCCACTTGCAGATTCCACAGAAAGACTGTTTCAAATCTGCTCTGTCAACAGAAAGATTCAACTCTGTTAGCTGCGTGCATATATCCCAAAGAAGATTCTGAGATTGCTTCTGTCTAGTTTTTATGGGAAGATATTTCCCTTTTCACCGTAGGTGTCAAGGCGCTCCAAATGTCCACTTCCAGATACTACAAAAAGAGTGTTTCAAACCTACTCTGTGAAAGGGAATATTCAACTCTGTGACTTGAATGCACATATCACAAAGAAGTTTTCTGAGAATGCTTCTGTCGAGATTTTATATGAAGATATTCCCGTTTCCAACGAAATCCTGAAATCTATCCAAATATCCCCTCGCAGATTCTACAAAAAGAGTGTTTCAAAACTGCTCTGTAAAAAGAAAGGTTCAAATCTGTTAGTTGAGTACACACATCACAAACAAGTTTCACACAATGCTTCTTTCTAGACTTGTAGGGGAAGATATTCCCTTTATCACCATGGGCCTCCAACCGTCCGAAACATCCACTTCCATATACTACAAAAAGAGCGTTTCAAACCTGCTCTATGAAAGGCAATGTTCAACTCTGTGACTTGAATGCAGACATCACAGAGCAGTTTCTGAGAATGCTTCTGTCTAGATTTTATAGGAAGATATTCCCGTTTCCAATGAAATCTTCACAGCTATCCAAATATCCACTTGCAGATTCTACAAAAAGAGTGTATCAAAACTGCTCTGTCAAAAGGAAGGTTCTTTTCTGTTAGGTGAGTGCATACGTCATAAAGGAGTTTCTGAGAATGTTTCTGTCTAGTGGTTATGGGAAGATATTTGCTTTTTCACCTTAGGCCTCAGAGAGCTCCAAATATACCCTTGCACATACTACAAAAAGAGAGCTTCAAAGCTGCTCTCTGAAAGGGAATGTTCAACTCTATGAGTTGAATGCAAACATCACAAAGACGTTTCTGAGAATGCTTCTGTCTAGATTTGATATGAAGATATTCCCGTTTCCAACGAAATCTTCATATCTATCCAAATGTCCACTTGCAGATTCAACAAAAAGTGTTTTTCAAAACTGCTCTATCAAAAGAAAGATCCACCTCTGTTAGCTGAGTTCACACATCACAAACAAGTTGATGAGAATGCTTCTGTCTAGTTTTTATTTGAAGATATTTCCTTTCTCACCATAGAGCTGAAAGCTGTCCTAATGTTCACTTCCAGATACTACAGAAAGAGTGTTTCAAAACTGCTGTATGAAAGGGAATGTTCAACTCTGTGACTTGAATGCACACATCACAAAGAAGTTTCTGAGGATGCTGCTGTCTACTTTTTATACGTAATCCCGTTTCCAACGAAATCCTCCAATCTATCAAAATATCCACTTGCAGATTCCACAGAAAGACTGTTTCAAAACTGCTCTGTCAATAGAAAGGTTCAACTCTGTTAGCTGCGTGCATATATCCCAAAGAAGATTCTGAGATTGCTTCTGTCTAGTTTTTATGGGAAAATATTTCCCTTTTCACCGTAGGTGTCAAGGCGCTCCAAATGTCCACTTCCAGATACTACAAAAAGAGTGTTTCAAACCTACTCTGTGAAAGGGAATATTCAACTCTGTGACTTGAATGCAGATATCACAAAGAAGTTTCTGAGAATGCTTCTGTCGAGATTTTCTATGAAGATATTCCCGTTTCCAACGAAATCCTGAAATGTATCCAAATATCCCCTCGCAGATTCTACAGAAAGAGTGTTTCAAAACTGCTCTGTAAAAAGAAAGGTTCAACTCTGTTAGTTGAGTACACACATCACAAACAAGTTTCACAGAATGCTTCTTTCTAGCTTGTAGGGGAAGATATTCCCTTTATCACCATGGGCCTCAAACCGTCCGAAACGTCCACTTCCATATACTACAAAAAGAGCGTTTCAAACCTACTCTATGAAAGGCAATGTTCAACTCTGTGACTTGAATGCAGACATCACAGAGCAGTTTCTGAGAATGCTTCCGTCTAGATTTTATAGGAAGATATTCCCGTTTCCAACGAAATCTTCACAGCTATCCAAATATCCACTTGCAGATTCTACAAAAAGAGTGTATCAAAACTGCTCTGTCAAAAGGAAGGTTCTTCTCTGTTAGTTGAGTACATACGTCATAAAGGAGTTTCTGAGAATGTTTCTGTCTAGTGGTTATGGGAAGATATTTGCTTTTTCACCGTAGGCCTCAGAGCGCTCCAAATATCCCCTTGCACATACTACAAAAAGAGTGCTTCAAAGCTGCTCTCTGAAACGGAATGTTCAACTCTATGAGTTGAATTCAAACATCACAAAGACGTTTCTGAGAATGCTTCTGTCTAGATTTGATATGAAGATATTCCCGTTACCAACGAAATCTTCAAATCTATCCAAATGTCCACTTGCAGATTCAACAAAAAGTGTTTTTCAGAACTGCTCTATCAAAAGAAAGATCCACCTCTGTTAGATGAGTTCACACATCACAAACAAGTTTATGAGAATGCTTCTGTCTAGTTTTTATTTGAAGATATTTCCTTTCTCACCATAGACCTGAAAGCTGTCCTAATGTTTACTTCCAGTTACTACAGAAAGAGTGTTTCAAAACTGCTGTACGAAAGGGAATGTTCAACTCTGTGACTTGAATGCACACATCACAAAGAAGTTTCTGAGGATGCTGCTGTCTACTTTTTATACGTAATCCCGTTTCCAACGAAATCCTCCAAGCTATCCAAATATCCACTTGCAGATTCCACAGAAAGACTGTTTCAAAACTGCTCTGTCAATAGAAAGGTTCAACTCCGTTAGCTGCGTGCATATATCCCAAAGAAGATTCTGAGATTGCTTCTGTCTAGTTTGTATGGGAAGATATTTCCCTTTTCACCGTAGGCGTCAAGGCGCTCCAAATGTCCACTTCCAGATACTACAAAAAGAGTGTTTCAAACCTACTCTGTGAAAGGGAATATTCAACTCTGTGACTTGAATGCACATATCACAAAGAAGTTTCTGAGAATGCTTCTGTCGAGATTTTATATGAAGATATTCCCGTTTCCAACGAAATCCTGAAATGTATCCAAATATCCCCTCGCAGATTCTACAAAAAGAGTGTTTCAAAACTGCTCTGTAAAAAGAAAGGTTCAACTCTGTTAGTTGAGTACACACATCACAAACAATTTTCACACAATGCTTCTTTCTAGCTTGTAGGGGAAGATATTCCCTTTATCACCATGGGCCTCAAACCGTCCGAAACGTCCACTTCCATATACTAAAAAAAGAGCGTTTCAAACCTGCTCTAGGAAAGGCAATGTTCAACTCTGTGACTTGAATGCAGACATCACATAGCAGTTTCTGAGAATGCTTCTGTCTAGATTTTATAAGAAGATATTCCCGTTTCCAACGAAATCTTCACAGCTATCCAAATATCCACTTGCAGATTCTACAAAAAGAGTGTATCAAAACTGCTCTGTCAAAAGGAAGGTTCTTCTCTCTTAGGTGAGTGCATACGTCATAAAGGAGTTTCTGAGAATGTTTCTGTCTAGTGGTTATGGGAAGATATTTGCTTTTTCACCGTAGGCCTCAGAGCGCTCCAAATATCCACTTGCACATACTACAAAAAGAGTGCCTCAAAGCTGCTCTCAGAAACGGAATGTTCAACTCTATGAGTTGAATGCAAACATCGCAAAGACGTTTCTGAGAATGCTTCTGTCTAGATTTGATATGACGATATTCCCGTTTCCAACGAAATCTTCAAATCTATCCAAATGTCCACTTGCAGATTCAACAAAAAGTGTTTTTCAGAACTGCTCTATCAAAAGAAAGATCCACCTCTGTTAGCTGAGTTCACACATCACAAACAAGTTTATGAGAATGCTTCTGTCTAGTTTTTATTTGAAGATATTTCCTTTCTCATCATAGAGCTGAAAGCTGTCCTAATGTTCACTTCCAGATACTACAGAAAGAGTGTTTCAAAACTGTTGTACGAAAGGGAATGTTCAACTCTGTGACTTGAATGCACACATCACAAAGAAGTTTCTGAGGATGCTGCTGTCTACTTTTTATACGTAATCCCGTTTCCAACGAAATCCTCCAGGCTATCCAAATATCCACTTGCAGATTCCACAGAAACACTGTTTGAAATCTGCTCTGTCAATAGAAAAGTTCAACTCTATTAGCTGCGTGCATATATCCCAAAGAAGATTCTGAGATTGCTTCTGTCTAGTTTTTATGGGAAGATATTTCCCTTTTCACCGTAGGCGTCAAGGCGCTCCAAATGTCCACTTCCAGATAGTACAAAAAGAGTGTTTCAAACCTACTCTGTGAAAGGGAATATTCAACTCTGTGACTTGAATGCACATATCACAAAGAAGTTTCTGAGAATGCTTCTGTCGAGATTTTGTATGAAGATATTCCCGTTTCCAACGAAATCCTGAAATCTATCCAAATTTCCCCTCGCAGATTCTACAAAAAGAGTGTTTCAAAACTGCTCTGTGAAAAGAAAGGTTCAACTCTGTTAGTTGAGTACACACATCACAAACAAGTTTCACAGAATGCTTCTTTCTAGCTTGTAGGGGAAGATATTCCCTTTATCACCATGGGCCTCAAACCGTCCGAAAAGTCCACTTCCATATACTACAAAAAGAGCGTTTCAAACCTGCTATATGAAAGGCAATGTTCAACTCTGTGACTTGAATGCAGACATCACAGAGCAGTTTCTGAGAATGCTTCTGTCTAGATTTCATAAGAAGATATTCCCGTTTCCAACGAAATCTTCACAGCTATCCAAATATCCACTTGGAGATTCTACAAAAAGAGTGTATCAAAACTGCTCTGTCAAAAGGAAGGTTCTTCTCTGTTAGGTGAGTGCATACGTCATAAAGGAGTTTCTGAGAATGTATCTGTCTAGTGGTTATGGGAAGATATTTGCTTTTTCACCGTAGGCCTCAGAGCGCTCCAAATACCCACTTGCACATACTACAAAAAGAGTGCCTCAAAGCTGCTCTCTGAAACGGAATGTTCAACTCTATGAGTTGAATGCAAACATCACAAAGACGTTTCTGAGAATGCTTCTGTCTAGATTTGATATGAAGATATTCCCGTTTCCAACGAAATCTTCAAATCTATCCAAATATCCACTTGCATATTCAACAAAAAGTGTTTTTCAGAACTGCTCTATCAAAAGAAAGATCCACCTCTGTTAGCTGAGTTCACACATCACAAAAAGGTTTATGAGAATGCTTCTGTCTAGTTTTTATTTGAAGATATTTCCTTTCTCACCATAGAGCTGAAAGCTGTCCTAATGTTCACTTCCAGATACTACAGAAAGAGTGTTTCAAAACTGCTGTACGAAAGGGAATGTTCAACTCTGTGACTTGAATGCACACATCACAAAGTAGTTTCGGAGGATGCTGCTGTCTACTTTTTATACGTAATCCCGTTTCCAACAAAATCCTCCAAGCTATCCAAATATCCACTTGCAGATTCCACAGAAAGACTGTTTCAAAACTGCTCTGTCAATAGAAAGGTTCAACTCTGTTAGCTGCGTGCATATATCCCAAAGAAGATTCTGAGATTGCTTCTGTCTAGTTTTTATGGGAAGATATTTCCCTTTTCACCGTAGGCATCAAGGCGCTCCAAATGTCCACTTCCAGATACTACAAAAAGAGTGTTTCAAACCTACTCTGTGAAAGGGAATATTCAACTCTGTGACTTGAATGCAGATATCACAAAGAAGTTTCTGAGAATGCTTCTGTCTAGATTTTATAGGAAGATATTCCCGTTTCCAATGAAATCTTCACAGCTATCCAAATATCCACTTGCAGATTCTACAAAAAGAGTGTATCAAAACTGCTCTGTCAAAAGGAAGGTTCTTCTCTGTTAGGTGAGTGCATACTTCATAAAGGAGTTTCTGAGAATGTTTCTTTCTAGCTTGTAGGGTAAGATATTCCCTTTATCACCATGGGCCTCAAGCCGTCCGAAACGTCTACTTCCATATACTACAAAAAGAGCGTTTCAAACCTGCTCTATGAAAGGCAATGTTCAACTCTGTGACTTGAATGCAGACATCACAGAGCAGTTTCTGAGAATGCTTTCTGTCTAGATTTTATAGGAAGATATTCCCGTTTCCAACGAAATCTTCACAGCTATCCAAATATCCACTTGCAGATTCTACAAAAAGAGTGTATCAAAACTGCTCTGTCAAAAGGAAGGTTCTTTTCTGTTAGGTGAGTGCATACGTCATAAAGGAGTTTCTGAGAATGTTTGTCTGTCTAGTGGTTATGGGAAGATATTTGCTTTTTCACCGTAGGCCTCAGGGCGCTCCAAATGTCCACTTGCACATGCTACAAAAAGAGTGCTTCAAAGCTGCTCTCTGAAAGGGAATGTTCAACTCTATGAGTTGAATGCAAACATTACAAAGACGTCTCTGAGAATGCTTCTGTCTAGATTTGATATGAAGATATTCCCGTTTCCAAGGAAATCTTCAAATCTATCCAAATGTCCACTTTCAGATTCAACAAAAAGTGTTTTTCAAAACTGCTGTATCAAAAGAAAGATCCACGTCTGTTAGCTGAGTTCACACATCACAAACAAGTTTATGAGAATGCCTCTGTGTAGTTTTTATTTGAAGATATTTCCTTTCTCACCATAGACCTGAATGCTGTCCTAATGTTCACTTCCAGATACTACAGAAAGAGTTTTTCAAAACTGCTGTACGAAAGGGAATATTCAACTCTGTGACTTGAATGCACACATCACAAAGAAGTTTCTGAGGATGCTGCTGTCTACTTTTTACACGTAGTCCCGTTTCCAAAGAAATCCTCCAAGCTATCCAAATATCCACTTGCAGATTCCACAGAAAGACTGTTTCAAAACTGCTCTGTCAATAGAAAGGTTCAACTGCTGTTAGCTGCGTGCATATATCCCAAAGAAGATTCTGAGATTGCTTCTGTCTAGTTTTTATCGGGAAGATATTTCCCTTTTCACCGTAGGTGTCAAGGTGCTCCAAATGTCCACTTCCAGATACTACAAAAAGAGTGTTTCAAACCTACTCTGTGAAAGGGAATATTCAACTCTGTGACTTGAATGCAGATATCACAAAGAAGTTTCTGAGAATGCTTCTGTCGAGATTTTATATGAAGATATTCCCGTTTCCATCGAAATCCTGAAATCTATCCAAATATCCCCTCGCAGATTCTACAAAAAGAGTGTTTCAAAACTGCTCTGTAAAAAGAAAGGTTCAACTCTGTTAGTTGAGTACACACATCACAAACAAGTTTCACACAATGCTTCTTTCTAGCTTGTAGGGGAAGATATTCCCTTTATCACCATGGGCCTCAAACCGTCCGAAACGTCCACTTCCATATACTACAAAAAGAGTGTTTCAAACCTGCTCTATGAAAGGCAATGTTCAACTCTGTGACTTGAATGCAGACATCACAGAGCAGTTTCTGAGAATGCTTCTGTCTAGATTTTATAGGAAGATATTCCCGTTTCCAACGAAATCTTCACAGGTATCCAAATATCCACTTGCAGATTCTACAAAAAGAGTGTATCAAAACTTCTCTGTCAAAAGGAAGGTTCTTCTCTGTTAGGTGAGTGCATACGTCATAAAGGAGTTTCTGAGAATGTTTCTGTCTAGTGGTTATGGGAAGATATTTGCTTTTTCACCGTTGGCCTCACAGCGCACCAAATATCCACTTGCACATACTACAAAAAGAGTGCCTCAAAGCTGCTCTCTGAAACGGAATGTTCAACTCTATGAGTTGAATGCAAACATCACAAAGACGTTTCTGAGAATGCTTCTGTCTAGATTTGATATGAAGATATTCCCGTTTCCAACGAAATCTTCAAATCTATCCAAATGTCCACTTGCAGATTCAACAAAAAGTGTTTTTCAGAACTGCTCTATCAAAAGAAAGATCCACCTCTGTTAGCTGAGTTCACACATCATAAACAAGTTTATGAGAATGCTTCTGTCTAGTTTTTATTTGAAGATATTTCCTTTCTCACCATAGAGCTGAAAGCTGTCCTAATGTTCACTTCCAGATACTACAGAAAGAGTGTTTCAAAATTGCTGTACGAAAGGGAATGTTCAACTCTGTGACTTGAATGCACACATCACAAAGAAGTTTCTGAGGATGCTGCTGTTTACTTTTTATACGTAATCCCGTTTCCAACGAAATCCTCCAAGCTATCCAAATATCCACTTGCAGATTCCACAGAAAGACTGTTTCAAAACTGCTCTGTCAATAGAAAGGTTCAACTCTGTTAGCTGCGTGCATATATCCCAAAGAAGATTCTGAGATTGCTTCTGTCTAGTTTTTATGGGAAGATATTTCCCTTTTCACCGTAGGCGTCAAGGCACTCCAAATGTCCACTTCCAGATACTACAAAAAGAGTGTTTCAAACCTACTCTGTGAAAGGGAATATTCAACTCTGTGACTTGAAGGCAGATATCACAAAGAAGTTTCTGAGAATGCTTCTGTCGAGATTTTATATGAAGATATTCCCGTTTCCAACGAAATCCTGAAATCTATCCAAATATCCCCTCGCAGATTCTACAAAAAGAGTGTTTCAAAACTGCTCTGTAAAAAGAAAGGTTCAACTCTGTTAGTTGAATACACACATCACAAACAAGTTTCACAGAGTGCTTCTTTCTAGCTTGTAGGGGAAGATATTCCCTTTATCACCATGGTCCTCAAACCGTCCGAAACGTCCTCTTCCATATAGTACAAAAAGAGCGTTTCTAACCTGCTCTATGAAAGTCAATGTTCAACTCTGTGACTTGAATGCAGACATCACAGAGCAGTTTCTGAGAATGCTTCTGTCTAGATTTTATAGGAAGGTATTCCCGTTTCCAACGAAATCTTCACAGCTATCCAAATATCCACTTGCAGATTCTACAAAAAGAGTGTATCAAAACTGCTCTGTCAAAAGGAAGGTTCTTCTCTGTTAGTTGAGTACATACGTCATAAAGGAGTTTGTGAGAATGTTTCTGTCTAGTGGTTATGGGAAGATATTTGCTTTTTCACCGAGGGCCTCAGAGCGCTCCAAATATCCACTTGCACATACTACAAAAAGAGTGCCTCAAAGCTGCTCTCTGAAACGGAATGTTCAACTCTATGAGTTGAATGCAAACATCACAAAGACGTTTCTGAGAATGCTTCTGTCTAGATTTGATATGAAGATATTCCCGTTTCCAAAGAAATCTTCAAATCTGTCCAAATGTCCACTTGCAGATTCAACAAAAAGTGTTTTTCAGAACTGCTCTATCAAAAGAAAGATCCACGTCTCTTAGCTGAGTTCACACATCACAAACAAGTTTATGAGAATGCTTCTGTCTAGTTTTTATTTGAAGATATTTCCTTTCTCACCATAGACCTGAAAGCTGTCCTAATGTTCACTTCCAGATGCTACAGAAAGAGTGTTTCAAAACTGCTGTACGAAAGGGTATGTTCAACTCTGTGACTTGAATGCACACATCACAAAGAAGTTTCTGAGGATGCTGCTGTCTACTTTTTATACGTAATCCCGTTTCCAACGAAATCCTCCAAGCTATCCAAATATCCACTTGCAGATTCCACAGAAAGACTGTTTCAAAACTGCTCTGTCAATAGAAAGGTTCAACTATGTTAGCTGCGTGCATATATCCCAAAGAAGATTCTGAGATTGCTTCTGTCTACTTTTTATGAGAAGATATTTCCCTGTTCACCGTAGGCGTCAAGGCGCTCCAAATGTCCACTTCCAGATACTACAAAAAGAGTGTTTCAAACCTACTCTGTGAAAGGGAATATTCAACTCTGTGACTTGAATGCACATATCACAAAGAAGTTTCAGAGAATGCTTCTGTCGAGATTTTATATGAAGATATTCCCGTTTCCAACGAAATCCTGAAATCTATCCAAATATCCCCTCGCAGATTCTACAAAAAGAGTGTTTCAAAACTGCTCTGTATAAAGAAAGGTTCAACACTGTTAGTTGAGTACACACATCTCAAACAAGTTTCACAGAATGCTTCTTTCTAGCTTGTAGGGGAAGATATTCCCTTTATCACCATGGGCCTCCAACCGTACGAAACATCCACTTCCATATACTACAAAAAGAGCGTTTCAAACCTGCTCTAGGAAAGGCAATGTTCAACTCTGTGACTTGAATGCAGACATCACAGAGCAGTTTCTGAGAATGCTTCTGTCTAGATTTTATACGAATATATTCCCGTTTCCAACGAAATCTTCACAGCTATCCAAATATCCACTTGCAGATTCTACAAAAAGAGTGTATCAAAACTGCTCTGTCAAAAGGAAGGTTCTTTTCTGTTAGGTGAGTGCATACGTCATAAAGGAGTTTCTGAGAATGTTTCTCTCTAGTGGTTATGGGAAGATATTTGCTTTTTCACCGTAGGCCTCAGAGCGCTCCAAATATCCACTTGCACATACTACAAAAAGAGTGCCTCAAAGCTGCTCTCTGAAACGGAATGTTCAACTCTATGAGTTGAATGCAAACATCACAAAGACGTTTCTGAGAATGCTTCTGTCTAGATTTGATATGAAGATATTCCCGTTTCCAACAAAATCTTCAAATCTATCCAAATGTCCACTTGCAGATTCAACAAAAAGTGTTTTTCAGAACTGCTCTATCAAAAGAAAGATCCACCTCTGTTAGCTGAGTTCACACATCACAAACAAGTTTATGAGAATGCTTCTGTCTAGTTTTTATTTGAAGATATTTCCTTTCTCACCATAGACCTGAAAGCTGTCCTAATGTTCACTTCCAGATACTACAGAAAGAGTGTTTCAAAACTGCCGTACGAAAGGGAATGTTCAACTCTGTGACTTGAATGCACACATCACAAAGAAGTTTCTGAGGATGCTGCTGTCTACTTTTTATACGTAATCCCGTTTCCAACGAAATCCTCCAAGCTATCCAAATATCCACTTGCAGATTCCTCAGAAAGACTGTTTCAAAACTGCTCTGTCAATAGAAAGGTTCAACTACTGTTAGCTGCGTGCATATATCCCAAAGAAGATTACTGAGATTGCTTCTGTCTACTTTTTATGAGAAGATATTTCCCTTTTCACCGTAGGCATCAAGGCGCTCCAAATGTCCACTTCCAGATACTACAAAAAGTGTGTTTCAAACCTACTCTGTGAAAGGGAATATTCAACTCTGTGACTTGAATGCACATATCACAAAGAAGCTTCTGAGAATGCTTCTGTCGAGATTTTATATGAAGATATTCCCGTTTCCAACGAAATCCTGAAATGTATCCAAATATCCCCTCGCAGATTCTACAAAAAGAGTGTTTCAAAACTGCTCTGTAAAAAGAAAGGTTCAACTCTGTTAGTTGAGTACACACATCACAAATAAGTTTCACACAATGCTTCTTTCTAGCTTGTAGGGGAAGATATTCCCTTTATCACCATGGGCCTCAAACCGTCTGAAACGTCCACTTCCATATACTACAAAAAGAGCATTTCAAACCTGCTGTATGAAAGGCAATGTTCAACTCTGTGACTTGAATGCAGACATCACAGAGCAGTTTCTGAGAATGCTTCTGTCTAGATTTTATAGGAAGATATTCCCGTTTCCAACGAAATCTTCACAGCTATCCAAATATCCACTTGCAGATTCTACAAAAAGAGTGTATCAAAACTGCTCTGTCAAAAGGACGGTTCTTCTCTGTTAGGTGAGTGCATACGTCATAAAGGAGTTTCTGAGAATGTTTCTGTCTAGTGGTTATGGGAAGATATTTGCTTTTTCACCGTAGGCCTCAGAGCGCTCCAAATATCCACTTGCACATACTACAAAAAGAGTGCTTCACAGCTGCTCTCTGAAAGGGAATATTCAACTCTATGAGTTGAATGCAAACATCACAAAGACGTTTCTGAGAATGCTTCTGTCTAGATTTGATATGAAGATATTCCCGTTTCCAACGAAATCTTCAAATCTTTTCAAATGTCCACTTGCAGATTCAACAAAAAGTGTTTTTCAGAACTGCTCTATCAAAAGAAAGATCCACTTCTGTTAGCTGAGTTCACACATCACAAACAAGTTTATGAGAATGCTTCTGTCTAGTTTTTATTTGAAGATATTTCCTTTCTCACCATAGACCTGAAAGCTGTCTTAATGTTCACTTCCAGATACTACAGAAAGAGTGTTTCAAAACTGCTGTACGAAAGGGAATGTTCAACACTCTGACTTGAATGCACACATCACAAAGAAGTTTCTGAGGATGCTGCTGTCTACTTTTTATACGTAATCCCGTTTCCAACGAAATCCTCCAATCTATCCAAATATCCACTTGCAGATTCCACAGAAAGACTGTTTCAAAACTGCTCTGTCAATAGAAAGGTTCAACTCTGTTAGCTGCGTGCATATATCCCAAAGAAGATTCTGAGATTGCTTATCTGTCTAGTTTTTATGGGAAGATATTTCCCTTTTCACCGTAGGCATCAAGGCGCTCCAAATGTCCACTTCCAGATACTATAAAAAGTGTGTTTCAAACCTACTCTGTGAAAGGGAATATTCAACTCTGTGACTTGAATGCACATATCACAAAGAAGCTTCTGAGAATGCTTCTGTCGAGATTTTAAATGAAGATATTCCCCTTTCCAACGAAATCCTGAAATCTATCCAAATATCCCCTCGCAGATTCTACAAAAAGAGTGTTTCTAAACTGCTCTGTAAAATGAAAGGTTCAACTCTGTTAGTTGAGTACACACATCACAAACAAGTTTCACAGAATGCTTCTTTCTAGCTTGTAGGGGAAGATATTCCCCTTTATCACCATGGGCCTCAAACCGTCCGAAAAGTCCACTTCCATATACTACAAAAAGAGCATTTCAAACCTGCTCTATGAAAGGCAATGTTCAACTCTGTGACTTGAATGCAGACATCACAGAGCAGTTTCTGAGAATGCTTCTGTCTAGATTTTATAGGAAGATATTCCCGTTTCCAACGAAATCTTCACAGCTATCCAAATATGCACTTGCAGATTCTACAAAAAGAGTGTATCAAAACTGCTCTGTCAAAAAGAAGGTTCTTCTCTGTTAGTTGAGTACATACGTCATAAAGGAGTTTCTGAGAATGTTTCTGTCTAGTGGTTATGGGAAGATATTTGCTTTTTCACTGTAGGCCTCAGAGCGCTCCAAATATCCACTTGCACATACTACAAAAAGAGTGCCTCAAAGCTGCTCTCTGAAACGGAATGTTCAACTCTATGAGTTGAATGCAAACATCGCAAAGACGTTTCTGAGAATGCTTCTGTCTAGATTTGATATGAAGATATTCCCGTTTCCAACGAAATCTTCAAATCTATCCAAATGTCCACTTGCAGATTCAACAAAAAGTGTTTTTTAGAACTGCTCTATCAAAAGAAAGATCCACCTCTGTTAGCTGAGTTCACACATCACAAACAAGTTTATGAGAATGCTTCTGTCTAGCTTTTATTTGAAGATATATCCTTTCTCACTATAGACCTGAAAGCTCTCCTAAAGTTCACTTCCAGATACTACAGAAAGAGTGTTTCAAAACTGCTGTACGAAAGGGAATGTTCAACTCTGTGACTTGAATGCACACATCACAAGGATGTTTCTGAGGATGCTGCTGTCTACTTTTTATACGTAATCCCGTTTCCAACGAAATCCTCCAAGCTATCCAAATATCCACTTGCAGATTCCACAGAAAGACTCTTTCAAAAGTGCTCTCTCAATAGAAAGGTTCAACTCTGTTAGCTGCGTGCATATATCCCAAAGAAGATTCTGAGATTGCTTCTGTCTAGTTTTTATGGGAAGATATTTCCCTTTTCACCGTAGGTGTCAAGGCGCTCCAAATGTCCACTTCCAGATACTACAAAAAGAGTGTTTCAAACCTACTCTGTGAAAGGGAATATTCAACTCTGTGACTTGAATGCAGATATCACAAAGTAGTTTCTGAGAATGCTTCTGTCGAGATTTTGTATGAAGATATTCCCGTTTCCAACGAAATCCTGAAATCTATCCAAATTTCCCCTCGCAGATTCTACAAAAAGAGTGTTTCAAAACTGCTCTGTAAAAAGAAAGGTTCAACTCTGTTAGTTGAGTACACACATCACAAACAAGTTTCACAGAATGCTTCTTTCTAGCTTGTAGGGGAAGATATTCCCTTTATCACCATGGGCCTCAAACCGTCCGAAAAGTCCACTTCCATATACTACAAAAAGAGCGTTTCAAACCTGCTCTATGAAAGGCAATGTTCAACTCTGTGACTTGAATGCAGACATCACAGAGCAGTTTGCTGAGAATGCTTCTGTCTAGTATGTTATAGGAAGATATTCCCGTTTCCAACGAAATCTTCACAGGTATCCAAATATCCACTTGCAGATTCTACAAAAAGAGTGTATCAAAACTGCTCTGTCAAAAGGAAGGTTCTTCTCTGTTAGGTGAGTGCATACGTCATAAAGGAGTTTCTGAGAATGTTTCTGTCTAGTGGTTATGGGAAGATATTTGCTTTTTCACCGTAGGCCTCAGAGCGCTCCAAATATCCACTTGCACATACTACAAAAAGAGTGCTTCAAAGCTGGTCTCTGAAAGGGAATGTTCAACTCTATGAGTTGAATGCAAACATCACAAAGACGTTTCTGAGAATGCTTCTGTCTAGATTTGATATGAAGATATTCCCGTTTCCAACGAAATCTTCAAATCTATCCAAATGTCCACTTGCAGATTCAACAAAAAGGGTTTTTCAGAACTGCTCTATCAAAAGAAAGATCCACCTCTGTTAGCTGAGTTCACACATCACAAACAAGTTTATGAGAATGCTTCTGTCTAGTTTTTATTTGAAGATATTTCCTTTCTCACCATAGACCTGAAAGCTGTCTTAATGTTCACTTCCAGATACTACAGAAAGAGTGTTTCAAAACTGCTGTACGAAAGGGAATGTTCAACTCTGTGACTTGAATGCACACATCACAAAGAAGTTTCTGAGGATGCTGCTGTCTACTTTTTATACGTAATCCCGTTTCCAAAGAAATCCTCCAAGCTATCCAAATATCCACTTGCAGATTCCACAGAAAGACTGTTTCAAAACTGCTCTGTCAATAGAAAGGTTCAACTCTGTTAGCTGCGTACATATATCCCAAAGAAGATTCTGAGATTGCTTCTGTCTAGTTTTTATGGGAAGATATTTCCCTTTTCACTGTAGGTGTCAAGGCGCTCCAAATGTCCACTTCCAGATACTACAAAAAGAGTGTTTCAAACCTACTCTGTGAAAGGGAATATTCAACTCTGTGACTTGAATGCACATATCACAAAGAAGTTTCTGAGAATGCTTCTGTCGAGATTTTATATGAAGATATTCCCGTTTCCAACGAAATCCTGAAATCTATCCAAATATCCCCTCGCAGATTCTACAAAAAGAGTGTTTCAAAACTGCTCTGTAAAAAGGAAGGTTCTTCTCTGTTAGGTGAGTGCATACGTCATAAAGGAGTTTCTGAGAATGTTTCTGTCTAGTGGTTATGGGAAGATATTTGCTTTTTCCCCGTAGGCCTCAGGGCCCTCCAAATGTCCACTTGCACATGGTACAAAAAGAGTGCTTCAAAGCTGCTCTCTGAAAGGGAATGTTCAACTCTATGAGTTGAATGCAAACATCGGAAAGACGTTTCTGAGAATGCTTCTGTCTAGATTTTATAGGAAGATATTACCGTTTCCAACGAAATCTTCACAGCTATCCAAATATCCACTTGCAGATTCTACAAAAAGAGTGTATCAAAACTGCTCTGTAAAAAGGAAGGTTCTTCTCTGTTAGGTGAGTGCACACGTCATAAAGGAGTTTCTGAGAATGTTTCTGTCTAGTGGTTATGGGAAGATATTTGCTTTTTCACCGTAGGCCTCAGAGCGCTCCAAATATCCACTTGCACATACTACAAAAAGAGTGCTTCAAAGCTGCTCTCTGAAAGGGAATTTTCAACTCTATGAGTTGAATGCAAACATCACAAAGACGTTTCTGAGAATGCTTCTGTCTAGATTTGATATGAAGATATTCCCGTTTCCAAAGAAATCTTCAAATCTATCCAAATGTCCACTTGCAGATTCAACAAAAAGTGTTTTTCAGAACTGCTCTATCAAAAGAAAGATCCACCTCTGTTAGCTGAGTTCACACATCAGAAACAAGTTTATGAGAATGCTTCTGTCTAGTTTTTATTTGAAGATATTTCCTTTCTCACCATAGACCTGAAAGCTGTCCTAATGTTCACTTCCAGATACTACAGAAAGAGTGTTTCAAAACTGCTGTACGAAAGGGAATGTTCAACACTGTGACTTGAAAGCACACATCACAAAGAAGTTTACTGAGGATGCTGCTGTCTACTTTTTATGCGTAATCCCGTTTCCAACGAAATCCTCCAAGCTATCCAAATATCCACTTGCATATTCCACAGAAAGACTGTTTCAAAACTGCTCTGTCAATAGAAAGGTTCAACTCTGTTAGCTGCGTGCATATATCCCAAAGAAGATTCTGAGATTGCTTCTGTCTACTTTTTATGAGAAGATATTTCCCTTTTCACCGTAGGCGTCGAGGCGCTCCAAATGTCCACTTCCAGATACTACAAAAAGAGTGTTTCAAACCTACTCTGTGAAAGGGAATATTCAACTCTGTGACTTGAATGCACATATCACAAAGAAGTTTCTGAGAATGCTTCTGTTGAGATTTTATATGAAGATATTCCCGTTTCCAACGAAATCCTGAAATCTATCCAAATACCCCCTCACAGATTGTACAAAAAGAGTGTTTCAAAACTGCTCTGTAAAAAGAAAGGTTCAACTCTGTTAGTTGAGTACACACATCACAAACAAGTTTCACAGAATGCTTCTTTCTAGCTTGTAGGGGAAGATATTCCCTTTATCACCATGGGCCTCAAACCGTCCGAAACGTCCACTTCCATATACTAAAAAAGGAGTGTTTCAAACCTGCTCTATGAAAGGCAATGTTCAACTCTGTGACTTGAATGCAGACATCACAGAGCAGTTACTGAGAATGCTTCTGTCTAGATTTTATAGGAAGATATTCCCGTTTCCAACGAAATCTTCACAGCTATCCAAATATCCAATTGCAGATTCTACAAAAAGAGTGTATCAAAACTGCTCTGTCCAAAGGAAGGTTCTTCTCTGTTAGGTGAGTGCATACGTCATAAAGGAGTTTCTGAGAATGTTTCTGTCTAGTGGTTGTGGGAAGATATTTGCTTTTTCACCTTAGGCCTCAGAGGACTCCAAATATCCACTTGCACGTACTACAAAAAGAGTGCTTCAAAGCTGCTCTCTGAAACGGAATGTTCAACTCTATGAGTTGAATGCAAACATCACAAAGACGTTTCTGAGAATGCTTCTGTCTAGATTTGATATGAAGATATTCCCGTTTCCAATGAAATCTTCAAATCTATCCAAATGTCCACTTGCAGATTCAACAAAGTGTTTTTCAGAACTGCTCTATCAAAAGAAAGATCCACCTCTGTTAGCTGAGATCACACTTCACAAACAAGTTTATCAGAATGCTTCTGTCTAGTTTTTATTTGAAAATATATCCTTTCTCACTATAGACCTTAAAGCTCTCCTAAAGTTCACTTCCAGATACTACAGAAAGAGTGTTTCAAAACTGCTGTACGAAAGGGAATGTTCAACTCTGTGACTTGAATGCACACATCACAAGGAAGTTTCTGAGGATGCTGCTGTCTACTTTTTATACTTAATCCCGTTTCCAACGAAATCCTCCAAGCTATCCAAATATCCACTTGCAGATTCCACAGAAAGACTGTTTCAAAACTGCTCTGTCAATAGAAAGGTTCAACTCTGTTAGCTGCGTGCATATATCCCAAAGCAGATTCTGAGATTGCTTCTGTCTAGTTTTTATGGGAAGATATTTCCCTTTTCACCGTAGGCGTCAAGGCGCTCCAAATGTCCACTTCCAGATACTACAAAAAGAGTGTTTCAAACCTACTCTGTGAAAGGGAATATTCAACTCTGTGACTTGAATGCACATATCACAAGGAAGTTTCTGAGAATGGTTCTGTCGAGATTTTGTATGAAGATATTCCCGTTTCCAACGAAATCCTGAAATCTATCCAAATTTCCCCTCGCAGATTCTACAAAAAGAGTGTTTCAAAACTGCTTTGTAAAAAGAAAGGTTCAACTCTGTTAGTTGAGTACACACATCACAAACAAGTTTCACAGAATGCTTCTTTCTAGCTTGTAGGAGAAGATTTTCCCTTTATCACCATGGGCCTCCAACCGTCCGAAACATCCACTTCCATATACTACAAAAAGAGCGTTTCAAACCTGCTCTATGAAAGGCAATGTTCAACTCTGTGACTTGAATGCAGACATCACAGAGCAGTTTCTGAGAATGCTTCTGTCTACATTTTATAGGAAGATATTCCCGTTTCCAACGAAATCTTCACAGGTATCCAAATATCCACTTGCAGATTCTACAAAAAGAGTGTATCAAAACTGCTCTGTCAAAAGGAAGGTTCTTCTCTGTTAGGTGAGTGCATACGTCATAAAGGAGTTTCTGAGAATGTTTCTGTCTAGTGGTTATGGGAAGATATTTGCTTTTTCACCGTAGGCCTCAGAGCGCTCCAAATATCTACTTGCACATACTACAAAAAGAGTGCCTCAAAGCTGCTCTCTGAAACGGAATGTTCAACTCTATGAGTTGAATGCCAACATCACAAAGACGTTTCTGAGAATGCTTCTGTCTAGATTTGATATGAAGATATTCCCGTTTCCAACGAAATCTTCAAATCTATCCAAATGTCCACTTGCAGATTCAACAAAAAGTGTTTTTCAGAACTGCTCTATCAAAAGAAAGATCCACCTCTGTTAGCTGAGTTCACACCTCACAAACAAGTTTATGAGAATGCTTCTGTCTAGTTTTTATTTGAAGATATTTCCTTTCTCACCATAGAGCTGAAAGCTGTCCTAATGTTCACTTCCAGATACTACAGAAAGAGTGTTTCAAAACTGCTGTATGAAAGGGAATGTTCAACTCTTTGACTTGAATGCACACATCACAAAGAAGTTTCTGAGGATGCTGCTGTCTACTTTTTATACGTAATCCCGTTTCTAACGAAATCCTCCAAGCTATCCAAATATCCACTTGCAGATTCCACAGAAAGACTGTTTCAAAACTGCTCTGTCAATAGAAAGGTTCAACTCTGTTAGCTGCGTGCATATATCCCAAAGAAGATTCTGAGATTGCTTCTGTCTAGTTTTTATGGGAAGATATTTCCCTTTTCACCGTAGGTGTCAAGGCACTCCAAATGTCCACTTCCAGATACTCCAAAAAGAGTGTTTCAAACCTACTCTCTGAAAGGGAATATTCAACTCTGTGACTTGAATGCAGATATCACAATGAAGTTTCTGAGAATGCTTCTGTCGAGATTTTATATGAAGATATTCCCGTTTCCAACGGAATCCTGAAATCTATCCAAATATCCCCTCGCAGATTCTACAAAAAGAGTGTTTCAAAACTGCTCTGTAAAAAGAAAGTTTCAACTCTGTTAGTTGAGTACACACATCACAAACAAGTTTCACAGAATGCTTCTTTCTAGCTTGTAGGGGAAGATATTCCCTTTATCACCATGGGCCTCAAACCGTCCGAAACCTCCAGTTACATATACTACAAAAAGAGCGTTTCAAACCTGCTCTATGAAAGGCAATGTTCAACTCTGTGACTTGAATGCAGACATCACAGAGCTGTTTCTGAGAATGCTTCTGTCTAGATTTTATAGGAAGATATTCCCGTTTCCAACGAAATCTTCACAGCTATCCAAATATCCATTTGCAGATTCTACAAAAAGAGTGTATCAAAACTGCTCTGTCAAAAGGAAGGTTCTTCTCTGTTAGTTGAGTACATACGTCATAAAGGAGTTTCTGAGAATGTTTCTGTCTAGTGGTTATGGGAAGATATTTGCTTTTTCCCCGTAGGCCTCAGGGCGCTCCAAATGTCCACTTGCACATGCTACAAAAAGAGTGCTTCAAAGCTGCTCTCTGAAAGGGAATGTTCAACTCTATGAGTTGAATGCAAACATCACAAAGACGTCTCTGAGAATGCTTCTGTCTAGATTTGATATGAAGATATTCCCGTTTCCAAAGAAATCTTCAAATCTATCCAAATGTCCACTTGCAGATTCATCAAAAAGTGTTTTTCAGAACTGCTCTATCAAAAGAAAGATCCACCTCTGTTAGCTGAGTTCACACATCACAAACAAGTTTATGAGAATGCTTCTGTCTAGTTTTTATTTGAAGATATTTCCTTTCTCACCATAGACCTGAAAGCTGTCCTAAAGTTCACTTCCAGATACTACAGAAAGAGCGTTTCAAAACTGCTGTATGAAAGGGAATGTTCAACCTTGTGACTTGAATGCACACATCACAAAGAAGTTTCTGAGGATGCTGCTGTCTACTTTTTATACGTAATCCCGTTTCCAACGAAATCCTCCAAGCTATCCAAATATCCACTTGCAGATTCCACAGAAAGACTGTTTCAAAACTGCTCTGTCAATAGAAAGGTTCAACTCTGTTAGCTGCGTACATATATCCCAAAGAAGATTCTGAGATTGTTTCTGTCTAGTTTTTATGGGAAGATATTTCCCTTTTCACCGTAGGCAGTCAAGGCGCTCCAAATGTCCACTTCCAGATACTACAAAAAGAGTGTTTCAAACCTACTCTGTGAAAGGGAATATTCAACTCTGTGACTTGAATGCACATATCACAAAGAAGTTTCTGAGAATGCTTCTGTCGAGATTTTGTATGAAGATATTCCCGTTTCCAACGAAATCCTGAAATCTATCCAAATTTCCCCTCGCAGATTCTACAAAAAGAGTGTTTCAAAACTGCTCTGTAAAAAGAAAGGTTCAACACTGTTAGTTGAGTACACACATCACAAACAAGTTTCACAGAATGCTTCTTTCTAGCTTGTAGGGGAAGATATTCCCTTTATCACCATGGTCCTCAAACCGTTCGAAACGTCCTGTTCCATATAGTACAAAAAGAGCCTTTCAAACCTGCTCTATGAAAGGCAATGTTCAACTCTGTGACTTGAATGCAGACATCACAGAGCAGTTTCTGAGAATGCTTCTGTCTAGATTTTATAGGAAGATATTCCCGTTTCCAACGAAATCTTCACAGCTATCCAAATATCCACTTGCAGATTCTACAAAAAGAGTGTATCAAAACTGCTCTTTCAAAAGGAAGGTTCTTCTCTGTTAGTTGAGTACATACGTCATAAAGGAGTTTCTGAGAATGTTTCTGTCTAGTGGTTATGGGAAGATATTTGCTTTTTCATCTTAGGCCTCAGAGCGCTCCAAATATCCACTTGCACATACTACAAAAAGAGTGCTTCAAAGCTGCTCTCTGAAACGGAATGTTCAACTCTATGAGTTGAATGCAAACATGACAAAGACGTTTCCGAGAATGCTTCTGTCTAGATTTGATATGAAGATATTCCCGTTTCCAACGAAATCTTCAAATCTATCCAAATGTCCACTTGCAGATTCAACAAAAAGTGTTTTTCAGAACTGCTCTTTCAAAAGAAAGATTCACCTCTGTTAGCTGAGTTCACACATCACAAACAAGTTTATGAGAATGCTTCTGTCTAGTTTTTATTTGAAGATATTTCCTTTCTCACCATAGACCTGAAAGATGTCCTAATGTTCACTTAGAGATACTACAGAAAGAGTGTTTCAAAACGGCTGTACGAAAGGGAATGTTCAACACTGTGACATGAATGCACACATCACAAAGAAGTTTCTGAGGATGCTGCTGTCTACTTTTTATACGTAATCCCGTTTCCAACGAAATCCTCCAATCTATCCAAATATCCACTTGCAGATTCCACAGAAGGACTGTTTCAAAACTGCTCTGTCAATAGAAAGGTTAAACTCTGTTAGCTGCGTGCATATATCCCAAAGAAGATTCTGAGATTGCTTCTGTCTACTTTTTATGAGAAGATATTTCCCTTTTCACCGTAGGCGTCAATGTGCTCCAAATGTCCACTTCCAGATACTACAAAAAGAGTGTCTCAAACCTACTCTGTGAAAGGGAATATTCAACTCTGTGACTTGAATGCACATATCACAAAGAAGCTTCTGAGAATGCTTCTGTCGAGATTTTATATGAAGATATACCCGTTTCCAATGAAATCCTGAAATCTATCCAAATATCCCCTCGCAGATTCTAGAAAAAGAGTGTTTCAAAACTGCTCTGTGAAAAGAAAGGTTCAACTCTGTTAGTTGAGTACACACATCACAAACAAGTTTCACAGAATGCTTCTTTCTAGCTTGTAGGGGAAGATATTCCCTTTATCACCATGGGCCTCCAACCGTCCGAAACATCCACTTCCATATACTACAAAAAGAGCGTTTCAAACCTGCTCTATGAAAGGCAATGTTGAACTCTGTGTCTTGAATGCAGACATCACAGAGCAGTTTCTGAGAATGCTTCTGTCTAGATTTTATAGGAAGATATTCCCGTTTCCAACGAAATCTTCACAGCTATCCAAATATCCAGTTGCAGATTCTACAAAAAGAGTGTATCAAAACTGCTCTGTCAAAAGGAAGGTTCTTCTCTGTTAGGTGAGTGCATACGTCATAAAGGAGTTTCTGAGAATGTTTCTGTCTAGTGGTTATGGGAAGATATTTGCTTTTTCCCCGTAGGCCTCAGGGCGCTACAAATGTCCACTTGCACATGCTACAAAAAGAGTGCTTCAAAGCTGCTCTCTGAAAGGGAATGTTCAACTCTATGAGTTGAATGCAAACATCACAAAGACGTTTCTGAGAATGCTTCTGTCTAGATTTTATACGAAGATATTCCCGTTTCCAACGAAATCTTCAAATCTATCCAAATATCCACTTTCAGATTCTACAAAAAGTGTTTTTCAAAACTACTATATCAAAAGAAATATCCACCTCTGTTAGCTGAGTTCACACATCACAAACAATTTTATGAGAATGCTTCTGTCTAGTTTTTATTTGAAGATATTTCCTTTCTCACCATAGAGCTGAAAGCTGTCCTAATGTTCACTTCCAGATACTACAGAAAGAGTGTTTCAAAACTGCTGTACGAAAGGGAATGTTCAACTCTGTGACTTGAATGCACACATCACAAAGAAGTTTCTGAGGTGCTGCTGTCTACTTTTTATACGTAATCCCGTTTCCAACGAAATCCTCCAAGCTATCCAAATATCCACTTGCAGATTCCACAGAAAGACTGTTTCAAAACTGCTCTGTCAATAGAAAGGTTCAACTCTGTTAGCTGCGTGCATATATCCCAAAGAATATTCTGAGATTGCTTCTGTCTACTTTTTATGAGAAGATATTTCCGTTTTCACCGTAGGCGTCAAGGCGCTCCAAATGTCCACTTCCAGATACTACAAAAAGAGTGTTTCAAACCTACTCTGTGAAAGGGAATATTCAACTCTGTGACTTGAATGCACATATCACAAAGAAGCTTCTTAGAATGCTTCTGTCGAGATTTTATATGAAGATATTCCCGTTTACAACGAAATCCTGAAATCTATCGAAATATCCCCTCGCAGATTCTACAAAAAGAGTGTTTCAAAACTGCTCTGTAAAAAGAAAGGTTCAACTCTGTTAGTTGAGTACACACATCACAAACAAGTTTCACAGAATGCTTCTTTCTAGCTTGTAGGGGAAGATATTCCCTTTATCACCATGGGCCTCAAACCGTCCGAAACGTCCACTTCCCTATACTACAAAAAGAGGGTTTCAAACCTGCTCTAGGAAAGGCAATGTTCAACTCTGTGACTTGAATGCAGACATCACAGAGCAGTTTCTGAGAATGCTTCTGTCTAGATTTTATAGGAAGATATTCCCGTTTCCAACGAAATCTTCACAGCTATCCAAATATCCACTTGCAGATTCTACAAAAAGAGTGTATCAAAACTTCTCTGTCAAAAGGAAGGTTCTTCTCTGTTAGGTGAGTGCATACGTCATAAAGGAGTTTCTGAGAATGTTTCTGTCTAGTGGTTATGGGAAGATATTTGCTTTTTCCCCGTAGGCCTCAGAGCGCTCAAAATATCTACTTGCACATACTACAAAAAGAGTGCTTCAAAGCTGCTCTCTGAAAGGGAATGTTCATCTCCATGAGTTTAATTGAAACATCACAAAGACGTTTCTGAGAATGCTTCTGTCTAGATTTGATATGAAGATATTCCCGTTTCCAACGAAATCTTCAAATCTATCCAAATGTCCACTTGCAGATTCAACAAAAAGTGTTTTTCAGAACTGCTCTATCAAAAGAAAGATCCACCTCTGTTAGCTGAGTTGACACATCACAAACAAGTTTATGAGAATGCTTCTGTCTAGTTTTTATTTGAAGATATATCCTTTCTCACTATAGACCTGAAAGCTCTCCTAAAGTTCACTTCCAGATACTACAGAAAGAGTGTTTCAAAACTGCTGTACGAAAGGGAATGTTCAACTCTGTGACTTGAATGCACACATCACAAAGAAGTTTCTGAGGATGCTGCTGTCTACTTTTTATACGTAATCCCGTTTCCAACGAAATCCTCCAAGCTATCCAAATATCCACTTGCAGATTCCACAGAAAGACTGTTTCAAAACTGCTCTGGCAATAGAAAGGTTCAACTCTGTTAGCTGCGTGCATATATCCCAAAGAAGATTCTGAGATTGCTTCTGTCTAGTTTTTATGGGAAGATATTTCCCTTTTCACCGTAGGTGTCAAGGCGCTCCAAATGGCCACTTCCAGATACTACAAAAAGAGTGTTTCAAACCTACTCTGTGAAAGGGAATATTCAACTCTGTGACTTGAATGCACATATCACAAAGAAGTTTCTGAGAATGCTTCTGTCGAGATTTTCTATGAAGATATTCCCGTTTCCAACGAAATCCTGAAATCTATCCAAATATCCCCTCGCAGATTCTACAAAAAGAGTGTTTCAAAACTGCTCTGTAAAAAGAAAGGTTCAACTCCGTTAGTTGAGTACACACATCACAAACAAGTTTCACAGAATGCTTCTTTCTATCTTGTAGGGGAAGATATTCCCTTTATCACCATGGGCCTCCAACCGTCCGAAACATCCACTTCCATATACTACAAAAAGAGCGTTTCAAACCGGCTCTATGAAAGGCAATGTTCAACTCTGTGACTTGAATGCAGACATCACAGAGCAGTTTCTGCGAATGCTTCTGTCTAGATATTATAGGAGGATATTCCCGTTTCCAACGAAATCTTCACAGCTATCCAAATATCCACTTGGAGATTCTACAAAAAGAGTGTATCAAAACTGCTCTGTCAAAAGGAAGGTTCTTCTCTGTTAGGTGAGTGCATACGTCATAAAGGAGTTTCTGAGAATGTTTCTGTCTAGTGGTTATGGGAAGATATTTCCTTTTTCACCTTAGGCCTCAGAGCGCTCCAAATATCCCCTTGCACATACTACAAAAAGAGTGCTTCAAAGCTGCTCTCTGAAACGGAATGTTCAACTCTATGAGTTGAATGCAAACATCACAAAGACGTTTCTGAGAATGCTTCTGTCTAGATTTGATATGAAGATATTCCCGTTTCCAACGAAATCTTCAAATCTATCCAAATGTCCACTTGCATAATCAACAAAAAGTGTTTTTCACAACTGCTCTATCAAAAGAAAGATCCACCTCTGTTAGCTGAGTTCACACATCACAAACAAGTATATGAGAATGCTTCTGTCTAGTTTTTATTTGAAGATATTTCCTTTCTCACCATAGAGCTGAAAGCTGTCCTAATGTTCACTTCCAGGTACTACAGAAAGAGTGTTTCAAAACTGCTGTACGAAAGGGAATGTTCAACTCTGTGACTTGAATGCACACATCACAAAGAAGTTTCTGAGGATGCTGCTGTCTACTTTTTATACGTAATCCCGTTTCCAACGAAATCCTCCAAGCTATCCAAATATCCACTTGCAGATTCCACAGAAAGACTGTTTCAAAACTTGCTCTGTCAATAGAAACGTTCAACTCTGTTAGCTGCGTGCATATATCCCAAAGAAGATTCTGAGATTGCTTCTGTCTAGTTTTTATTGGTAGATATTTCCCTTTTCACCGTAGGCGTCAAGGCGCTCCAAATGTCCACTTCCAGATACTACAAAAAGAGTGTTTCAAACCTACTCTGTGAAAGGGAATATTCAACTCTGTGACTTCAATGCACATATCACAAGGAAGTTTCTGAGAATGCTTCTGTCGAGATTTTATATGAAGATATTCCCGTTTCCAACGAAATCCTGAAATCTATCCAAATATCCCCTCGCAGATTCTTCAAAAAGAGTGTTTCAATACTGCTCTGTAAAAAGAAAGGTTCAACTCTGTTAGTTGAGTACACACATCACAAACAAGTTTCACAGAATGCTTCTTTCTAGCTTGTAGGGAAAGATATTCCCTTTATCACCATGGGCCTCAAACCGTCCGAAACGTCCACTTCCATATACTACAAAAAGAGCGTTTCAAACCTGCTCTATGAAAGGCAATGTTCAACTCTGTGACTTCAATGTAGACATCACAGAGCAGTTTCTGAGAATGCTTCTGTCTAGATTTTATAGGAAGATATTCCCGTTTCCAACGAAATCTTCACAGCTATCCAAATATCCACTTGCAGATTCTACAAAAAGAGTGTATCAAAACTGCTCTGTCAAAAGGAAGGTTCTCCTCTGTTAGGTGAGTGCATACGTCGTAAAGGAGTTTCTGAGAATGTTTCTGTCTAGTGGTTATGGGAAGATATTTGCTTTTTCACCGTAGGCCTCAGAGCCCTCCAAATATCCACTTGCACATACTACAAAAAGAGTGCTTCAAACCTGCTCTCTGAAACGGAATGTTCAACTCTATGAGTTGAATGCAAACATCACAAAGACGTTTCTGAGAATGCTTCTGTCTAGATTTGATATGGAAGATATTCCCGTTTCCAACGAAATCTTCAAATCTATCCAACTGTCCTCTTGCAGATTCAACAAAAAGTGTTTTTCAGAACTGCTCTATCAAAAGAAAGATCCACGTGTGTTAGCTGAGTTCACACATCACGAACAAGTTTATGAGAATGCTTCTGTCTAGTTTTTATTTGAAGATATTTCCTTTCTCACCATAGAGCTGAAAGCTGTCCTAATGTTCACTTCCAGATACTACAGAAAGAGTGTTTCAAAACTGCAGTACGAAAGGGAATGTTCAACTCTGTGACTTGAATGCACACATCACAAAGAAGTTTCTGAGGATGCTGCTGTCTACTTTTTATACTTAATCCCGTTTCCAACGAAGTCCTCCAAGCTATCCAAATATCCACTTGCAGATTCCACAGAAAGACTGTTTCAAAACTACTCTGTCAATAGAAAGGTTCAACTCTGTTAGCTGCGTGCATATATCCCAAAGAAGATTCTGAGATTGCTTCTGTCTACTTTTTATGAGAAGATATTTCCCTTTTCACCGTAGGCGTCAAGGCGCTCCAAATGTTCACTTCCAGATACTACAAAAAGAGTGTTTCAAACCTACTGTGTAAAAGGGAATATTCAACTCTGTGACTTGAATGCACATATCACAAAGAAGTTTCTGAGAATGCTTCTGTCGAGATTTTATATGAAGATATTCCCCTTTCCAACGAAATCCTGAAATCTATCCAAATATCCCCTCGCAGATTCTACAAAAAGAGTGTTTCAAAACTGCTCTGTAAAAAGAAAGGTTCAAGTCTGTTAGTTGAGTACACACATCACAAACAAGTTTCACAGAATGCTTCTGTCTAGTTTTTATGTGAGGGTACTACCTTTTTCACCATAGGCCTCGAAGCAGTCCAAGTGTCCACTTCCATCTACTACAAAATGAGTGTTTCAGAACTGCTGTATGAAAGGGAATGTTCAACTCTGTGAGTTAAATGCAAACAACACAAAGAAGTTTCAGAGAATGCTTCTGCCTAGTTTTTATGTGAAGATATTCCCGTTTCCAACAAAATCCTCAAAGCTAGCCAAATATCCACTTGCAGACTCTACAAAAAGAATGTTTGAAAACTGCTCTATCAAAAGAAAAGTTCAACTCTGTTAGTTGAGTAAACACATCACAAACAAGTTTCACAGAATGCTTCTGTCTATTGGTTATGGGAAGATATTTGCTTTTTCACCTTAGGACTCAGAGCGCTCCAAATATCCCCTTGCACATACTACAAAAAGAGTGCTTCAAAGCTGCTCTCTGAAACGGAATGTTCAACTCTATGAGTTGAATGCAAACATCACAAAGACGTTTCTGAGAAAGCTTCTGTCTAGATTTGATATGAAGATATTCCCGTTTCCAAAGAAATCTTCAAATCTATCCAAATGTCCACTTGCAGATTCAACAAAAAGTGTTTTTCAGAACTGCTCTATCAAAAGAAAGATCCACGTCTCTTAGCTGAGTTCACAGATCACAAACAAGTTTATGAGAATGCTTCTGTCTAGTTTTTATTTGAAGATATATCCTTTCTCACTATAGACCTGAAAGCTCTCCTAAAGTTCACTTCCAGATACTACAGAAAGAGTGTTTGAAAACTGCTGTACGAAAGGGAATGTTCAACTCTGTGACTTGAATGCACACATCACAAGGATGTTTCTGAGGATGCTGCTGTCTACTTTTTATACTTAATCCCGTTTCCAACGAAATCCTCCAAGCTATCCAAATATCCACTTGCAGATTCCACAGAAAGACTGTTTCAAAACTGCTCTGCCAATAGAAAGGTTCAACTCTGTTAGCTGCATGCATATATCCCAAAGAAGATTCTGAGATTGCTTCTGTCTAGTTTTTATGGGAAGATATTTCCCTTTTCACCGTAGGCGTCAAGGCGCTCCAAATGTCCACTTCCAGATACTACAAAAAGAGTGTTTCAAACCTACTCAGTGAAAGGGAATATTCAACTCTGTGACTTGAAGGCAGATATCACAAAGAAGTTTCTGAGAATGCTTCTGTCGAGATTTTGTATGAAGATATTCCCGTTTCCAACGAAATCCTGAAATCTATCCAAATATCCCCTCGCAGATTCTACAAAAAGAGTGTTTCAAAACTGCTCTGTGAAAAGAAAGGTTCAACTCTCTTAGTTGAGTACACACATCACAAACAAGTTTCACAGAATGCTTCTTTCTAGCTTGTAGGGGAAGATATTCCCTTTATCACCATGGGCCTCAAACCGTCCGAAACGTCCACTTCCATATACTACAAAAAGAGCGTTTCAAACCTGCTCTAGGAAAGGCAATGTTCAACTCTGTGACTTGAATGCAGACATCACAGAGCAGTTTATGAGAATGCTTCTGTCTAGATTTTATAGGAAGATATTCCCGTTTCCAACGAAATCTTCACAGCTATCCAAATATCCACTTGCAGATTCTACAAAAAGAGTGTATCAAAGCTGCTCTGTCAAAAGGAAGGTTCTTCTCTGTTAGGTGAGTGCATGCGTCATAAAGCAGTTTCTGAGAATGTTTCTGTCTAGTGGTTATGGGAAGATATTTGCTTTTTCACCGTAGGCCTCAGAGCGCTCCAAATATCCACTTGCACATACTACAAAAAGTGTGCCTCAAAGCTGCTCTCTGAAACGGAATGTTCAACTCTATGAGTTGAATGCAAACATCACAAAGACGTTTCTGAGAATGCTTCTGTCTAGATTGATATGAAGATATTCCCGTTTCCAACGAAATCTTCAAATCTATCCAAATGTCCACTTGCAGATTCAACAAAAAGTGTTTTTCAGAACTGCTCTATCAAAAGAAAGATCCACCTCTGTTAGCTGAGTTCACACATCACAAACAAGTTTATGAGAATGCTTCTGTCTAGTTTTTATTTGAAGATATTTCCTTTCTCACCATAGAGCTGAAAGCTGTCCTAATGTTCACTTCTAGATACTACAGAAAGAGTGTTTCAAAACTGCTGTACGAAAGGGAATGTTCAACTCTGTGACTTGAATGCACACATCACAAAGAAGTTTCTGAGGATGCTGCTGTCTACTTTTTATACGTAATCCCGTTTCCAACGAAATCCTCCAAGCTATCCAAATATCCACTTGCAGATTCCACAGAAAGACTGTTTCAAAACTGCTCTGTCAATAGAAAGGTTCAACTCTGCTAGCTGCGTGCATATATCCCAAAGAAGATTCTGAGATTGCTTCTGTCTAGTTTTTATGGGAAGATATTTCCCTTTTCACCGTAGGCGTCAAGGCGCTCCAAATGTCCACTTCCAGATACTACAAACAGAGTGTTTCAAACCTACTCTGTGAAAGGGAATATTCAACTCTGTGACTTGAATGCACATATCACAAAGAAGTTTCTGAGAATGCTTCTGTCGAGATTTTATATGAAGATATTCCCGTTCCCAACGAAATCCTGAAATCTATCCAAATATCCCCTCGCAGATTCTACAAAAAGAGTGTTTCAAAACTGCTCTGTAAAAAGAAAGGTTCAACACTGTTAGTTGAGTACACACATCACAAACAAGTTTCACAGAATGCTTCTTTCTAGCTTGTAGGGGAAGATATTCCCTTTATCACCATGGGCCTCAAGCCGTCCGAAACGTCTACTTCCATATACTACAAAAAGAGCGTTTCAAACCTGCTCTATGAAAGGCAATGTTCAACTCTGTGACTTGAATGCAGACATCACAGAGCAGTTTCTGAGAATGCTTCTGTCTAGATTTTATAGGAAGATATTCCAGTTTCCAACGAAATCTTCACAGCTATCCAAATATGCACTTGCAGATTCTACAAAAAGAGTGTATCAAAACTGCTCTGTCAAAAGGAAGGTTCTTCTCTGTTAGTTGAGTACATACGTCATAAAGGAGTTTCTGAGAATGTTTCTGTCTAGTGGTTATGGGAAGATATTTGCTTTTTCACCGTAGGCCTCAGAGCACTCCAAATATCCACTTGCAGATACTACAAAAAGAGTGCTTCAAAGCTGCTCTCTGAAACGGAATGTTCAACTCTATGAGTTGAATGCAAACATCACAAAGACGTTTCTGAGAATGCTTCTCTCTAGATTTGATATGAAGATATTCAAGTTTCCAACGAAATCTTCAAATCTATCCAAATGTCCACTTGCAGATTCAACCAAAAGTGTTTTTCAGAACTGCTCTATCAAAAGAAAGATCCACCTCTGTTAGCTGAGTTCACACATCACAAACAAGTTTATGAGAATGCTTCTGTCTAGTTTTTATTTGAAGATATTTCCTTTCTCACCATAGACCTGAAAGCTGTCCTAATGTTCACTTCCAGATACTACAGAAAGAGTGTTTCAAAACTGCTGTACGAAAAGGAATGTTCAACTCTGTGACTTGAATGCACACATCACAAAGAAGTTTCTGAGGATGCTGCCGTCTACTTTTTATACGTAATCCCGTTTCCAACGA
The DNA here is from genome assembly GCF_000001405.40 of Homo sapiens. Lineage (NCBI taxonomy): Eukaryota > Metazoa > Chordata > Mammalia > Primates > Hominidae > Homo > Homo sapiens. The sequence goes on along the minus strand of NC_000013.11, from coordinate 16,903,635 downwards.
AATCCTCCAAGCTATCCAAATATCCACTTGCAGATTCTACAAAAAGAGTGTTTCAAAACTGCTCTGTAAAAAGAAAGGTTCAACTCTGTTAGCTATGTGCATATATCCCAAAGAAAATTCTGAGATTGCTTCTGTCTAGTTTTTATGGGAAGATATTTCCCTTTTCACTGTAGGCGTCAAGGCGCTCCAAATGTCCACTTCCAGATACTACAAAAAGAGTGTTTCAAACCTACTCTGTGAAAGGGAATATTCAACTCTGTGACTTGAATGCAGGATATCACAAAGAAGTTTCTGAGAATGCTTCTGTCGAGATTTTATATGAATTTATTCCCGTTTCCAACGAAATGCTGAAATGTATCCAAATATCCCCTCGCAGATTCTACAAAAAGAGTGTTTCAAAACTGCTCTGTAAAAAGAAAGGTTCAACTCTGTTAGTTGAGTACACACATCACAAACAAGTTTCACAGAATGCTTCTTTCTAGCTTGTAGGGGAAGATATTCCCTTTATCACCATGGGCCTCAAACCGTCCGAAACGTCCACTTTTATATACTACAAAAAGAGCGTTTCAAACCTGCTCTATGAAAGTCAATGTTCAACTCTGTGACTTGAATGCAGACATCACAGAGCAGTTTCTGAGAATGCTTCTGTCTAGATTTTATAGGAAGATATTCCCGTTTCCAACGAAATCTTCACAGCTATCCAAATATCCACTTGCAGATTCTACAAAAAGTGTGTATCAAAACTGCTCTGTCAAAAGGAAGGTTCTTCTCTGTTAGGTGAGTGCATACGTCATAAAGGAGTTTCTGAGAATGTTTCTGTCTAGTGGTTATGGGAAGATATTTGCTTTTTCACCGTAGGCCTCAGAGCGCTCCAAATATCCACTTGCACATACTACAAAAAGAGTGCTTCAAAGCTGCTCTCTGAAACGGAATGTTTAACTCTATGAGTTGAATGCAAACATCGCAAAGACGTTTCTGAGAATGCTTCTGTCTAGATTTGATATGAAGATATTCCCGTTTCCAACGAAATCTTCAAATCTATCCAAATGTCCACTTGCAGATTCAACAAAAAGTGTTTTTCAGAACTGCTCTATCAAAAGAAAGATCCACCTCTGTTAGCTGACTTCACACATCACAAACAAGTTTATGAGAATGCTTCTGTCTAGTTTTTATTTGAAGATATTTCCTTTCTCACCAAAGACCTGAAAGCTGTCCTAATGTTCACTTCCAGATACTACAGAAAGAGTGTTTCAAAACTGCTGTACGAAAGGGAATGTTCAACTCTGTGACTTGAATGCACACATCACAAAGAATTTTCTGAGGATGCTGCTGTCTACTTTTTATGCGTAATCCCGTTTCCAACGAAATCCTCCAAGCTATCCAAATATCCACTTGCAGATTCCACAGAAAGACTGTTTCAAAACTGCTCTGTCAATAGAAAGGTTCAACTCTGTTAGCTGCGTGCATATATCCCAAAGAAGATTCTGAGATGGCTTCCGTCTAGTTTTTATGGGAAGATATTTCCCTTTTCACCGTAGGCGTCAAGGCGCTCCAAATGTCCACTTCCAGATACCACAAAAAGAGTGTTTCAAACCTACTCTGTGGAAGGGAATATTCAACTCTGTGACTTGAATGCAGATATCACAAAGAAGTTTCTGAGAATGCTTCTGTCCAGATTTTATATAAAGATATTCCGGTTTCCAACAAAATCCTGAAATCTATCCAAATATCCCCTCGCAGATTCTACAAAAAGAGTGTTTCAAAACTGCTCTGTAAAAAGAAAGGTTCAACTCTGTTAGTTGAGTACACACATCACAAACAAGTTTCACAGAATGCTTCTTTCTAGCTTGTAGGGGAAGATATTCCCTTTATCACCATGGGCCTCAAACCGTCCGAAACGTCTACTTCCATATACTACAAAAAGACCGTTTCAAACCTGCTCTATGAAAAGCAATGTTCAACTCTGTGACTTGAATGCAGACATCACAGAGCAGTTTCTGAGAATGCTTCTGTCTAGATTTTATAGGAAGATATTCCCGTTTCCAACGAAATCTTCACAGCTATCCCAATATCCACTTGCAGATTCTACAAAAAGAGTGTATCAAAACTGCTCTGTCAAAAGGAAGGTTCTTCTCTGTTGGGTGAGTGCATACGTCAGAAAGGAGTTTCTGAGAATGTTTCTGTCTAGTGGTTATGGGAAGATATTTGCTTTTTCACCGTAGGCCTCAGAGCGCTCCAAATATCCACTTGCACATACTACAAAGAGTGCCTCAAAGCTGCTCTCTGAAACGGAATGTTCAACTCTATGAGTTGAATGCAAACATCGCAAAGACGTTTCTGAGAATGCTTCTGTCTAGATTTGATATGAAGATATTCCCGTTTCCAACGAAATCTTCAAATCTATCCAAATGTCCACTTGCAGATTCAACAAAAAGTGTTTTTCAGAACTGCTCTATCAAAAGAAAGATCCACCTCTGTTAGCTGAGTTCACACATCACAAACAAGTTTATGAGAATGTTTCTGTCTAGTTTTTATTTGAAGATATTTCCTTTCTCACCATAGAGCTGAAAGCTGTCCTAATGGTTCACTTCCAGATACTACAGAAAGAGTGTTTCAAAACTGCTGTACGAAAGGGAATGTTCAACTCTGTGACTTGAATGCACACATCACAAAGAAGTTTCTGAGGATGCTGCTGTCTACTTTTTATACAGTAATCCCGTTTCCAACGAAATCCTCCAAGCTATCCAAATATCCCCTTGCAGATTCCACAGAAAGACTGTTTCAAAACTGCTCTGTCAATAGAAAGGTTCAACTCTATTAGCTGCGTACATATATCCCAAAGAAGATTCTGAGATTGCTTCTGTCTAGTTTTTATGGGAAGATATTTCCCTTTTCACTTTAGGTGTCAAGGCGCTCCAAATGTCCACTTCCAGATACTACAAAAAGAGTGTTTCAAACCTACTCTGTGAAAGGGAATATTCAACTCTGTGACTTGAATGCAGATAGCACAAAGAAGTTTCTGAGAATGCTTCTGTCGAGATTTTATATGAAGATATTCCCGTTTCCAACGAAATCCTGAAGTCTATCCAAATATCCCCTCGCAGATTCTACAAAAAGAGTGTTTCAAAACTGCTCTGTAAAAAGAAAGGTTCAACTCTGTTAGTTGAGTACACACATCACAAACAAGTTTCACAGAATGCTTCTTTCTAGCTTGTAGGGGAAGATATTCCCTTTATCACCATTGGCCTCAAACCGTCCGAAACGTCCACTTCCATATACTACAAAAAGAGCGTTTCAAACCTGCTCTATGAAAGGCAATGTTCAACTCTGTGACTTGAATGCAGACATCACAGAGCAGTTTCTGAGAATGCTTCTGTCTAGATTTTATAGGAAGATATTCCCGTTTCCAACGAAATCTTCACAGCTATCCAAATATCCACTTGCAGATTCTACAAAAAGAGTGTATCAAAACTGCTCTGTCAAAAGGAAGGTTCTCCTCTGTTAGGTGAGTGCATACGTCATAAAGGAGTTTCTGAGAATGTTTCTGTCTAGTGGTTATGGGAAGATATTTGCTTTTTCACCGTAGGCCTCAGAGCGCTCCAAATATCCACTTGCACATACTACAAAAAGAGTGCCTCAAAGCTGCTCTCTGAATCGGAATGTTCAACTCTATGAGTTGAATGCAAACATCACAACGACGGTTTCTGAGAATGCTTCTGTCTAGATTTGATATGAAGATATTCCCGTTTCCAACGAAATCTTCTAATCTATCCAAATGTGCACTTGCAGATTCAACAAAAAGTGTTTTTCAGAACTGCTCTATCAAAAGAAAGATCCACCTCTGTTAGCTGAGTTCACACATCACAAACAAGTTTATGAGAATGCTTCTGTCTAGTTTTTATTTGAAGATATTTCCTTTCTCACCATAGACCTGAAAGCTGTCCTAATGTCCACTTCCAGATACTACAGAAAGAGTGTTTCAAAACTGCTGTACGAAAGGGAATGTTCAACTCTGTGACTTGAATGCACACATCACAAAGAAGTTTCTGAGGATGCTGCTGTCTACTTTTTATACGTAATGACGTTTCCAACGAAATCCTCCAAGCTAACCAAATATCCACTTGCAGATTCCACAGAAAGACTGTTTCAAAACTGCTCTGTCAATAGAAAGGTTCAACTCTGTTAGCTGCGTGCATATATCCCAAAGAAGATTCTGAGATTGCTTCTGTCTAGTTTTAATGGGAAGATATTTCCCTTTTCACCGTAGGTGTCAAGGCGCTCCAAATGTCCACTTCCAGATACTACAAAAAGAGTGTTTCAAACCTACTCTCTGAAAGGGAATATTCAACTCTGTGACTTGAATGCAGATATCACAATGAAGTTTCTGAGAATGCTTCTGTCGAGATTTTATATGAAGATATTCCCGTTTCCAACGAAATCCTGAAATGTATCCAAATATCCCCTCGCAGATTCTACAAAAAGAGTGTTTCAAAACTGCTCTGTAAAAAGAAAGGTTCAACTCTGTTAGTTGAGTGCAAACATCACAAACAAGTTTCACAGAATGCTTCTTTCTAGCTTGTAGGGGAAGATATTCCCTTTATCACCATGGGCCTCAAACCGTCCGATAAGTCCACTTCCATATCCTACAAAAAGAGCGTTTCAAACCTGCTCTATGAAAGGCAATGTTCAACTCTGTGACTTGAATGCAGACATCACAGAGCAGTTTCTGACAATGCTTCTGTCTAGATTTTATAGGAAGATATGCCCGTTTCCAACGAAATCTTCACAGCTATCCAAATATCCACTTGCAGATTCTACAAAAAGAGTGTATCAAAACTGCTCTGTCAAAAGGAAGGTTCTTCTCTGTTAGGTGAGTGCATACGTCATAAAGGAGTTTCTGAGAATGTTTCTGTCTAGTTGTTATGGGAAGATATTTGCTTTTTCCCTGTAGGCCTCAAAGCGCTCCAAATGTCCACTTGAACATACTACAAAAAGAGTGCTTCAAAGCTGCTCTCTGAAAGGGAATGTTCAACTCTATGAGTTCAATGCAAACATCACAAAGACGTTTCTGAGAATGCTTCTGTCTAGATTTGTTATGAAGATATACCCGTTTCCAACGAAATCTTCAAATCTATCCAAATGTCCACTTGCAGATTCAACAAAGTGTTTTTCAAAACTGCTGTATCAAAAGAAAGATCCACCTGTGTTAGCTGAGTTCACACTTCACAAACAAGTTTATGAGAATGCTTCTGTCTAGTTTTTATTTGAAGATATTTCCTTTCTCACCATAGACCTGAAAGCTGTCCTAATGTTCACTTCCAGATACTACAGAAAGAGTGTTTCAAAACTGCTGTACGAAAGGGAATGTTCAACTCTGTGACTTCAGTGCACACATCACAAAGAAGTTTCTGAGGATGCTGCTGTCTACTTTTTATACGTAATCCCGTTTCCAACGAAATCCTCCAAGTTATCCAAATATCCACTTGCAGATTCCACAGAAAGACTGTTTCAAAACTGCTCTGTCAATAGAAAGGTTCAACTCTGTTAGCTGCGTGCATATATCCCAAAGAAGATTCTGAGATTGCTTCTGTCTAGTTTTTATGGGAAGATATTTCCCTTTTCACCGTAGGCGTCAAGGCGCTCCAAATGTCCACTTCCAGATACTACAAAAAGAGTCTTTCAAACCTACTCTGTGGAAGGGAATATTCAACTCTGTGACTTGAATGCAGATATCACAAAGAAGTTTCTGAGAATGCTTCTGTCGAGATTTTGTATGAAGATATTCCCGTTTCCAACGAAATCCTGAAATCTATCCAAATATCCCCTCGCAGATTCTACAAAAAGAGTGTTTCAAAACTGCTCTGTGAAAAGAAAGGTTCAACTCTGTTAGTTGAGTACACACATCACAAACAAGTTTCACAGAATGCTTCTTTCTAGCTTGTAGGGGAAGATATTCCCTTTATCACCATGGGCCTCCAACCGACCGAAACATCCACTTCCATATACTACAAAAAGAGCGTTTCAAACCTGCTCTATGAAAGGCAATGTTCAACTCTGTGACTTGAATGCAGACATCACAGAGCAGTTTCTGAGAATGCTTCTGTCTAGATTTTATAGGAAGATATTCCCGTTTCCAACGAAATCTTCACAGCTATCCAAATATCCACTTGCAGATTCTACAAAAAGAGTGTATCAAATCTGCTCTGTCAAAAGGAAGGTTCTTCTCTGTTAGGTGAGTGCATACGTCATAAAGGAGTTTCTGAGAATGTTTCTGTCTAGTGGTTATGGGAAGATATTTGCTTTTTCCCCGTAGGCCTCAGAGCGCTCCAAATATCCACTTGCACATACTACAAAAAGAGTGCTTCAAAGCTGTTCTCTGAAACGGAATGTTCAACTCTATGAGTTGAATGCAAACATCACAAAGACGTTTCTGAGAATGCTTCTGTCTAGATTTGATATGAAGATATTCCCGTTTCCAACGAAATCTTCAAATCTATCCAAATGTCCACTTGCAGATTCAACAAAAAGTGTTTTTCAGAACTGCTCTATCAAAAGAAAGATCCACCTCTGTTAGCTGAGATCACACTTCACAAACAAGTTTATCAGAATGCTTCTGTCTAGTTTTTATTTGAAGATATTTCCTTTCTGACCATAGCCCTGAAAGCTGTCCTAATGTTCACTTCCAGATACTACAGAAAGAGTGTTTCAAAACTGCTGTACGAAAGGGAATGTTCAACTCTGTGACTTGAATGCACACATCACAAAGAAGTTTCTGAGGATGCTGCTGTCTACTTTTTATACGTAATCCCGTTTCCAACGAAATCCTCCAATCTATCCAAATATCCACTTGCAGATTCCACAGAAAGACTGTTTCAAAACTGCTCTGTCAATAGAAAGGTTCAACTCTGTTAGCTGCGTGCATATATCCCAAAGAAGATTCTGAGATTGCTTCTGTCTAGTTTTTATGAGAAGATATTTCCCTTTTCACCGTAGGCGTCAAAGCGCTCCAAATGTCCACTTCCAGATACTACAAAAAGAGTGTTTCAAACCTACTCTGTAAAAGGGAATATTCAACTCCTGTGACTTGAATGCACATATCACAATGAAGTTTCTGAGAATGCTTCTGTCGAGATTTTGTATGAAGATATTCCCGTTTCCAACGAAATCCTGAAATCTATCCAAATTTCCCCTCGCAGATTCTACAAAAAGAGTGTTTCAAAACTGCTCTGTGAAAAGAAAGGTTCAACTCTGTTAGTTGAGTACACACATCACAAACGAGTTTCACAGAATGCTTCTTTCTAGCTGGTAGGGGACGATATTCCCTTTATCACCATGGGCCTCAAACCGTCCGAAACGTCCACTTCCATATACTACAAAAAGAGCGTTTCAAACCTGCTCTATGAAAGGCAATGTTCAACTCTGTGACTTGAATGCAGACATCACAGAGCAGTTTCTGAGAATGCTTTTGTCCAGACTTTATAGGAAGATATTCCCGTTTCCAACGAAATCTTCACAGCTATCCAAATATCCACTTGCAGATACTACAAAAAGTGTGTATCCAAAGTGCTCTGTCAAAAGGAAAGTTCTTCTCTGCTACTTGAGTACATACGTCATAAAGAAGTTTCTGAGAATGTTTCTGTCTAGTGGTTATGGGAAGATATTTGCTTTTTCACCGTAGGCCTCAGAGCGCTCCAAATATCCACTTGCACATACTACAAAAAGAGTCTTTCAAAGCTGCTCTCTGAAAGGGAATGTTCAACTCTATGAGTTGAATGCAAACATGACAAAGACGTTTCTGAGAATGCTTCTGTCTAGATTTGATATGAACATATTCCCGTTTCCAACGAAATCTTCAAATCTATCCAAATGTCCACTTGCAGATTCAACAAAAAGTGTTTTTCAAAACTGCTGTATCAAAAGAAAGATCCACGTCTGTTAGCTGAGTTCACACATCACAAACAAGTTTATGAGAATGCTTCTGTCTAGTTTTTATTTGAAGATATTTCCTTTCTCACCATAGACCTGAAAGCTGTCCTAATGTTCACTTCCAGTTACTACAGAAAGAGTGTTTCAAAACTGCTGTACGAAAGGGAATGTTCAACTCGGTGACTTGAATGCACACATCACAAAGAAGTTTCTGAGGATGCTGCTGTCTACTTTTTATACTTAATCCCGTTTCCAACGAAATCCTCCAAGCTATCCAAATATCCACTTGCAGATTCCACAGAAAGACTGTTTCAATACTGCTCTGTCAATAGAAAGGTTCAACTCTGTTAGCTGCGTGCATATATCCCAAAGAAGATTCTGAGATTGCTTCTGTCTAGTTTTTATGGGAAGATATTTCCCTTTTCAACGTAGGCGTCAAGGCGCTCCAAATGTCCTCTTCCAGATACTACAAAAAGAGTGTTTCAAACCTACTCTGTGAAAGGGAATATTCAACTCTGTGACTTGAATGCACATATCACAAAGAAGTTTCTGAGAATGCTTCTGTCGCGATTTTATATGAAGATATTCCCGTTTCCAACGAAATCCTGAAATCTATCCAAATATCCGCTCGCAGATTCTACAAAAAGAGTGTTTCAAAACTGCTCTGTGAAAAGAAAGGTTCAACTCTGTTAGTTGAGTACACACATCACAAACAAGTTTCACAGAATGCTTCTTTCTAGCTTGTAGGGGAAGATATTTCCTTTATCACCATGGGCCTCAAACCGTCCGAAACGTGCACTTCCATATACTACAAAAAGAGCGTTTCAAACCTGCTCTATGAAAGGCAATGTTCAACTCTGTGACTTGAATGCAGACATCACAGAGCAGTTTCTGAGAATGCTTCTGCCTAGACTTTATAGGAAGACATTCCCGTTTCCAACGAAATCTTTACAGCTATCCAAATATCCACTTGCAGATACTACAAAAAGAGTGTATCAAAAATGCTCTGTCAAATTGAATGTTCTTCTCTGCTAGTTGAGTACATACGTCATAAAGAAGTTTCTGAGAATGTTTCTGTCTAGTGGTTATGGGAAGATATTTGCTTTTTCACCTTAGGCCTCAGAGCGCTCCATATATCCCCTTGCACATACTACAAAAAGAGTGCTTCAAAGCTGCTCTCTGAAAGGGAATGTTCAACTCTATGAGTTGAATGCAAACATGACAAAAGACGTTTCTGAGAATGCTTCTGTCTAGATTTGATATGAAGATATTCCCGTTTCCAACGAAATCTTCAAATCTATCCAAATGTCCTCTTGCAGATTCAACAAAAAGTGTTTTTCAGAACTGCTCTATCAAAAGAAACATCCACGTGTGTTAGCTGAGTTCACACATCACGAACAAGTTTATGAGAATGCTTCTGTCTAGTTTTTATTTGAAGATATTTCCTTTCTCACCATAGAGCTGAAAGCTGTCCTAATGTTCACTTCCAGATACTACAGAAAGAGTGTTTCAAAACTGCTGTACGAAAGGGAATGTTCAACTCTGTGACTTTAATGCACACATCACAAAGAAGTTTCTGAGGATGCTGCTGTCTACTTTTTATACGTAATCCCGTTTCCAACGAAATCCTCCAAGCTATCCAAATATCCACTTGCAGATTCCACAGAAAGACTGTTTCAAAACTGCTCTGTCAATAGAAAGGTTCAACTCTTTTAGCTGCGTGCATATATCCCAAAGAAGATTACTGAGATTGCTTCTGTCTAGTTTTCATGGGAAGATATTTCCCTTTTCACCGTAGGCGTCAAGGCGCTCCAAATGTCCACTTCCAGATACTACAAAAAGAGTGTTTCAAACCTACTCTGTGAAAGGGAATATTCAACTCTGTGACTTGAAGGCAGATATCACAAAGAAGTTTCTGAGAATGCTTCTGTCGAGATTTTATATGAAGATATTCCCGTTTCCAACGAAATCCTGAAATCTATCCAAATATCCCCTCGCAGATTCTACAAAAGAGTGTTTCAAAACTGCTCTGTAAAAAGAAAGGTTCAACTCTGTTAGTTGAGTACACACTTCACAAACAAGTTTCACAGAATGCTTCTTTCTAGCTTGTAGGGGAAGATATTCCCTTTATCACCATGGGCCTCAAACCGTCCGAAACGTCTACTTCCATATACTACAAAAAGAGAGTTTCAAACCTGCTCTATGAAAGGCAATGTTCAACTCTGTGACTTGAATGCAGACATCACAGAGCAGTTTCTGAGAATGCTTCTGTCTAGATTTTATAGGAAGATATTCCCGTTTCCAACGAAATCTTCACAGCTATCCAAATATCCACTTGCAGATTCTGCAAAAAGAGTGTATCAAAACTGCTCAGTCAAAAGGAAGGTTCTTCTCTGTTAGGTGAGTGCATACGTCATAACGGAGTTTCTGAGAATGTTTCTGTCTAGTGGTTATGGGAAGATATTTGCTTTTTCACCTTAGGCCTCAGAGCGCTCCATATATCCCCTTGCACATACTACAAAAAGAGTGCTTCAAAGCTGCTCTCTGAAACGGAATGTTGAACTCTATGAGTTGAATGCAAACATCACAAAGACGTTTCTGAGAATGCTTCTGTCTAGATTTGATATGAAGATATTCCCGTTTCCAACGAAATCTTCATATCTATCCAAATGTCCACTTGCAGATTCAACAAAAAGTGTTTTTCAAAACTGCTGTATCAAAAGAAAGATCCACGTGTGTTAGCTGAGTTCACACATCACAAACAAGTTTATGAGAATGCTTCTGTCTAGTTTTTATTTGAAGATATTTACTTTCTCATCATAGACCTGAAAGCTGTCCTATTGTTCACTTCAGATACTACAGAAAGAGTGTTTCAAAACTGCTGTACGAAAGGGAATGTTCAACTCTGTGACTTGAATGCACACATCACAAAGAAGTTTCTGAGGATGCTGCTGTCTACTTTTTATACGTAATCCCGTTTCCAACGAAATCCTCTAAGCTATCCAAATATCCACTTGCAGATTCCACAGAAAGACTGTTTCAAAACTGCTCTGTCAATAGAAAGGTTCAACTCTGTTAGCTGCGTGCATATATCCCAAAGAAGATTCTGAGATTGCTTCTGTCTAGTTTTTATGGGAAGATATTTCCCTTTTCACCGTAGGTGTCAAGGCGCTCCAAATGTCCACTTCCAGATACTACAAAAGAGTGTTTCAAACCTACTCTGTGAAAGGGAATATTCAACTCTGTGACTTGAATGCACATATCACAAAGAAGTTTCTGAGAATGCTTCTGTCGAGATTTATATGAAGATATTCCCGTTTCCAACGAAATCCTGAAATCTATCCAAATATCCCCTCGCAGATTCTACAAAAAGAGTGTTTCAAAACTGCTCTGTAAAAAGAAAGGTTCAACTCTGTTAGTTGAGTACACACATCACAAACAAGTTTCACAGAATGCTTCTTTCTAGCTTGTACGGGAAGATATTCCCTTTATCACCATGGGCCTCCAACCGTCCGAAACTTCCACTTCCATATACTACAAAAAGAGCGTTTCAAACCTGCTCTATGAAAGGCAATGTTCAACTCTGTGACTTGAATGCAGACATCACAGAGCAGTTTCTGAGAATGCTTCTGTCTAGATTTTTTAGGAAGATATTCCCGTTTCCAACGAAATCTTCACAGCTATCCAAATATCCACTTGCAGATTCTACAAAAAGAGTGTATCAAAACTGCTCTGTCAAAAGGAAGGTTCTTCTCTGTTAGGTGAGTGCATACGTCATAAAGGAGTTTCTGAGAATGTTTCTGTCTAGTGGTTATGGGAAGATATTTGCTTTTTCACCGTAGGCCTCAGAGCGCTCCAAATATCCACTTGCACATACGACAAAAAGAGTGCTTCAAAGCTGCTCTCTGAAACGGAATGTTCAACTCTATGAGTTGAATGCAAACATGACAAAGACGTTTCCGCGAATGCTTCTGTCTAGATTTGATATGAAGATATTCCCGTTTCCAACGAAATGTTCAAATCTATCCAAATGTCCACTTGCAGATTCAACAAAAAGTGTTTTTCAGAACTGCTCTATCAAAAGAAAGATGCACCTCTGTTAGCTGAGTTCACACATCACAAACAAGTTTATGAGAATGCTTCTGTCTAGTTTTTATTTGAAGATATTTCCTTTCTCACCATAGAGCTGAAAGCTGTCCTAATGTTCACTTCCAGATACTACAGAAAGAGTGTTTCAAAACTGCTGTAAGAAAGGGAATGTTCAACTCTGTGACTTGAATGCACACATCACAAAGAAGTTTCTGAGGATGCTGCTGTCTACTTTTTATGCGTAATCCCGTTTCCAACGAAATCCTCCAAGCTATCCAAATATCCACTTGCAGATTCCACAGAAAGACTGTTTCAAAACTGCTCTGTCAATAGAAAGGTTTAACTCTGTTAGCTGCGTGCATATATCCCAAAGAAGATTCTGAGATTGCTTCTGTCTAGTTTTTATGGGAAGATATTTCCCTTTTCACCGTAGGCGTCAAGGCGCTCCAAATGTCTACTTCCAGATACTACAAAAAGAGTGTTTCAAACCTACTCTGTGAAAGGGAATATTCAACTCTGTGACTTGAATGCACATATCACAAGGAAGTTTCTGAGAATGCTTCTGTCGAGATTTTATATGAAGATATTCCCGTTTCCAACGAAATGCTGAAATCTATCCAAATATCCCCTCGCAGATTCTACAAAAAGAGTGTTTCAAAACTGCTCTGTGGAAAGAAAGGTTCAACTCTGTTAGTTGAGTACACACATCACAAACAAGTTTCACAGAATGCTTCTTTCTAGCTTGTAGGGGAAGATATTCCCTTTATCACCATGGGCCTCAAACCGTCCGAAACGTCCACTTCCATATAATACAAAAAGAGCGTTTCAAACCTGCTCTAGGAAAGGCAGTGTTCAACTCTGTGACTTGAATGCAGACATCACAGAGCAGTTTCTGAGAATGCTTCTGTCTAGATTTTATAGGAAGATATTCCCGTTTCCAACCAAATCTTCACAGCTATCCAAATATCCACTTGCAGATTCTACAAAAAGAGTGTATCAAAACTGCTCTGTCAAAAGGAAGGTTCTTCTCTGTTAGGTGAGTGCATACGTCATAAAGGAGTTTCTGAGAATGTTTCTGTCTAGTGGTTATGGGAAGATATTTGCTTTTTCACCGTAGGCCTCAGAGCGCTCCAAATATCCACTTGCACATACTACAAAAAGAGTGCCTCAAAGCTCCTCTCTGAAACGGAATGTTCAACTCTATGAGTTGAATGCAAACATCGCAAAGACGTTTCTGAGAATGCTTCTGTCTAGATTTGATATGAAGATATTCCCGTTTCCAAAGAAATCTTCAAATCTATCCAAATGTCCACTTGCAGATTCAACAAAAAGTGTTTTTCAGAACTGCTCTATCAAAAGAAAGATCCAGCTCTGTTAGCTGAGTTCACACATCACAAACAAGTTTATGAGAATGCTTCTGTCTAGTTTTTATTTGAAGATATTTCCTTTCTCACCATAGATCTGAAAGCTGTCTTAGTGTTCACTTCCAGATACTACAGAAAGAGTGTTTCAAAACTGCTGTACGAAAGGGAATGTTCAACTCTGTGACTTGAATGCACACATCACAAAGAAGTTTCTGAGGATGCTGCTGTCTACTTTTTAAACGTAATCCCTTTTCCAACGAAATCCTCCAAGCTATCCAAATATCCACTTGCAGATTCCACAGAAAGACTGTTTCAAAACTGCTCTGTCAATAGAAAGGTTCAACTCTGTTAGCTGCGTGCATATATCCCAAAGAAGATTCTGAGATTGCTTCTGTCTAGTTTTTATGGGAAGATATTTCCCTTTTCACCGTAGGTGTCAAGGCGCTCCAAATGTCCACTTCCAGATACTACAAAAAGAGTGTTTCAAACCTACTCTGTGAAAGGGAATATTCAACTCTGTGACTTGAAGGCAGATATCACAAAGAAGTTTCTGAGAATGCTTCTGTCGAGATTTTATATGAAGATATTCCCGTTTCCAAAGAAATCCTGAAATCTATCCAAATATCCCCTCGCAGATTCTACAAAAAGAGTGTTTCAAAACTGCTCTGTAAAAAGAAAGGTTCAACTCTGTTAGTTGAGTACACACCTCACAAACAAGTTTCACAGAATGCTTCCTTCTAGCTTGTAGGGGAAGATATTCCCTTTATCACCATGGGCCTCAAACCGTCCGAAACGTCCACTTCCATATACTACAAAAAGAGCGTTTCAAACCTGCTCCATGAAAGGCAATGTTCAACTCTGTGACTTGAATGCAGACATCACAGAGCAGTTTCTGAGAATGCTTCTGTCTAGATTTTATAGGAAGATATTCCCGTTTCCAACGAAATCTTCACAGCTATCCAAATATCCACTTGCAGATTCTACAAAAAGAGTGTATCAAAACTGCTCTGTCAAAAGGAAGGTTCTTTTCTGTTACGTGAGTGCATACGTCATAAAGGAGTTTCTGAGAATGTTTCTGTCTAGTGGTTATGGGAAGATATTTGCTTTTTCACCGTAGGCCTCAGAGCGCTCCAAATATCCCCTTGCACATACTACAAAAAGAGTGCTTCAAAGCTGCTCTCTGAAAGGGAATGTTCAACTCTATGAGTTGAATGCAAACATCACAAAGACGTTTCCGCGAATGCTTCTGTCTAGATTTGATATGAAGATATTCCCGTTTCCAACGAAATCTTCAAATCTATCCAAATGTCCACTTGCAGATTCAACAAAAAGTGTTTTTCAGAACTGCTCTATCAAAAGAAAGATCCACCTCTGTTAGCTGAGTTCAGACATCACAAACAAGTTTATGAGAAAGCTTCTGTCTAGTTTTTATTTGAAGATATTTCCTTTCTCACCATAGACCTGAAAGCTATCCTAATGTTCACTTCCAGATACTACCGAATGAGTGTTTCAAAACTGCTGTACGAAAGGTGATGTTCAACTCTGTGACTTGAATGCACACATCACAAAGAAGTTTCTGAGGATGCTGCTGTCTAATTTTTATACGTAATCCCGTTTCCAACGAAATCCTCCAAGCTATCCAAATATCCACTTGCAGATTCCACAGAAAGACTGTTTCAAAACTGCTATGTCAATAGAAAGGTTCAACTCTGTTAGCTCCGTGCATATATCCCAAAGAAGATTCTGAGATTACTTCTGTCTAGTTTTTATGGGAAGATATTTCCCTTTTCACCGTAGGTGTCAAGGCGCTCCAAATGTACACATCCAGATACTACAAAAAGAGTGTTTCAAACCTACTCTGTGAAAGGGAATATTCAACTCTGTGACTTGAATGCAGATATCACAAAGAAGTTTCTGGGAATGCTTCTGTCGAGATTTTGTATGAAGATATTCCCGTTTCCAATGAAATCCTGAAATCTATCCAAATTTCCCCTCGCAGATTCTACAAAAAGAGTGTTTCAAAACTGCTCTGTGAAAAGAAAGGTTCAACTCTGTTAGTTGAGTACACACATCACAAACAAGTTTCACAGAATGCTTCTTTCTAGCTTGTAGGGGAAGATATTCCCTTTATCAACATGGGCCTCAAACCGTCCGAAAAGTCCACTTCCATATACTACAAAAAGAGCGTTTCAAACCTGCTCTATGAAAGGCAATGTTCAACTCTGTGACTTGAATGCAGACATCACAGAGCAGTTTCTGAGAATGCTTCTGTATAGATTTTATAGGAAGATATTCCCGTTTCCAACGAAATCTTCACAGCTATCCAAATATCCACTTGCAGATTCTACAAAAAGAGTGTATCAAAACTGCTCTGTCAAAAGGAAGGTTCTTTTCTGTTAGGTGAGTGCATACGTCATAAAGGAGTTTCTGAGAATGCTTCTCTCTAGTGGTTATGGGAAGATATTTGCTTTTTCACCGAAGGCCTCAGAGCGCTCCAAATATCCACTTTCACATACTACAAAATGAGTGCCTCAAAGCTGCTCTCTGAAACGGAATGTTCAACTCTATGAGTTGAATGCAAACATCACAAAGACGTGTCCGAGAATGCTTCTGTCTAGATTTGATATGAAGATATTCCCGTTTCCAAAGAAATCTTCAAATCTATCCAAATGTCCACTTGCAGATTCAACAAAAAGTGTTTTTCAGAACTGCTCTATCAAAAGAAAGATCCACGGCTCTTATCTGAGTTCACACATCACGAACAAGTTTATGAGAATGCTTCTGTCTAGTTTTTATTTGAAGATATTTCCTTTCTCACCATAGACCTGAAAGCTGTCCTAATGTTCACTTCCAGATGCTACAGAAAGAGTGTTTCAAAACTGCTGTACGAAAGGGAATGTTCAACTCTGTGACTTGAATGCACACATCACAACGAAGTTTCTGAGGATGCTGCTGTCTACTTTTTATGCGTAATCCCGTTTCCAACGAAATCCTCCAAGCTATCCAAATATCCACTTGCAGATTCCACAGAAAGACTGTTTCAAAACTGCTCTGTCAATAGAAAGGTTCAACTCTGTTAGCTGCGTGCTTATATCCCAAAGAAGATTCTGAGATTGCTTCTGTCTAGTTTTTATGGGAAGATATTTCCCTTTTCACCGTAGGTGTCAAGGCGCTCCAAATGTCCACTTCCAGATACTACAAAAAGAGTGTTTCAAACCTACTCTGTGAAAGCGAATATTCAACTCTGTGACTTAAATGCAGATATCACAATGAAGTTTCTGAGAATGCTTCTGTCGAGATTTTATATGAAGATATTCCCGTTTCCAACAAAATCCTGAAATCTATCCAAATATCCCCTCGCAGATTCTACAAAAAGAGTGTTTCAAAACTGCTCTGTAAAAAGAAAGGTTCAACTCTGTTAGTTGAGTACACACATCACAAACAAGTTTCACAGAATGCTTCTTTCTAGCTTGTAGGGGAAGTTATTCCCTTTATCACCATGGGCCTCAAACCGTCCGAAACGTCCACTTCCATATACTACAAAAAGAGCGTTTCAAACCTGCTCTATGAAAGGCAATGTTCAACTCTGTGACTTGAATGTAGACTTCACAGAGCAGTTTCTGAGAATGCTTCTGTCTAGATTTTATAGGAAGATATTCCCGTTTCCAACGAAATCTTCACAGCTATCCAAATATCCACTTGCAGATTCCACAAAAAGAGTGTATCAAAAATGCTCTGTCAAAAGGAAGGTTCTTCTCTTTTAGTTGAGTACATACGCCATAAAGGAGTTTCTGAGAATGCTTCTGTCTAGTGGTTATGGGAAGATATTTGCTTTTTCACCGTAGGCCTCAGAGCGCTCCAAATATCCACTTGCACATATTACAAAAAGAGTGCCTCAAAGCTGCTCTCTGAAACGGAATGTTCAACTCTATGAGTTGAATGCAAACATCGCAAAGACGTTTCTGAGAATGCTTCTGTCTAGATTTGATATGAAGATATTCCCGTTTCCAACGAAATCTTCAAATCTATCCAAATGTCCACTTGCAGATTCAACAAAAAGTGTTTTTCAGAACTGCTCTATCAAAAGAAAGATCCACGTGTGTTAGCTGAGTACACACATTACGAACAAGTTTATGAGAATGCTTCTGTCTAGTTTTTATTTGAAGATATTTCCTTTCTCACCATAGTCCTGAAAGCTGTCCTAATGTTCACTTCCAGGTACTACAGAAAGAGTGTTTCAAAACTGCTGTACGAAAGGGAATGTTCAACTCTGTGACTTGAATGCACACATCACAAAGAAGTTTCTGAGGATGCTGCTGTCTACTTTTTATACTTAATCCCGTTTCCAACGAAATCCTCCAAGCTATCCAAATATCCACTTGCAAATTCCACAGAAAGACTGTTTCAAAACTGCTCTGTCAATAGAAAGGTTCAACTCTGTTAGCTGCGTGCATATATCCCAAAGAAGATTCTGAGATTGCTTCTGTCTAGTTTTCATGAGAAGATATTTCCCTTTTCACCGTAGGCGTCAAGGCGCTCCAAATGTCCACTTCCAGATACTACAAAAAGAGTGTTTCAAACCTACTCTGTGAAAGGGAATATTCAACTCTGTGACTTGAATGCACATATCACAAAGAAGTTTCTGAGAATGCTTCTGTCGAGATTTTATATGAAGATATTCCCGTTTCCAACGAAATCCTGAAATCTATCCAAATATCCCCTCGCAGATTCTACAAAAAGAGTGTTGCAAAACTGCTCTGTAAAAGGAAAGGTTCAACCCTGTTAGTTGAGTACACACATCACAAACAAGTTTCACAGAATGCTTCTTTCTAGCTTGTAGGGAAAGATATTCCCTTTATCACCATGGGCCTCAAACCGTCCGAAACGTCCACTTCCATATACTACAAAAAGAGCGTTTCAAACCTGCTGTAGGAAAAGCAATGTTCAACTCTGTGACTTGAATGCAGACATCACAGAGCAGTTTCTGAGAATGCTTCTGTCTAGATTTTATAGGAAGATATTCCCGTTTCCAACGAAATCTTCGCAGCTATCCAAATATCCACTTGCAGATTCTACAAAAAGAGTGTATCAAAACTGCTCTGTCAAAAGGAAGGTTCTTCTCTGTTAGGTGAGTGCATACGTCATAAAGGAGTTTCTGACAATGTTTCTGTCTAGTGGTTATGGGAAGATATTTGCTTTTTCACCTTAGGCCTCAGAGCACTCCAAATATCCCCTTGCACATCCTACAAAAAGAGTGCTTCAAAGCTGCTCTCTGAAAGGGAATGTTCAACTCTATGAGTTGAATGCAAACATCACAAAGACGTTTCTGGGAATGCTTCTGTCTAGATTTGATATGAAGATATTCCCGTTTCCAAAGAAATCTTCAAATCTATCCAAATGTCCACTTGCAGATTCAACAAAAAGTGTTTTTCAGAACTGCTCTATCAAAAGAAAGATCCACCTCTGTTAGCTGTGTTAACACATCACAAACAAGTTTATGAGAATGCTTCTGTCTAGTTTTTATTTGAAGATATTTCCCTTCTCACCATAGACCTGAAAGCTGTCCTAATGTTCACTTCCAGATACTACAGAAAGAGTGTTTCAAAACTGCTGTACGAAAGGGAATGTTCAACTCTGTGACTTGAATGCACACATCACAAAGAAGTTTCTGAGGATGCTGCTGTCTACTTTTTATACGTAATCCCATTTCCAAAGAAATCCTCCAAGCTATCCAAATATCCACTTGCAGATTCCACAGAAAGACTGTTTCAAAACTGCTCTGTCAATAGAAAGGTTCAACTCTGTTAGTTGCGTGCATATATCCCAAAGAAGATTCTGAGATTGCTTCTGTCTAGTTTTTATGGGAAGCATATTTCCCTTTTCACCGTAGGTGTCAAGGCGCTCCAAATGTCCACTTCCAGATACTACAAAAAGAGTGTTTCAAACCTACTCTGTGAAAGGGAATATTCAACTCTGTGACTTGAATGCAGATATCACAAAGAAGTTTCTGAGAATGCTTCTGTCGAGATTTTACATGAAGATATTCCCGTTTCCAACGAAATCCTGAAATCTATCCAAATATCCCCTCGCAGATTCTACAAAAAGAGTGTTTCAAAACTGCTCTGTAAAAAGAAAGGTTCAACTCTGTTAGTTGAGTACACACATCACAAACAAGTTTCACAGAATGCTTCTTTCTAGCTTGTAGGGGAAGATATTCCCTTTATCACCATGGGCCTCAAACCGTCCGAAACGTCCACTTCCATATACTACAAAAAGAGCGTTTCAAACCTGCTCTAGGAAAGGCAATGTTCAACTCTGTGACTTGAATGCAGACATCACAGAGTAGTTTCTGAGAATGCTTCTGTCTAGATTTTATAGGAAGATATTCCCGTTTCCAACGAAATCTTCACAGCTATCCAAATATCCACTTGCAGATTCTACAAAAAGAGTGTATCAAAACTGCTCTGTCAAAAGGAAGGTTCTTCTCTGTTAGGTGAGTGCACACGTCATACAGGAGTTTCTGAGAATGTTTCTGTCTAGTGGTTATGGGAAGATATTTGCTTTTTCACCGTAGGCCTCAGAGCGCTCCAAATATCCACTTGCACATACTACAAAAAGAGTGTTTCAAAGCTGCTCTGTGAAAGGGAATGTTCAACTCTATGAGTTGAATGCAAACATCACAAAGACGTTTCTGAGAATGCTTCTGTCAAAATTTGATATGAAGATATTCCCGTTTCCAACGAAATCTTCAAATCTATCCAAATGTCCACTTGCAGATTCAACAAAAAGTGTTTTTCAGAACTGCTCTATCAAAAGAAAGATCCACCTCTGTTAGCAGAGTTCACACATCACAAACAAGTTTATGAGAATGCTTCTGTCTAGTTTTTATTTGAAGATATATCCTTTCTCACCATAGACCTGAAAGCTGTCCTAATGTTCACTTCCAGATACTACAGAAAGAGTGTTTCAAAACTGCTGTACGAAAGGGAATGTTCAACTCTGTGACTTGAATGCACACATCACAAAGAAGTTTCTGAGGATGCTGCTGTCTACTTTTTATATGTAATCCCGTTTCCAACGAAATCCTCCAAGCTATCCAAATATCCACTTGCAGATTCCACAGAAAGACTGTTTCAAAACTGCTCTGTCAATAGAACGGTTCAACTCTGTTAGCTGCGTGCATATATCCCAAAGAAGATTCTGAGATTGCTTCTGTCTAGTTTTTATGGGAAGATATTTCCCTTTTCACCTTAGGCGTCAAGGCGCTCCAAATATCCACTTCCAGATACTACAAAAAGAGTGTTTCAAACCTACTCTGTGAAAGGGAATATTCAAACCTGTGACTTGAATGCACATATCACAAAGAAGTTTCTGAGAATGCTTCTGTCGAGATTTTATATGAAGATATTCCCGTTTCCAACGAAATCCTGAAATCTATCCAAATATCCCCTCGCAGATTCTACAAAAAGAGTGTTTCAAAACTGCTCTGTAAAAAGAAAGGTTCAACTCTGTTAGTTGAGTACACACATCAAAAACAAGTTTCACAGAATGCTTCTTTCTAGCTTGTAGGGGAAGATATTCCCTTTATCACCATGGGCCTCAAACCGTCCGAAACGTCCACTTCCATATACTACAAAAAGAGCGTTTCAAACCTGCTCTATGAAAGGCAATGTTCAACTCTGTGACTTGAATACAGACATCGCAGAGCAGTTCCCTGAGAATGCTTCTGTCTAGATTTTATAAGAAGATATTCCCGTTTCCAACGAAATCTTCACAGCTATCCAAATATCCACTTGCAGATTCTACAAAAAGAGTGTATCAAAACTGCTCAGTCAAAAGGAAGGTTCTTCTCTGTTAGGTGAGTGCATACGTCATAAAGGAGTTTCTGAGAATGTTTCTGTCTAGTGGTTATGGGAAGATATTTGCTTTTTCACCGTAGGCCTCAGAGCGCTCCAAATATCCACTTGCACATACTACAAAAAGAGTGTTTCAAAGCTGCTCTCTGAAAGGGAATGTTCAACTCTATGAGTTGAATGCAAACATCACAAAGACGTTTCTGAGAATGCTTCTCTGTCTAGATTTG